>NC_000005.10:87988594-88291625 GCF_000001405.40 Homo sapiens | reverse complement strand
GGAATTCTTGTGCCTCAGCCTCCTGAGTAGCTGGGATTGCAAGCGCCTGCCACAACACCGGGCTAATTTTTGTATTTTTTAGTAGAGATGCGGTTTCACCATGTTGGTCAGGCTGGCCTTGAACTCCTGACCTCAAATGATCTACCTGCCTCGGCCTCCCAAAGTGCTGGGATTACAGGTGTGAGCCACTGCACCCGGCCCAGGGTGGTTTATTTCAACTGATAAAAAGCTGATATATAAATCTGGAAGAGAGAAAAATGTTGTTACTCCAAAGCAGAATCAAAAGAGTTTCAAACTCAAAAAGAGATAGAGGTACTTTAGTCAAACGTCCCCATTTTATGGAGAACTAAGTTCCAGGGGGATTAAATGGCTTCTCGTACAGCTGGAATCACACCCAAAAACCACACTTCTGATGCTTGAATCTCTTCCATAATGTCCTATCAAGGAAGTGATAATTTATGCTTGAATCTTTCAAGTGACTGGGAAACCACTCATTTTTTGCCCTGTTCTTTTTGGATGTGTTTCCTGACATTGAACTGAAATGACATATAAGCAAGTGACTAAGTCTGCAAGTATTTTGACATCGAGTTGAAATGGCTTGCTATAGCTCCTGCCAATGGGTCTAGTTCCATCCTCTGAGACCTTCCAGTGGAAGCGTGATCACTTTTTCACATGGCAGGATGTCAGATGCTTGAAGACAGTCATCATGATCTCATATATATATATATATTCCAGGCTAAACATTTACATTTTCATTCAACCGTTCTTAAGGTGAGTTTCTTCATCATTCTGCTTGCTTTTATGTAAACCAGTCCTAGATTTCTTAGGGTGCAAAATACTGAAGAAAATATTCCTAGTAATACAGCCAGGTAATACATTTTCCAATTATTCATAACTGCTGCAAGAAATAATGTAATGTCCTTGCCTTTCACTTAGTATATCATGAGTATTTCTTTATATCATTAAAAACTATCTGTAAGTGTATTTTTAAAATTTTAAGTTGAATCCTTTATTTTAAAATTGTGTTTATTTTTTGAATGTGTTACACGCAACATGGCACAAAATTCAAAACTTTCAAGAGGTTTTACAGTAAAAAAATCATTTTTTCCCAGACTTCTAGTTGACTATAACATGCTATTCTAGAATGTGACATAATATTTCAGACACCTGTTTTTTAGAGACATAACTGTTTATGATTATGACACTATCATATGGCTATACTATCTTTTTAATCATTCATGTTAAACTTTTTTGCCATTATAAATAATTTGATTATGAACTTCCTTATATATATATAACATGAATATATTTTAGATTATTTTTAAAGTAGATTCTTAGAAGGAAATTGCTGCATTAAATAGTATGGCTTGTACATAATTACTTTCCACAAAATTACTATTTTATGTTTGCACCAGTAGTATATGTTTATGGTAAATATTATTTTTTCCAGCTTATTAAATGTCTAAAGGTGTTTCACACATGCCAGTCCCTGTGCATATCATACAATTAACTGTAGTTTTTTTTACTAAATATAATGCTAAATAATGCCTTACAATTAATATTTGTTGTATTTTGTGTTTACAAGTTTGTTTTATTCACCAGATTTTAAACTCCTGCAGTCTAACATACCTTATTCA
Source organism: Homo sapiens (assembly GCF_000001405.40). Lineage (NCBI taxonomy): Eukaryota > Metazoa > Chordata > Mammalia > Primates > Hominidae > Homo > Homo sapiens. The sequence continues at coordinate 88,289,988 of NC_000005.10, read as the reverse complement.
TATTCTAAAGCCTAACATAGACATTTACACAGAGTTGATATTCCAGAAATTTGTGACATCTAAATGAGTGAATAAACTTAAAAATCCTACTAGTTTGTTGGACTCTGCCTATATTGTTATAGACTCTCAAAATTTTATTGATTCTAATTATGCCCATACAGAATTTAGCCCAGAGTCAACATCAAGCTGTTCCAAAGTTTGGAAAAAATACTATCCTTCCTGATTTTGAATCAGGTAAAAATTTGATAAATATGGATTCTATGTTTTCTTTTAAGTCAATGAAACACAGAAGACCGAGGACTGTAATTCTATACTAAAAACCTCTGGAGAGGCTGACTGCCATCTAGGAGTCAGTACCCTTTGGATGCTAAGTCCTTCCCTGACAGTACTACCATCTAGCCTCCCCAACCCCTCCAACTTACTCACAAGGATATGATAAAAAAAAAAAAGTCAGTAATACCTCATGGGCCCAGAAAAATATTACCTACTGCATTTTATTGGTTGACTAGCCTAGTAACACTATCAGAAAGAAAATTAAATTAGACTGAAATTATTATAGATAAACCCGTGCTGTATTCGATTGATTACTGCTTTCTCTTATAGATGCTCCCAGAGCATCCTTTAATTATTCCTTTTAGATTGTTGCCTAGGATCAGCACGGTCCTGGCTGGTTATCAGGGGTGTTGGAGAATCTCAGTTGAATGAATAAAGTCCTAGTCAAATAAAGATTATTTATGTGGGAGGGTTTCCATGTGATATGGATTATCATTTTATATCACTGGCACTCCCGTAGATGTCCATAATCTTTTCTGTATTTCTTAGGGTTTGTGACTACTTAGACTACTGAGAAAGTACTTTTTCCTATTAATAGTTTGGATAGGGTCGAGTAAAGTACCTGCATACAGACAGCTGTGACTCCTGCTACACGTGAAGGGGATGGGAAGTGGGAAGCAGTTGTCAATTAAACAGAGACTCTTCCTGATCACATGAAATACTCTTTGGGTGATCTTTGGATATTAGCTTGGCTGCCACATGACTTCCCGGTTCTGGTAACCTGTAGTAACCCTATCAGGTCTATTTCAAACTCTGGCAATCTCTGTCAGAGCAGAGACTGTGGGGTCTGTAATTTGCTCATTCCATTCTGGTTCACATAGTCCCGCCAAGAAGTCCCTCAGACCTCCTCTACCCTCCAGCACCCGTTTCATTATCTCCCATTCCTTCCAACCCAGGAAAACCTAATTGTGATGGTTAATTTTATGTGTCAACTTGGCTGTGTTAAGGGCTATCCAGATAGATGATAAAACAGTATTTCTGTGTGCCTCTGTGAAGAAATTAGCATTTGAATCAAGACTGACTAAAGATCTGCTCTACCAGTGTGGGTGGGCATCATCCAATTCACTGGAGGCCTGCCCAAATAGAACAAAAAGGGCAAAGAAAAGGTGAATTTGCTTTATTCTTGATTTAGGACCTCCATCTTCTCCTACCCTTGGACATCAGAACTCCTGGTTCTGCAGTAGTCAGACTCTAGGACTTATACTAGCATCCCTACCCCACATTCTCAGGCCTTATTACATTGGGTATTAAGTTATTGATTCTCCTGGTTCTCAGCCCTTTGAACTTGATTACACCACTGGCTTTCCTGGTTCTCCAGTTTGCAGACGGCAGATCTTGGGTCTCTGTGATTGAGCCAATTCCCATAATAAATAATCTATCTATCTATCTATTATCTATCTATCTATCTATCTATCTATCTATCTATCTATCTATCATATATCATCTATCTATCTAAAAAAGATAACCTGAGATACAATAAAATTTTAAAGAGTTTATTTGAGCAAACAGTGATTCACAAATCGGGCAACTCTAAACCAGAAGTTGTTTCGGAGCTCTGCTGAGCACAGCTCAGCAGTGGGGAGGCTTTTATAGGAGGAACAGGAAAGCAAAGAAAATATTTATTTGGTTATAGTTATATCATTTCCTTCTTTGGTCATCCTCTTGGAAAGTCCCTAGCTACATAATTATAAAGCTGCTTCTGACTGATTGAGCTTAAGTTGTGTTATATTCATTTACCGGAAATAGCTCCAGTTAACTTTTAGATTATGTTTGCAAATCAAGTAAGGTTAACTTATGAGGCCTAACTGGGTTTCTCTGCACAGAGATTCTTCAGGCATGGTCTCCATTTTAATTTGCTTTAACAACATGTATCATTCTATTGGCTTTGCTTCTCTGGAGAATCCTGACTAATACACGAGTCTTTTAGAGATATTACCGGATTCTCTTTGAACTCTGTGTATTAACTTTACAGGGTTTCTGTAACAAACTACCACAAACTGAAGGCTTAAAACAATAGAAATTTATTCTCTTACAGTTCTGAGGCCAGAAGTCCAAAATCAATGCATTAGCAGGGCTGTACTTCTACGGGAGGATTGAATATCTGTCCTTGGCCTTCTCCAGCTTTAGTGGCTGTCAGCATTCCTTGATTTATGATCACATTACTCCATTCTCTGCCTCCACGGTCACAACTACTCCCTCCTCTTCTCCATGTCTTCTCTTCTGTCATATATGAATACATGTCATTGACTTTACAGTCCACCAGATAATCCAGGATGATCTCCTCATCTCAAGGTTCTTAATTACATCTGCAAAGACCTTTTTATCCAAATAAGGTACCATCCACGATTCTAGGATTAGGAGGAAGGCTTACCTTTTGCAGGGGCCACCATTCTACCCCTACATCTTACCTAAGAATAAAATTTTTTCTTCTTTCAAGCTTTGCCTCTTGAAGCTCTGAAGAAATTTAAGACCTGTTCTTTTCTCATCACCTTAGCTTTGAAGACTTAGGTCTCCATTTAAGCACTCTTTTGGCAAATTCAGTCTATTCTTTTGTTTCAGTTGATTTTTTTTTTTTTTGGAATTTCTTCTTCTTTTGGTTAAATGACACCAATGGGCAAAAAAGTTACTTAGTAAAAAAAAAAAAAAAATTCAGGGATTGAGATTTCCACTTTTCAACCTGAAGGCCGATGTTTTCCCATGTTTAGTGTTCTATTACGTTTTCCATAATTCCTCAAAGATGAGTACCACTGTTCTCAGATCTCATTTGTACTTTTCCCCCCAAAGGCTGTAATGTAAAATACTCAGAGCAAATGTTATAATCTAAATTCAAACTCTTAGGTACTCTCTTAGAATTTCTTCCCCTAATTAGGAACAGTATTGCTTTCTGTCAATATCTATAATATGCTTCTGAGTAATATTAACAAGTTGCTCACTGGTGTGAGCCTGGCTCAGTGTTTTGAATGTATTACTTCTATTAATGAGAAAAATCTGATGGGAAGGATATCGCTATGTCCATTTTACAGATGGGGAAAAGGATACCCAGAATAATATAACTAGTAATGTTGTCAAAGACAAAATTTCAACAAATGTAAAGATCTAATTGGCTTTTATTAGTGATTCCAGAATTGGGCAGCATCTCATTCTATAAAATGGAATACTGCTTCAGTAAGTTGAGCAGAGGAAGTGGGCTTTATAGGCAGAAAGGGGCTAAAGAAAGCAGAACTAAGGAATACAAAGTGTATTGATCATTTCAAAAAGTTACTTTCTTTATAGGGTTAAAAAAGAGAGGACTTCCTTATCACGCTGATTAAAACTGGCCTGTTTGGAGATTTGGTTGTTTTCTCCCTCCTGATTTCTTGGAAGGTCAGATAAACAACTTAGTTTTGGTTCAGTGACCTGGAGTTTTAGTATGAGTGACTCCATTTTGGTTTGGTCCGGAGGGGCCTGGTGCAGGAGCCCAATCCAAAACAATAGCCTCCCATAAATTTTGTTAAGCAGTGTTGAAACAGAATTAAACCCAGGTTTGCCTGGCCCCACAAACACATGTTCTTTCTATTACATCAACCCACTTCTCTAGTTTCCTTTGTAGAGAATGAAGCAAATAGTAGTTAAGGAGTTCTTTCTCTGTCAGCTCTAACCTTACAGTAGAAGCTGCTAGTGGGCATTTCCCTTTCTTGATCATCTTCTGGTTCTGAACAGAATTTTAAAAGGCCTGTTTTTTGTCCTTCCTTAGCATTTTTTGCAAGTCTCACCTCATTTGGGGGTTTCAGGTTTCTTGACACTATCCTTTAGGGCCCATGTTACCTTCTTATAATTATCCTTGGTATGCGGTTGCTTTCTCCCAAGGTTTCTGTCACTTCCAATTAGCCAAACAATTCCTCCTTTTTGGTCAGAATTAGGTTCCCAGTTGCTCTGCTGGGACATTAAATCATGAGAAAGACAAGTCAAAAACTTGTCAGATGTTTTTGATTTTAGCCCAATAAAACTTTTAATGTGGTCCAGCTATTTAAATTTTCTTTTTTGTTTGTTGCATTGTTATAGGTATTGACAAATAGTATACTGAGGGCATTGTTATCAACAATTAATTCCTTTATGGAGAATTCCAATGTAGCAATATATTTGAAACCAGTTTTTGTTGTTTTTGGAAACAGGGTCTCACTCTGTTGCCCAAGCTGGAGTGCAGTGGCATGATCATGGCTCATTAAAGCCTCAACCTCCCAGGCTCAAGCCATCCTCCTGTCTCAGCCTTCCAAGTAGCTGGTACCACAGGTGCGAGCCACAATGCCTGGTTAATTTTGTAATTTTTTTGTACAGATGGGGGGAGGGTCTCACTATGTTGCCCAGGCTGGTCTTGAACTCCTGGCCTCAAGCAATCCTCTCACTTTAGCCTCCCAAAGTGCTGGGATTACAGGCCCGAGCCACAGTGCCCAGCTGAAATTACTTTTAAGTCTTTTGTATAAAATGCTAAAGCAGTTCCAAGCTTCCCATTGTCTATATGTACACATGGCTATTTTAGCACATTCTGATTTGTTAGCCTCCACTAAAGTTCGCCATGTGGAAAAATATTTTCTTTCTAATAAACTAATCTATCTGTATATCACATCTTGAGTGTAATCCCAAACCAGAAGATAGGAAATGGGATGGGGAATAGGACCTCTTTGAAGCAAAACATGTCAGAAAGCCTATGAAATAAGACCATAAAGTAGAGGGCCATGAATTGGGGTGGGAAAAATATTGTAATTCTTGCTAACTTCGAAGTAAGATTTAGGATTTCTTTCCATTGTGAACATATGCAAAAAACCACAGTGTTATTACAAGTATTTTGGTGACTTTTTCACTTATCAAAATCACAAACATTTTCCTATCACATTACTATATTTGTAGATATCTCAAGATACAATTATTATTATTATTTCAAAATTATTCATTAGACCTGCTAGATTTTATTATTTATTTAATGCATTAATAAAAAGTACAGGTATAGTATACATTTGTTAAATATTTTGATTACCATATTTTAGTATAATTGATTTTATTTATAATCCTGTGCATTATATTTGATGTACAAAAGACATTACTCTAAAAAGGACTCTATAGGCTTCACCAGACTGTCAAAGGGATCTGTGGCATAAAAAAGGTTAAGAAAATCTGTTATGGGCTCTGGCATGGTAGTTAAGAGCATGTAGTCTGATGTCACACTGCTTGGGTTCAAATTCTGCGCTGTCACATATAATATGACTTTGGTTAAATTATGTATAGTCTTTGTGTCTTAGATTCTTCATGTGTAAAATGGAGATAATAATGCCTACCTAAATGTCTTGCTATGAATATGAAGTAATATCAGTAACAAGCTTAATACAATGCCAGGCATATAGTATGTTATTTATCCCTGTATCCACCCAGATGAAAAGAGTTTCATTTGGATCCTATTTATATTTATTTATCTTACAAATTTTTTTTTTTTACTGTGTTGTCACTAACACAGTGACTAACACTGACTAAAGTTTTAAATTATATTTTAAAATACTGACTAGTTTTAAATTATATTTTAAAAATACATGTATAAGGAAGAATGATAAAGACCCACATGCCCTCCATCCAGTTTAAGGAGAAAAAAGTTACTTTTACTCTAAAAAGGATGCATATAATTCATTATCCAAACAATGACAATTTGGGGAGTGACAGTGCTATTAATCATTACACCAGGCAATCAGCAAACCAGAACTGTGCTAGGTAAACCAGGACTGTTTGGCCAAACCAACACATATAATTATCATACTTTTAAGCTCCTTGTTCACCTTTTCCTTACTTCATTCCCTTCCCTCTGTAGCTAGAGGAAATCACTGCCTTGAATTTGTGCTTATCATTCTTTTGCTTTAATTTATAGATTTACTTATGTTTGTACCCTTAGGCTATTTACTTTCATTGGTTCTTTATATAAATGGAATCCTACTGTAAAATTCTTTTGTGAATTTTTATTTGCTCAACATTTTGTTAGAGATTTATCTATGTCCATGAACTTGTAATTTATTTTTTCCACCACTATATTCTGCTGTATGAGCATATACAATGTATTTAATCACTCTACTGTTGATGGACAGTGGATTTTCTTCCACGTTTTACTGTTATAAATGCCATTATGAATTTTCTTGCTCATGTCTCCTGCTATACATTTTTCCTGGGTCACAGAAGATGTGCATCTTCAGCTACTAGATAATACCATATTGTTTCCCAAATTGATTATATCAATTCATACTCCAACCAGCAATGTATAAGAATTGTAATATTGCCAGACTTTTACATTTTTGTTCATCTGGTGGGTGTGAAATGGTATTTCCTTGTGGTTGGGTATCTTTTCAGGTTTTCTCCTGTATGAATTGCCTGTTTGGGGTGGAAAGCATTATCTTCATTTTCATTGAATTGTAGTGGTTCTTTACACAGTGTGAATACTAATCCTTTCGATAGTCACATGTGTTGCAAAGATCTTTTCCCAGTTTGTGACTTGTCTTTTATTTTCCTATGGTGTCTTTTTCCTTTTTAACTTTTTATTATAGAAAATGAAAACATACCATAGTATCCCTTTATCTATGGGTTTGCTTTCCATGGTTTTAGTTAACTGCAGTCACCTCATGTCCAAAAATATTAACTGAAAAATTCCAGAAATAATTCATTAGTTTTAAATTGCACATCATTTTGAGCAGCATGATGAACTCTGCCATTCTGCTCCATCTTGCCCAGGATGTGAGTCCTCCCTTTGTCCAGTGTATCTATGCTGTATATGCTACCCACCTGTTAGTCACTTAGTAGACTTCTTGGTTATCAGATCAAGTGTAGCAGTATCACAGTGTTTGTGTTCTTTACTTTACTTAATAATGGCTTGGAGTGCAAGAGCGGTGATGCTGGCAATTTGGATATGCGAAAGAGAAGCTGTAAAGTCCTTCCTTTAAGTGAAAACATAAAAGTTCTCAATAAGGAAAGAAAAAACACAGTATATACAGGGTCCAGTACTATTCTCAGTTTCAGGCATCCACTGGGGGTCTTGGAACACATTCCCTGCAGATAAGTGGGGATTTACGGCATGTAAAAGTATGAAGAATAGAATACTTAGTCCCCATATACCTATTACTCAAAAATTCTCAACTCATAACCAATCTTGATTTATACTACCACCCACTTTCTGCAACTCTTATCTTGAAGCATACCCCAGACATTATATCACTACATCTCTAAATATTTCAATATGTATTTCTAAAAGATAAGGAATCTTTAAAAATTACTATCACACAAAAATGGTTTAATTCCCTAATATCATCAAATATTAAGCATTCATATTTCTATAAATGTGCCCTTACAAAATTTTTCAAAAACGAAATTTGAATAATGATACAGATAAAATCCTGTGGTAGACAACCTCCAAAATGGCACCCAATAATCCCTTCTCATACTGTACTTGGTTGGTGTGTGTGTCTGTGTTAGTCTGTTCTGCATTGCTATAAAACAATACCTGACGCTGGGTAATTTATAAAGGAAAGAACTTTATTTGGCTCACAGTTCTGCAGGCTGTAGAAGCACGGCACCAGCATCTGCTTCTGGTGAAGGCCTCAGGAAGCTTTTCTTCATGGCAGAAGAGAAGGGGAGCAGCATATCACATGGTGAGAAAGGGAGCAAAAGAGATGACAGGCTCTTTTAAACAACCAGCTCTTGTGTGAACTCAGATAGTGAGAACTCACTTATTGCCACAAAGACAGCACCAAGCCATTCATAAGGGATCTACCCTCATGAACCAAACACCTATCACCAGCCCCACTTCCAACACTGAGAATCACATTTCAACATGAGATTTGGAGGGGACACACATCCAAACCGTATCAGTGACCCACAGGTTGGCTACATATCTGTGTAATAATATGTCACTTTGGGGGCTAGGTCAACAACGGCATAAAAAACCATGGTGGCTTCTGCTTCTCTCTTGGATTACTTGTTTTAGAGGAAGCCAGGAAGCTCTATGAAGAGGTACATGTGGTGAGGAAGTGCGGTATTCTGCTAAACAGCTAGTGAAGAACTAAAGTGTCCTGCCAATAGCATGTGAAAGTGTATCCTCTGGTACTAGTTAAAACATCAGATGATTACAGTCTCAGCTGATGGTTTGACTGATAACTTCACAAGAGACAATGAATCAGAACCACTCAGCTATGCTGCTTCCGGATTTTTGACCTTCAGACACTACATGAGATAATGAATATTTATTGCTTTGCATGTTGTATTTTGGGGCAGTTTATTATGCAGCAATAGAAAATCAGTATACATTTTGGTACTCAGAAGTGGGGTGTTAGCAAAAACCTAAAATGTAAGTGTGGTTTTAAAACTGGCAGTGAACAGAAGGTAGAACTTGGAGGAGAGTGTTAATGAAAGTTTGAAGAGCTTTGAAGAAATTTTTTATAGAAGCATAATAGATAACCTTTGAGGAGGCTGCAGGTGACATCTTAACAGATTAGAAAACTCTTCTTGGAAACTAGAGGGAAGGAGATCCTTGTTACATAATGGCAGAAAGTTTAGCAAATTTGTTATCCACAGATATGTACAAAGTAGAAAAAATGCCTAATTAACTCATTGATCTAGCAAAGGAGATTGCCGGCCAAGTGTTAAATATTTCATGTGTATTTTTTCTTGTTGCTGATAGTAAAATGTGTGAGAAGAGAGACCATCAAAGTAAGGACTGTTAAACAAAAAGGAGCCATGGCTGGGCATGGTGGCTTATACCTAAAATCCCAGAACTTTGGGAGGCTGAGGTGGGAGGAATGCTTGAAGCCAGGAGTCCAAGATCACCTGGCCAACACAGCAAAAAACAGACTCTATTACAAACAAACAAACAAAAACAAGTCAAAACTTGCTGGATTTGAAGATTCCCAGCCTGTGCAGATGACAAATGTGCTAAAATTGGGGAATATCTCTGAGCAAAAAGCAAATCTAGGGCACTGCCAGTAAAACATAAAGTTGAGGCTGTAGTTATAAAGTCCTTTAATAGCTCAGAAAGATCTTAAGTTGTGCCTCAGAGTATTTTCATCAGACAAACGATGTGTCTCAGAAAATCTCTGAATAACATCACAGGTTTTTAAAAAGTTTAAGGGTATTTTCATCAGCAAAAGCTTGAGGCAGAGTTTATGTGGGACGAGATGTGTGGTTGTTGCTTTTGTCTGATGGAGTGAACTCAAAATTCACAAGTGAGCCACAAAGTTTTTAAGAGAAGTCTATTAGCAGAAACATGGCCAGCCTGGACTGAAAGGCACAGAGAGAACCAAATGGAAAGAAGCTTGTGGGACATCCAAGCTTCTATAGGCAGAAAGCAGGCAGAAGTGTAAACAAGAAAAAGAAAGGGTGACTCAGTGAGTAGATCCAAGATCCCAGAAGGCAGAGCTAAGAGAATTCTAGGCCTTGAAACTTGACCAAGCAACTGCCAATCTGTGCCCAGGTGGGTTTCAGAATTTCTGTGAACCTATGTACCTCCAATATTCCCTCTTTTTAAATATACATGTCCACATTTATTATCCTATTCATTTTCTATTACATGTGGAAGCAGAGACTGTGTCTTTAGTGTATGAGTCTTCAGATCAAAAAGAACTCTTCTTGAGGAGCTGTACTTAAGTACACCTATGAGTGTCATCCACAATTGGAACTGATTTAGATTTCTAGACCTTGAACTAATGGTGTCATAGGATGAGAGCTTTGGAGAGCTTTTGGAGGGGATGAATATATTTTGCAAATCAAGAACTATCAATCATTGGGGCCAAATTGTGACAGCTAGCTTCCCAGTATTCATGCTCTTGTGTAATCTCCTCCCACATATTGTCAGGGAAATGTCTGTGTGACTAACATTATATAGTAGAAGTAATGTTACATCACTCTGAATGATCATGGTTTCTGTCTCTCTCTTGGATCACCTGTTCTAGAGAAAGCCAGTTGCCATGTTGTGAGAAAACACAGGCAGCTCTACGAATGAGCCCTCTAGGAAGTGGATCCTCTAACACCAGTCAAACTTTCAGACTACAGCCCAGCCAACATCTTGACTGCAAATTCATGAGACCTTGGGCCAGAACATCTAGCTAAACCACCTGTGGATCCTAAGAAAGTGTATAAATATTTTTAGATTTAAGCTAGGGTGATTTGTTATACAGTAAGATAACTAATCCAAGTTCACAGGTTGCTTCATATTGAACTAAGTCTCTTGTAATCTACGGTTTTCTCCACTTGTCCTTCTCGTCTCCTTTTCTCCTGCAACATATTTGTTGAAATTAATTTGTCCCAATATTCTCCAAAATTGGATTTTTCATTTATATTTTCCATTCCAAAATATTACGTTGTGGTAGGTTTCATTGGCTTAAAGTTTTAATGGTGTTTATATTTTCTGCAAATTGGATGGATCTAAAGACCTGATTAGTATCAGGGTCAAATTTTTGATAAGATTTTAACATCAGTAGTGGTGTTTTTCCATTAAGAAACATATGTTTTCTTGTCTGTCATGTTAGCAGCTGTTGAAATGCAATAAATAAATCCATTTGTTCATTAGGAATTTCAAAATGGCAATTTTCTATCATTCCTCCATTTATTAGCTAGAATACATGTACAAAGAGAACCCTCTCCTCATCTACTATGTGGTTACTTACAGTTCACATACAAAAGGCAGGACAAATGCCTAATTACTTTAAAAACAAAACAAAACTGATTTTCAAAATAATGAATTGATGCAACAGCATCTTCTACTGTTGACCAACTAAATGCTGTTTGTTTTACAATCATTATGTACTCAGATTTAAAGACACTTGATATGTTCCAATCAATTGCATTTACTGTCCTTATTGACACTCAAATGGTCTCATCTATGGCCAGAAGGATGCTTTTCAGTTGTCTCCTGAGTCCATTTGATATGACACCCTCGTAGTCTCTAATAGCTTCCTTGCTATCTTGCACAAGGTATTCCAGGCTCATCTTGTATGTTTCCTGGGCATGACTGAAATTAACCGCTATTCTGAGGGTTTATGGAGTCTTGAACAGAGGTTTTTAACTTTAACATATTGGACATACATGTTTTCCTTTATACATATTACATTTCCCTACCATAAGATCATAAAAATATTTTGCAATCTTTCTTTTGAAGGTTTACTATGTTTTCCTTTCACACTTACATCTTAAAGTCATCTGAAACTACTTTTTCTGTATGGTGTTAGGTAGGGAGGACCAATTTCATTTTTCCCCCATATGAATATGCAGCGTCATCTATTGAAATGATCTAGCTTTCCCTGCTGGTATGCAATGCCATCTCTGACATAAGTCAAGATTCCTTACAATCAGGATTCCTTATAAATCAATTTTTCCATCTCTAAGCCAGTATTACAATATCCTAATTACTATGGTTTTAACAGATTTATTGAGGTACAATTCACATACCAATTTACTCATTTAAATGCACAACTGAATTGATTTTAGTGTATCTACAGAAACGTGCAACTATACATTTTAGAACTTTATTGCCTCAAAAAGAAACTGCACCCTTTAGCTGTCACTACCTCGGGCCCCCATCACCCCAAACTTTGTAAGCCCTAAACAACCACAATCTATTGTCTCAATACATTTTCTACTTTATACACTTTGTTTAAATGGAATCATAAGTGGTCCTTTGTGACTGGCTTCTTTATTTCAGCAGGCTTTCAAGGTTTATCCACATTATAGCAGGTATTAGCAGTTCATTCCTTTTTGCAGCCAAATATATCCCATTATATAAAGGTGTCACTTTTTGAGTATCTTTTCATGGATAAACATTTTATCTTTTGATGGATATTTGAGTTGTTTTTATTTTTTTGCTGTTACGAATATCTACAAGTCAATTCTATCTTAAATCTGCTTCTGGAGTATCCTGAATTCTGCTTTTTGTCATACAGACTTTAGAATCAGTTTGTCAAGCTCCTTGAAAAACTCATTTGGGATTTGTATTGCAATTACCTTCATTGTGTAGTGGAGAACTGCCATCTTAACTCGAGTCTTTTAATCATTGAACATGGCAATTTTAAAATTAGACATTTTTAAATGCCTGTCAATAAAGTTTTGTAATTTTCTACAGAGGTCTTCTATACCTTTTGTTAAGTTACCTAATTTATATTTTTAAAGGAATATAGTAAATGGTATGTTACAAAAATCATTTTCTAACAGTTCATTTCTGCTGGAAAGAAATGCAATTCACTTTTGTATATTGATAGTCATATTATCTGTTTTCACATTGCTATAAATACTGGAGACTGAGTAATTTATAAAGAAAAGGGGTTTAATTGGCTCATGGTTCTGCAAGCTGTACAGGAAGCATAGTGGCTTCTGCTTCTGAGGCAGCTTCAGGAAGCTTCCAATCATGGTGGAAGGCAAAGGGGGAGCAAGAGCAAGAGAGAGGGGAGAGGTACCACACAATTCTAAATTACCAGATCTCCTAAGAACTATTTCAAGGACAGTACCAAGAGGATGGTACTAAACCACGAATGAGAAACCCATTCCCGTGATCCAATCTCCCACCAGGCCTCACCTCCAACATTGGGGATTACAATTCAACATGAGATTTGGGTAGGGACACAGATCCAAACCATATCAATAGTATATTCAGAATCCTTGCAAAGCTCTTCAATAATTTATCTGTAGACTAAGTTATGTTTATTTACAATTTTTAATCTTTTGTTTTTCTTGCCTTATAATGCTGGCTAGGATCTCCAACATAGTACTTGTTCCTGATTCTAATGGACTGCTTCAAATACTTCATCTTAAAATATTGTTGTTGTAGGTTTTATTGGCTCAAGGAAGTTCTACACAATTCTAATTTGCCCAAAGGTTTATCTATGTCTGTTAATTTTTTCAAATAGTTTTCTTTTCCTGCATCTGTTCAGATAGCCAGATAGTTTTTCTAATCTCTTAATATACTAAAATACATTCCTGGGTTAAATTCAACCTGATCATGTTTTATTATCTTTTCTTAAAAACACATTTTCTAAGGTCTGTTTTATTTAGGATTTTTGTCTTTGCGAATATGACAGGGCTGTAATTCTTACTGCCCTTATCAAATCATTACTGCCCTAATAAAATCAGGGCAGTAATATTAAGCTTCTGTAACCTTGATGTTAAATTTGATAAGGGCAGTAAGGGCCAATTCCACAGTATATAAGTGGAATATACTGTGGAATGGTTTGTGTAAAATTGTAATGATCTGTCCTTTGAAGGTTTGGCAAAAGTCTCTGGGCATCATGATTTCTTACATCAACATCCCACCATTTATATTTTCCATTACATGGCTTTTGAAAAGTTACATTTTCTGGAACTGCCTACTTCATTTATATTTTCCCATTTATTATTAAGTTGTTCATAATTTCTCATCAATCTCCACAGCATTTGTAACAACATCCCCATTTTCACTTCTAATAATATTTATTTATTTATTTTTTTCCAAGAGACAAAGGTCTTGTTATGTTGCCTAGGCTAGTCTCAAATTCCTGGCCTCAAGGGATGGTCCCGCCTTGGCCTCCCAAGGTGCTGAAATTACAGACGTGAGCCACCACACTCAGCTTGGACAAAATATAAAACAAACATCTGACAGCATTAGAGACAATGAAATATTCAGAAGGAAAAAACAGAGTTGTTGAATCCAGCATTTACATTAGCTTTTCCTCTGGAGTATCTTCTGATTCCTGAGGTGATGGCTGAAAAGTTGAACAGAGTTTCTAACCCATAGAATTAAAAAGACAAAAACTGAAGTTTAGGGCCTGATCTGGTAAACTCTGCATGCTTGAGTTGGGACTTCAGAGGTCTACATTGTGAAAGTATGAACAGGAAATAGACCTGCCTATATTCTAATTGTCTCTATCACTAACCAGATTAAGAAGATCTTAGATTACTAGTGTCCAAAGGTCTTGCCAGGAGACATAAATTCTTTCTTTAGAAAATACCATCATATTGGACTTCAAAGTATAGTTTCCTCATATACAGTTCAATCAAAACAATTCTGACATTCAATTAAAACATAACCTAAGCCAAGTTTTATATATTTATAATGTTTATAAAATAAATAATACAAAATAACATAAAAATAAGGGACATAAAAGCAAGACAATGTGATAACAGCAAGAAACAAGAAAAGTGTCAGATAATAGCAGACACCATAGTTATTAGATACAGGTTTTAAAGTAATTATGATTAGTATGTTTGAGGAAATAAAAGATTGAGATATTGGATAAACAACTGGAAACAATAAAACAGAATCAAGTAGAAATGTTTGAACTGATAACCAAAAATATAACTAAAATAAATGCTTCAAGAGAGATTTAACAAATTCGAGACTACTAAGAGAAAATAGTGAACTGAAAGTTAAGAAGAAATATTCAGGATGAAACAGACAAGAAAATAAATGGAAAATACAAGGGACAAAGTGAATTGTCAAATACAAATGTAAGTGGAGTATCAAAAGAAGAGGAGAAAGGAGAGTGAAAGCAGAAGCAATGTCTGATCAAACAGAGCTAAGAATTTTCTCAAACAGCCTAAGGACATCACAGCCAGATTCAAGAAACATTATCAATCTCGAAGCAGAAAAAAACCACACACACAAAAAAACAAACACAAAACACATGTGGGCACACCAAACTTAAGACAAACCTCTTAAAAGTAGCCATCCAAAAAAAGATTACCTTTGAAGAGAAAAAAACAAAATGGACATTATGTCTTAGAGGACATAATGGAAGCCAGAAGGAATAAAATATATCTTCAAAATGATAAAATAGCTGCTAATTCAGCAAAAACGTTCTTAGAAAATGAAAGTAAAATAAGACAGTGTCAGGACAGAAAATCTGAATGAATTGTTACCAGTAGATATTCGAAGAAATATTAAAGTATGTCCTTCAAGAAGAAATAAGGTCTTAGATGGAAGCTCAGATTCCAGGAACCACGAAACACAATAGAAAAAGTAAATGTTTTATACAATATGAAATGTAAATTCATATTGTATAAAAAATGTCTTGAGAATTTAGGAAATACATATTAAGAATATACAATGTATATAACATGAGGTGTGGCAGTAAATGAAGTTGATGTGTTCGCAGGTCCTTACATTGTCCTGGAAGAAGTATAATACCAAATTATCTTAAAGATGATAAACCAAGGTTCCATGTTTTAATACCTGAGGTGAACAGTAAAAAGATACTAAAAGACATCTGTCAAGCTTATGAGGTAGAAAAAATGGAATAATTAAAAATAATCTAAAAGGTCTATAGCCATACCACCCTGAATATGCCTGTTCTCATCTGATCTGGGAAGCTAAGCAGGGCTGGGGCTGATTGGCACTTGGATGAGAGTCTGCCTGGGAATATCAGGTGCTATGGCCTAATTAAGAAAAAAAAAAATCAAAAAGGCAAAAGAAGACAAAATGAACATATAAGAGGTGGGACAAATAAAATAAGAATAATGACAAATTTAAATCCAAGTATGTTAGTAATTATGTTACATGAAAGCTGACTCTTTATGCCAATTAACAAATTACCAAAGTGGATTTTAAAAATATATTATCTTATATTACTCTTTGGATTAAAATGCTCTCATTTTTTTTTCCATTGCACATAGAATAAAATCTAAACTCTTTCCTGTCTTTCAAAGGTAACATGATCTAGCCCTTTCCTATCCCTCCAAAGTTACAGTATTTGCGTCTTAAGTCACTATTCTCTAACCATGCAGGCCTTCTTTTGGCTCCTGAAATATTCCAGGCTAGATCATGCCTTAGATTTTGCAGTTGTCCCTTCTGCAAGCAAAGGGTTCACCAATTTTTACAAAGCTGGATTCTCTTGTCATTTACACAGCAGCTTAAATGGTATTTTAGTTTCTTTAATCACCTAATCTAAAATAGTCATGTTTGAATTTCATGCCTAGTACTTACCACTGTCTTCTGTTTTTGTTAATTTATGGCTTATTACTACTAAAATGTAAATTTCCTGATAGTAGGGACAATATCTGCTTTATTTACCACTATTTCCTCAGAGTGTAGAAGAGTGAATGATACAGTTTTATATTCAATAACTATTTAATGGATGGATAAAGCTAATTAAAGTTTTAAACAGATAGGTACTTTCAGACAGTTTTGTCTTTTTACTGCTATTGGTGGTACTGATTGTTTAAAGACTTTCTTGATACCAAAAAATATCAAATGGATGTATGTGAGTGGTCCTTGAAAATGTGCACTGTACAACCTGTGTAAAATTGCAAGGGTTATTTCACCAATTAATCAGCTATGTGATATATTCCTAGATACAACTGTGGTAAGCTACATGAAAATAAAAATTCAGAAGTCTACTGAATTGTTAAAGGTTGCAATATACTTCAGAATAACATTTAAAACATTTTTTTTTCCAGCCTAGAAAGATGAGAGTAATATAGTGGATGTTAAAAAGCATGTTGAAAACAAAAAAAATCCTCATCCTTTTTTTTTTTTCTTGAGATAGTCTCGCTCTGTCACACAGGCTGGAGTGCAGTGGTGCCATCACAGCTCTCCGCAACCTCTGCTTCACAGGCCCAAGCGATCCTCCCACCTCAGCCTCCCAAGTAGGTGGGGCTACAGGGGTGTGCCACCATGCCTGGTTAATTTTTATATTTTTGTAAAGAGGGGGTTTTGCCATGTTGGCCAGGCTGGTCTTGAATTCCTGGCCTCAAGTGATCTGCCCAACTCGGCCTCCCAAAGTGCTGGGATTATAGGCATGAGTCACTATGGTCAGCAAAAAAAATAAATAAATAAATAAATAAAATCCCCCAATATACAAAGTTTGTTTTAGAGTGTTAATGCCAGCAGTGGGGATTGATATATTTTGGTTACTTTTTGCAATTTGTGCTTAAAATTTGTTTCATGTCAAAGCAATCATACTGGCCACAATTTTGCATCCTGCTGTCTTAATATGGGCAACTATAACCAAACTACCATAAACTGGGTGACTTAAACAACAGAAATTTATTTCTCACAGTTCTGGAGGCTGGGAAGTTAGAGAAGAGTGCCAGCATGGTTGGCACAAATTAGGCCCTCTTCCTGATTTGTAGTTGTCTGTTTTCTTGCTGTGTCCTCACATGGTGAAGAGCAAAGAAAGAGTGGAAGCAAGCTGTCTAGGGTCTCTTGTTGTAAAGGCACTAATCCCATGCAGGGCTTCACCCTTATTATTTAATCACCCCCCAAAGGCCCCACCTACTAATATCATGTCATTGGAGATTAAGGCTTCAATATATGAATTCTGGTGCGGAGGGAGGGGGGACACAAACATGCAGTCTATAAAATGCTTTTTAATTTTTTGAGACAGGATCTTGCTCTGTTGCCCAGGCTGCAGTGCAGTGGCATGATCTTGGTTTACTGCAACATCTACCTCTTGGACCCAAGTGATCCTCCCACCTCAGTCTCCTGAGTAGCTGGAACTACGGGCACACCCCATCACACTCAGCTAATTTTTAAATTTTTTGTAGAGAAGAGGTCTCACTATATTGCCTAGGCTAGTCTCCAACTCTTGTGCTCTAGTGATCCTCCCACCTCAGCCTCCCATAGTGCTGCAATAACAGGAGTGAGCCACTGTGCCTGGCCTCAAATGCTGTTTTAACTTAGACAATAAACATTTTCCATTAGAAAGACTAGTCTAATGGCTCTTTAGAACAGCTAGATAAAATTCCACTAAGCATATATAACAATTGATCAATCTTATCGTCTGTAAGACTGCAACAAACTTTTTACCATTATAGGTATTACTACAAATAACGTCTTTGTCATAAAGCATTTTAAGGGCAATTTAAATGAAGTAACTGTTTACAACATTCACTTAAATGATATTTGTTATGGGGAAGGCGAGAAAACAAAACAAGGTCCCAGCTGTGGAGGAATTTATAGTCTAATTAGGAAAACAGTATATGTTAGGGGAAAAAAAACTACAATGAAAGCATACGACACTTAACCTTGTTCAGAAACAGTAATTTCTTAGCAGAAAAACTAAGCAGAACATTTTGCAAAAAATATGGACTGAACTGCGAAAAAGTGATATATCTTAATGGTTTAAAGAGTTCCAGGTCAGTGTGGGTATCGTACTTTTTGTTGGTCTTGAAAGCATTTGAGAACAGTTCTCATTCAGGACATTTCAACTCATCACAAAGCCCGAATGGTAAGCAACCAAGACTTTTCTCAAAGATTATGCTCCTAATTCCCTTGCTGAAACTACTGAATTTCTTTTCATCTCCATCTATCTTTTCTTCCCTTTCATAACTGTCCCCTTTCTTTGTATCTTTGTCAAAGACACTCACCTATTTTAAATAATGGAAACAGAGAAATTACTGTACTTCAAGGCAGGCAACCAATAGATAATAATATTATTCTACCAAAAAAAAAAGACTGGGTGGCACTACCTTAAAACATATATCCATTTTAATCATTAAATAGCATTACTTATATAACAGATTTTTCACATGTAATTGAGAGAACTGTGTGAAACAGAACATTAAAAGATATTAATCAAGAGTTATTCATCAACTTGCCATACAACAAATAAGGAACACTGCACTCTGTGATCTATTAAAAATGATAAGCAGATAATCAAAACTGCGATTTCTTTTCATGGTTTTACTCTAGCAGGAATGGATTCCATTCTGATAGTAATTCCAGTTTTACTGTCACATAGAAGGAGATACTTTGCGAACCTCAATGACTGCCAGGTTTAGGACAGATATTAAGAACCACAGTGTCAGAAATGAAAGAGTACAACTTCACAGAATGTGTTGTCTCTGACAGGTTGATAGCCACTTACCTTCTCCATCTTTTCTTCCTCAAGGATAGCAGCTGCTTCCCACAGATACACCAACAGGCAATTCCAGCCCCTCTCTACCACACTTACCATTTGCAGGTGCCTGTGGCTTGTCTATTTACAACCTTGTCCCTACACAGCAGAAGCGGAACCCTTCAGGAAGTTCTGGATTCATCCTCAGCAGGATCTGTTTCACAAACTATTCTCCAGTCCCACCTTCCCTCCAGGTATTCTGTCAGTACTTACGATTCCCAGATCTTCTTTTAATTGTCACGCTGTTCGTCCCCTCACAAAATCAAGTTTAAACTAAAAAAAAAAAACAAAAAAAAAAACCCTCATACACTCAGTCTGTGTCCCCTTTCCTGACATAAAATAACTGGCCCTGTGCATGCTTCTTTTGGATGGCTGAGAACCCCGATTCCTTTGGGCCATTTACAGCTTGGATACCATACGCTCCAGGTACTTTGATAAGCAGGGTGAAATTTAATATCTATAACAACGCCTGCCTACTCAACCTTCTTAACTTCTCCCAAAACTTCCTAGTTTCCCTTCCCAATTCCAACTTCATAACAAAACATCACACTATGGCACAAAGTGAATTCATGGATGAAATTACTAACAGCTACAACTTAAGTAAGGACCCCAAGTCGTGAGACAAATTTCTGGGTTGAAAGTGCTCTGTATATCCATTTCAAGCCTGCCTCCAGTACGATGTCTCATTATAATCAAATAAAAAGGCAGAAAAAGTTGAATGGAATAGAGTTTGGAAAAAACACAAAATTAAAAGTTGTATGAGAGTTTCACTTATTTGCATCTGATATAAATATCTATACATCTATAGAAAAAAAAAACCCTCATACACTCAGTCTGTGTCCCTTTTCCTGACATAAAGCAACTGGCCCTGTGCAAGCTTCTTTGGGATGGCTGAGAACCCCGATATATCGATATATTTATAGATAGACGTCTACATATCTATCCAAATATCTATATCTATCCATATATCTACCTATCTATCTATCTATATATATATCTATATCTATCGATCGATATCTATCTATATCTATCTATCTAGACTTCCCTGGTGAGGGAGTGAACCGCTGCCTGACGGGGGCCAAGACTGGCAGAGCAGAGACGCGGTTTGTACATGAGGGGAGGTGGTGGCCAGAGCAAAAGTGAACCGCAGGCTAGGCAAAGACCACAGCACACAGCCATACAGGTGTCCAGGACCGTCAGATCCCAGAGCATCTATCTATATAGATAGGTATCTATATGGAAAACGTCCATATTGGAACGTATTAAAGAGGCAGAATTTTCTTCCTGGGTTCTCTGCTCTTGGTAGATGTTCTTCCGGCTTCAATTGCCACCTGTGAATAGTGAAGAAACTTCTCACTATGAGATTCCATTGCCCGGAAGGAGGGTAGAGCTACGGTACCCACTAAGGCAGGGAACAGAAGCAACAGACGGACAGGTCTGTGGAAATGAGGATATGCTAATAAGGGACCGAGTCAGGAAAACTAGAGGGTAACAAGAGGGCGTCAGTTAAGCTGAGACAAAATGACGGCCAAAGGTGGTCTTTACTCTCTCTAAATCACCTGGGTCTGGAGTCGACTCCCATCGCGCACCCTCACTCCCACCCCTGGCCCCCTCCCGCCCCCCACCCGCCCCCCTCCCTCTCCCCTCCCGCTCCCCACACCAACGTGTGCCTCCGTCACCTCTCAGACAGTGGATGCGTTCCTGTTGAAACCACCCAATCTACCTCAGGGTCCTCGCAAGCGCAGCCACCACGATCCGCCCGCCCACGTACCTGTGCTGCGCCTGCGCCTCCTCCGCTCTCTCAAGGTCAGCACCGCCCCCAGCCCACAACCTGGCACCCACGGAAGTTGCTTTAGAGGACGTCCTGCGTATCTTCACCTCTGCGTGGCGTGGGGTCGACGGCGCTCTGGAGAAGGGAGGAACTTCCTGTCCCGCGCGCGCACAACTTCCGGCAGAGCCGGAAGACCCTCTCTTTCGCTGTTTGAGAGTCTCTCGGCTCAAGGACCGGGAGGTAAGAGGTTTGGGACTGCCCCGGCAACTCCAGGGTGTCTGGTCCACGACCTATCCTAGGCGCCATGGTGAGTTCTTCTGTGAGGGCAGGAGTGACAACGGTGGGGCGAAAAGGGCGGGGAGGTCAGTACTGTGAAAAGAGCCATCAGGTGCTCTGCTCAGAATGGAGTTGAGACGTTGGGATGAGCTGCTGGGTAGGACCCACCACCTATCTCAGGGTGTCTGAGCCCCTGAGGAAGCAGCATTACGCCTACCTGTCTGGGAGACTAGCGGGCCGGAGGCAGGGGCGTATCTGTCAGGGAGTATGGACTGGGTAGCCTGCCTGTTCATGGCCCATTTACTGTGTATGGCCTGTGGCGCCAGGTGATCCCAGAGTTGACCTTGCCGGGTCAGTCACCTCTTCTGCGCCCCCTTCTCCATCCGCGGAACAGTGGCCAAGAACTTCAGATCTTAGAAATGCTTTTAGCCTCTCCAGGTGGACACAACGGGTCTCCTTGTATAAGATCAACACCTGTCATTTAAAGAAACGGTAGTCCCCTTATTCTTTACACTTAGCCATTTCATAATTGAAAAGGGTGTCAAATAAAAAACCCGAGTTTAGTAAGGACAGACTTTATTCGAAAGGAATATTGCAGGGGTGTGGAGGAAGGTTGAAGGAACTGTTGCAGTAGGGAGAATGACCGTAAGATTTGCATGCACCTTAAAGGTTAGGCAGAAAGGGTTTGTCTTTTGTTGGTAGGGGTAAATAAGATGTCAGGAATTGGGATGAAAATATGGGTATGATCCGGCAGTAACCAGATAATGTTTTACCCTGAGCCCATGTATTCTGAGGAGGAGCTGTTAGGAGAGGTTTGTATATGTTGTTTCAGACTGAGGGAAGGACAAAATTCAGGTACCCGAGAGAAGAGAATCTTAAAGTTTGGTTAATAAGTATTTTGTTCCGATTGATCTGTGGGACAGGTACTTCAGCAAGTCATTTACGAAGCAAAGGATGGGAATTAGAAGGGTCTAGTTATGGCCTTGTTATAGGTAAACAAGGGGTAGGGGGGTATGGATCAACCCTTAGTCTTATCTAAGTTCTACAGGAAAGATGATTCTTTGCAGTAAGCCAATTTCTCAGAACACAAACGGGGGCAAGGGGTTTCTTAACCTTTGCTGTTTTTCAAGATCACGGGGCTCTGGTGAAGTTCATTATTGTCAGTTTCTTCACCGTATACAAGATTTCAAACCCTCACTTGCAGAGGCTTCTGTCCTGGAATTTAGCTTCAGTTTGTCTTATATTTTCAGGGCCAAATATTGCCAACATTCAGTTAATGTGTGTGGTGATTGGCTTTTGAATGACTTTTAGAAACTTAGCTGAATGTAGAACAAAGACCTTCAAAATAATGTAGTTCCTGGTGCACTTTACCAGATAACCTATCTCTTTAAAGTTTTTTTTTTTAAGCCTCAGTGAATAATATGGTTTGTATTAAGAAAGTTGTTTTTCTTTTGTATCAGTGAAATTAGACAAGGATAGGGAAAACAGAACTGGGAGAAACCAAAGCCTAGTAATCACTCTTCCATCCCCATTTTTACAGAAGAAAGAATCTGGGGTCTAGAAATTGACAGTGATTTTTCTAAAGTAACAGTAGTTTGGCAGTCTGGACTAAAACTCATATTTTCATTTTTTAAATTTAAGATTAATTTTTGACTTTTTGGTCTGAAAAGTTGAAGGTAAAGTATAATTAAAATACTTAAGTTCATCATAGTCACAGAAAAGCTGAACATGAACTTGTTCTCAGTGTTTTGGAATACTAGAAGTAGAATCCTGCTTATCCTGTCGGTTCAAAAGAGATGGTTAATGTTTGGAACTAATGTAATCTTATGCTGTTTTTCTGAATGTCATTTTGGAACTAACTAGTTGGCTCTTTTCCTTCTGGAAGTGCTTATATTTCTGAGCTAATTATCTTGGCTGAGTTTTATCTTTCCCAGCTATGAAATTGATAATGTCTGTATATGCAAGTGTGGTTAATGCTTGGAATTTTTCAAAGGGAAGAGTTTAACCATTAAATGAAGTGAACATGGGCTGAATTTATTGAGGATTCAGCTTGTTGAAATCAGAACTTGTTTTGCATTGCTGGGGCCTAATGATATTATGAAAAGAACATTAGTATTGACCCCAGAGGACCCAGATTCTGCCCATTGTTAGTTATATGGATTTGGAAAAGTCACTCAATTTTGATAAGAGTTCCAAATTCCTCCTGGGTAAGAGAAGTGGGACTTGATGGGTATTAAAGCACCTTCTTAAATTTATGATTCCATGACTACTCAACATTTTTGAGGATAGTTACATGTTTCAGATTAAATAAAAGTTAGTCTGATTTCCACTGTTTTGTTTCCATGCCATTTTGGCTTAAGTTTGATTTCTTTTATCATTCTCTTTTTCATTTTTTTCATAAGTCACATAGATAGTACTTGGAATCTTTGTATATTTGGCCAAGTCTTTCACTACTGTCTTAAATACTGCTCCAGAATGGAACACAACTCTTGGAATGTTTTGATTTAATTCTTGTTTTAATCAATGATAAACTAATTCTGTGCTCTCATTCTCTCATACATTATGTATACCGATACTCAATAGATACCTGTGCCTATAACAAGGTTTTTGTATTATGAATGAAGGAGAATAGGATTATGATCCAGACTGAAAATACTGAACTCACGCTTAATTTTTATGCTTTCAAGTTGTTGTGAAGACAAGTCTATAGGAAATTTACTAATGGAATAAAGCCATTTGCTCTATTGCACTTTCCTTTTTGAAAATTACAGACCAACTTTGATCAAATATAAATCTTTCTACCATTCAAGCTAATTTGTGGAAGATAGGTAGATTAGAGCTAGCTCCTGGAATTGCAGATATCACGGCTTGCATCTGTGTATCATCCTGTAGTAACTTACTGCTGTAATTGAACAATGGTTTGTGGGCAGGTGTGGGAGAGTAGGCCATGGGGAGGTTATAAACCTTTGCCATAATCAATTGGATTTGATGAAAAGTTTTCTTTTTGAGGGGAGTGGAGGGGAGTGTTGGGAAGAGTGTGTAAATGCTATAAGAGAAACACATATAATAGGCTCAAAGAGTACAGTGGAAAGAAATTATTTCTAACTGAGAGCAGGTTGGGTCATGTAGTAGGTCACAGGTTCCCAACCCCTGGGACTGTGGACTTGTACTGGTCCATGGCCTGTTAGGAACTGGGCTGCACATCAGGAGGTGAGTGGTGGGCAAGTGAGTATTAATGCCTGAGGTCCACCTCCTGTCAGATCAGTGGTGGCATTATATTCTCATAGGAGCGCAAACCCTGTTGTGAACTGTGCATGTGAGGGACCTGAGTTAGGTGACCCTTAAATGACAATCTAATGCCTGATGATCTGAGGTGGAACAATTTCATCCCGAAACCATCCTTCCTCCACACTGCCTCCACAATGTGTGAAAAAATCGTCTTCCATGAAACCAGTCCCTGGGGCCAAAAAGGTTGGGGACTGCTGTAGTAGGTGACTTCAACTGAGTTTTGAAAAGTGGGTTAATATACTAGTTTTCAAGCTTGAGTTTGCATAGGAATCACCTGTGATACTTGATAAAAAACACTTCTCTGCGCTGATAATTTGGGGTAGCATAAAGTTTTAGAATTGTATTTTTAAATTTTTTTTCAAATTTTACTTTAAGTTCTGGGATACATGTACGGAACATACAGGTTTGTTACATAGGTATACATGTGCCATGGTGGTTTTGCTGGATTTATCAACCCATCATCTATGTTTTAAACTCTGTATGTATTAGGTATTTGTCCTAATGCTCTCCCTCCCCTTGCCCCCCACCCCCTGACAGGCCGCAGTGTGTGATGTTACCCCCTCTGTGTCCATGTGTTCTCATTGTTTAACTCCCACTTATGAGTGAGAACATGGTTTGGTTTTCTGTTCCTGTGTTAGTTTGCTGAGAATGATGACTTCCAGCTTCATCCATGTCCCTGCAAAGGACATGAACTCATTCTTTTTTATGGCTGCATAGTATTCCATGGTGTATATGTGCCACATTTTTGTGATCCAGTCTATCATTGATGTGTATTTGGGTTGGTTCCAAGTCTTTGCTATTGTAAATAGTGCTGCAATAAACATACGTGTGTGTGCATGTATCTTTAGAGTAGAATGATTTATAGTCCTTTGGGTATATACCCAGTAATGGGATTGCTGGGTCAAATGGTATTTCTGGTTCTAGATCCTTGAGGAATCACCACACTGTCTTCCACAATGGTTGAACTAATTTACCCTCCCACCAGCAGTGTAAAAGCGTTCCTATTTCTCCACAGCCTCGCCAGCATCTGTTGTTTGCTGACTTTTTTAATAATTGTCATTCTAACTGGCATGAGATGGTATCTTATTGTGGTTTTGATTTGTATTTCTCTAATGACCAATGACGATGAGCTTTTTTTCATGTTTGTTGGCCACATAAATGTCTTCTTTTGAGAAGTGTCTGTTCATATCCTTCGCCTACTTTTTGATGGTGTTGTTTTTTTCTTGTAAATTTGTTTAAGTTCCTTGTAGATTCTGGATATTAGAATTGCATTTTTAATAAGTTCCGCAATTAAGTTTTGTTTTTTTTTTTAAATCCTTACTCTAGCACTGGATGCAGTTAAGAGTTAAATTGATGGACCTTAAACCCCTACTAGAGAGAAATGCAAGTATAAGAGACTTTGATGGAGATACTGGAGGTCCTTTTGCCAGCTGAGTGGTAATTTGACATGCGCAGTTTGAAGGATGGATTCGGTCATGTATTAGCAGTTAACCACTAAGGTTAACTTTTAGAGGAAACATTCAGGTTTCTTCTCAGTTCTCTGACTTTATTTTCTTCTGACTGCTTTCCTTCACTGCTTTCTTACTACAGAGGCCTAATTGAAAAAATGTTATAGACTGACTTTTCTCTTGGTTAATATTTGGTTGGTTCAAGGTTGGTTTTTAAGATTAGTTGATACTTTGGGCTTTGATCCACTTAAAAAAAATTGGTTCTTTTGTTTTCTCCGCAACAAAAGCTTAAAGTGCATTAAGTTGATTTCAGAAAATCAGAAGATATTCTAAAGTGTTCATTTCTAAGAGAGAAGTTATTATTTTCTGACTGTTGTTAACGTGGTTTTGCCCATGTTAGTAAGAATGAATACAGCTTGTCTCAAAGGAACTTTTTAGAAATAAACTTAAGTGTAAACTCTTTGTATACCACTTACTCTTGAGTTATAGAAAAAAAGAAATCCTTACAGTCATGGTGAAATGAATATTCTTTTGGCTTTGAAATGACTGTACCTTTTGTTTCACCAAACTTTAAAAAAAGTTCTTAAATCATTCATTTGTTTTTATTCACCATCTGTATGCCAGGTACTGTTTTTGGCAACAGGGATATAACTGCTTAAAAACAGAGACAATCTCGGCCCTCATTTATTGGGAGAGGCTGATGATCTCATGATGAAATGGGCATGTAATATGTCAGTTGTGATACATTTAACAGAGAGAGTAAGGGGATAGAAAATGCCTGTTTTAGATAGGGCATGTAGGGAAAGCTTCAATGAGGAGGTGACATTGTAGCAAATTTGGATGCATAGATATTCAGCCCACGTGCCTGGTACCCATATTTATTAACTGCTCCTGTAAAATTATTGTAGTACAGTGTATCTAAAAAGCAAGCAAAGAGCTCATACTGTTTTTAATTATATAAATCTTTCCATAAATTTATTTACTGTCAACTTTCCAAACAGTAAACAGAAAAATAATAGAAATGTGTTTTTTTAAAGATAGTAATCGATTATATGAAATTTCATGTAATAGATTTTATTTTTGTGTTGCATTAAAATTTTTTTGCAGACTTTTTAAAGAGTAGTTTTAGGTTCACAGAAATCTTAAGAGGAAGATACAAGAGATTTCCTAGATATTCCCTGCTCCCACACATGCATGTCCTCTACTATTATCAACATCCTTCACCAGAGTGGTAAATTTCTTACAATTGATGAATCTACATTGACACACCATAATTGCCCAAAGTCCATAGTGTACTTTGGGGTTCATTCTTGGTGTTGTACATTCTATGGGTTTGGATATAGTTGGAATCTTACAGTATGTAGACTTTTCAGATTAACTTCTTTCACTTAAGAATATGCATTTAAGGTTCATCTCTGTCTTTTCATAGCTCAATAGTCCATTTCTTTATAGGGTTTAATAATATTCCATTGTCTGATGTACTACAGTTTATCTATTCACCTACTGAGGGATATCTTGGTTGCTTCCAGATTTTGGCAATTATGAACAAAGGTGATATAAACTGTATGTACAGTTTTTTGTGTGGACAAAGGTTTTCAGTTCCTTTGGGTAAAAACCAGCAAGTGCAATTGCTGGATCATATGGTAAGACTGTAAGAAACCACAAGTTGTCTTCCAAAGAAGCTATATCATTTTGCATTCCTACCAGCAATGAATCAGAGTTCCCATTGCTCTACATTCTTGCCAGCATTCAGTGTTGTCAGTGTTCTGGATTTTGGCCATTCTAATAGGTGTATAATGGTATTTCCTTATTTTAATTTGTATTTTCCTAATGACATGATGTGGAACATCTTTTCATATTCTTATTTGCTGTCTGTATGTCTTTGGTGAGGTGTCTTTTAAGGTCTTTGGTGCATTTTTAAAATCAGGTTGTTTTCTTGTTGAGTTTTAATTAAGAGTTTGTTATATTTTGTATAACAATCCTTATCAGATATGTCTTTTGCAGATATTTTCCCCTGGTCTGGTTTGTTTTCTCATTTCCTTGACATTGTCTTTTACAGAGCAGATTTTAATTGTAATGAAGTCCAGCTTATCAGCTCTTTCTTTCATGGATCATGCCTTTGGTTTTGTGTCTAAAAAGTTGTTGCCTTGTCCACAGCCATCTATGTTATCTAACAGGACTTTTATAACTTTGTGTTTTACATTTAGGTCTATGTTCTATTTGAGTTAACTTTTGTGAAGAGTGTAAGGTGTGTGTCTAGAGTCTTTTTTTTTTTTTTTTTTTTTGCACATGAATGTCTAGTTGTTTCAGTACCATTTGGTGAAATTTGTTTGTTTTTTTTTTTTCTCCATTGTATTGCCTGTGCCCTTTTGTCAAAGATCATTTGACTATATGTGGGTCTATTTCTGGCCCCTCTATTCTATTCTGTTGATCTGTTTATTTCTTCTTTCATCAATAACACAGTCTTGATTATTCTAGCTTTCTAGTGAATCTTGAAGTTGGTTAATGTCAGTCCTCCAACTTTGTTCTTCAGTATTGTGTTGGCTCTTCTGGGTCTTTTGCCTCTTCAAATTAACCTTAGAACATTTCTTTCTTTTCTTTTCTTTTCTTTTTTTTTGATACCCTTAAAATAACTTGCTTGGATTTTGATTGTAATTGCATTGAATCTGTAGATTAAGTTGAGAAGGACTGCCTCCTTGGTAATATCCTTTTCATGAACATGGAATATCTCTCCATTTATTTATTCTTTGAATTCAGTTATCAGAGTTTTGTAGTTTTCTTCATACAGGTCTTGGCATATTTTATTAGATTTATACCAAAGTATTCATTTTTTTCTGGGTGCTAATGTAAATAGTATTTTTAATTTCAAATTTCACTTGTTCATTGCTAATATATAGGAAAGTGATTGACTTGTATATTAACTTTGTATCCTGCAACCTTGCTATAATTGCTTATTGGTTCCAGGATATGCCACCTATTTTTAGTCTTTTAAGTTATTGCAGTTCTTAGAGAATACAATTACAACTCACTTACCCAATGATTTTTATGTTCACATCTTTTAATTATATAAAACAGACGTAGTAGTTCTGTTGTTAAAGTAGGTTAAATATCTTTTGTGTTTTGGCTATAAACTATAAGATTTAGAAAACCTGAAACAACTTAAACTTTTGCTACTTTGAGACTTGGGATCTCAGTATCTTATTTCAATTAAAAAAATTCTTAATCATTATGAAAATCGATGTGCTTGTATGCTGCTATTTCTAAAAATGACTTTGTGAAAAGTGGCCTGGCATGGTGGCTCATGGAAGGCTAAGGCAGGAGGGTCACTTGAGGCCAGGAGTTTGAGACCAATCTGGACAACATAGTGAGACCTCTTCTTTACAAAAGGTTTTAAAAATTAGTGAGGCGTGCTGGCAAGCACCTGTAGTTCCAGCTACTTGGGAGGCTGAGGTGGGTAGATCACTTGAGCCCAGGAGTTTGAGATTGCAGTGAGTTGTCATCAGGCTGCTGTGCTCCAGCCAGGGAAACAGAGTGAGACCCTGACTCTTATAAAACACAAAAATAAAAACTAAAAATGACTATTTGAAAAGTAAAAATAAATACATGGCATTGAAAGTGTGCTTGAACTAGAATTCTATGATTTTTATAGTTTGATTCAAGTTTCTGTGATTCTGATTATGTAAATTTGGAAATACTGTTGAACATTTAGCTGAATGTACATTATGGGATACAAAGAGAGGAATATTCAGTTTCTATGGAATTCAAGAAGGGTTTCATAAAGAAAGGTTTGGATTAGATTTTTGAGGGTAAGTAGAAGTATGTCCGTTGGGTAAGAAATTGAATTTTACTTTTCCTCAATAACGATAACAGCTGCATTTATTTTACATTTAATATTTACCAGGTATTATTCTACATTCCACTTATATTGACTCATTTAAATCTTTATGAAGTAGTTAAATTCTGTTTTTTTAAACCTTTATCTTACAGATGTAGAAATGGAGGCTCAGCAAGATTGGAGTAACTTCTCCAAAATCACACAGCTAGAGATGACAGAATTTGACTTTTAACCCAGGCTTCTTGTCCCTTGTGCTGTTGTGCCAGTCTTTTGTTTGTCTTGAGTAAGATTCACTTATGAAAAAATTGAATTTCACAAGTTCAATCTAGTGTTTGAAATTCAAAAACATTTTCCTATAGAAATCATAATTAGTAACGATATTTTTAGAAAATGTTTCCCGAACCTAGTTAACACCTAATATATCTCTATAGTATTCAAGCAATTAATCATTACTATCCGGCATAGCAGTACTGATTGACATTTTTAACTAGGTGTCAAACACATCTGCCACTGCTGCAGTAAGTCATAAGATTCTTTCATATTTCTTCTACCTTAACTGCATCCACTGAAGGCACTGCTTTACACCAAAGCCTTAGTTTCTCTTAGGCCTGAAGATGCACTTCTAGTAACACTGATGAGTTGAAGAGCAATTTGAGAAATTGGGGATGAGTTGTGCTGAACTTGAATTTCTTATCAGTGTAAGCACTTAGTGAGTTACACTTGTTCCAAGCCTATCTCACGGTTATCCCAGTTCTTTTCCTGAGGACTCTTCTTTCCACTTGGGCTATTTTCAATTAGAACTTTGTTTCTTCTTCAGGTTGCAAAGAAGAATGTAATCTTGTAGAGTACCTTGCCTTCCCTTCCATACATTCAGCAGACATAGTTCCTTTAAGGGATTTTACTGCTAGGAGAATTTCATAGGTCATATTCCCATGTTACTGCTTCACAGGTATTTACTTATTTACTTACTTATCACAGAAATCCTTTAGGGGAAAGAGACAATAATGATGGGATGTTGTAAATTTTTGGAAGTAGAGAGGTTCGGATTGTGAAGAGGAGATGAGATAAATAGTAAGTGGCACTGCAAAGAGAAAGGGAGATTTTTCTCTACTAGTAGAAGTGGCTTATGAAGAAGGAACTTCAACAAGCTGTTCTGCTCCATTTTATAAATGTATGATTATAGATTGCCAATAGTTAATGCCGTGAGTACTTGATACTGTAAGGCTATGGCTGTTTTTAAAGTAAGATTAATACTTTTATCTTTGTGATAAGTAATTAGAAGCCCTTTGAAATACTAATCTAAATTATTTGTTTATATAGCTATCTTATGTCTGCCCTTTACACAGCGCTTAGCTGATTTTTGTTATCTTTTACCTGGTGATTGCCACCATTTGCCCCAATGTGCTGAACCACTTAGAAAAAGCAATGCCATAGTTTCCTGCTTTCTTTTTCTAAAAGAAAAAGTCATACAGCAAGGTTCTGTTACTGAAGCCAAAACTTCATTAACTTGATTATTATTGAGTATTTTTGTTATTTCTGGAGATTTTGGGCCTTTTTACAATGAATATAAATGATCAAATTCTTATGGTTTATGGGGATATGTATTTAAGTATTCGTGTTCCATAACTAGAACCATTTGTTTCTGCATTCGCCCTTGGTCAAGAGAGAAAGCATGACATTTTTTTCTTGAAAGGTTTGTTTTTATTGATGGTTAAATTTATTACTAGAATTTTATTTGTTTAAATTAATGCATACTTACTCCTTCCTCCCTTCCTCTGTGAGATTAATTAACATCAGGACAATGAAGCTTCATTGTATCAGTTATTACTAGACAGTTTAGTTGTTTGGGTAGGATATTGCGTGTCGAATATAGCAGTCTTTTCTTATCACAATCTTTACGAAAAAGTAGAAAAGAGCCTGGATAACTGGAATTAGAAATAATTGCCAACAAAATATGTTTTCTAGTCAATAGGGACAGATAAGCACGCTTTAAAAACATTCATTGTACTGCAGGTCATAACTTTAATTGAGACATTTAGTTCTTGATGATTAAAACTATTTTCTAATTTGATTTCAACTAACATTTACTGAATGCTTATTCTTGATTTTAATAGAGAGCTTCCCACTTAATCATTCTTATCAGAAGTGTTTAATGTCATCATAGTTCTTTCTCTTGATAGCCACTGAAAAGAAAATGTTCAGGTTATAAAGAAAATGAATCATTTAAAAAGAGAGAATTGGCCACGTATCTGAGAGATAGATCTTTTTTAAAACTATGGAACTGTTGGCATTCACAAGTCTTTCTTAAGAGAAATTCCCACAAACTACTAATTGAGGTGAATATGATGGGTGGTAGGCTAGGTTTACTCCTTTAATTTGGAAC
The DNA here is from genome assembly GCF_000001405.40 of Homo sapiens. Classification (NCBI taxonomy): domain Eukaryota; kingdom Metazoa; phylum Chordata; class Mammalia; order Primates; family Hominidae; genus Homo; species Homo sapiens. Next base: position 88,257,797 of record NC_000005.10, on the reverse strand, counting down.
TCTGATTTCCTTTCAGGTCTTATAAATATTAGCTTATTTAATCTTTATGAGAATGGATTATTATTCATTGCCATTAGCAATAATTACACAGGCTTTGATGGTGGTTTAGAAATGTTAAATCTGTGAATGCCAATGATTAATTGTGTATTTAGCTAAAATATTGCAATCATAGACAACATGATCTGTTTGGTATTTTGGAGATCATTTGCCAGCTCTTGTCATTTTGTAGATAAGGAAAGAATCCCAGGGAGAGCTTTTCTAATTGCTGTGTAGCTAGTTAGTGACGGAACTACTTCGATCCTAGTGTGTTTAATTATTTAATGCATTAAAAATATTCACAATGAATGCATTTACCTAACTTAACAAATTTTCTTGGCTTTTGTGTATGGCTTAAAATTTAATTAAGCTGAAATTTTTATATTAAATTTATTTAATGAAGCTTTCTCAGTGCACTTTGAGCAAAGTTTTGATTTTTAGTTTGTTAAAAGGAAAGGTGTTTTTGTTTTGTTTTGTTTTGTTTTTGTTTTTGAGACAAATTCTTGCTCTGTTGCCCAGGCTGGAGAGCAGTGAGTGGTGTGATCTCAGCTCACTGCAACCTCCCCTCCCAGTCTTGCGATTCTCGTGCCTCAGCCTCCCAAGTAGCTGGGATTACAGGCTGTCGCTGCCACTCCTGGCTAATTTTTGTATTTTTACTAGTGAGGAGGTTTCACCACGTTGGCCAGTCTGGTCTGGAATTCCTGACCTTGAGTGATCTGCCTGCCTCCAAAGCCCTGAGATTACAGGCTTTAGCCACTGCACCTGGTCTTAAAAGGAAAGTATTTGTAACACAAAGCTATCTCATTAAAATGAGGAGATTGTCTTGTAAAAACAGATGTACTCCTTCCTTTGAGAAAGGAGAAAGCACAATATATTGTCTTTTACTCTTAAAGTGAATAATTTTCTTTATGCTAAAGTTTAGTGTGTGACACACAGTAGGAACCTGAATGCAATGAAGAACAGTGGGAAAAATTTATGCTTTATCCATTTATTTTATCAAAAGGTAAAGATTTATTCAACTTGTGTTTAATATCTGCCATCTCCCACCCTCCTGGGAATGGAGGCTGAAGAAATGAGATGAATGCCATTTTCAAGGGGGAGAGACCCTTAAGTTAGTGGTCACAATTGAGCATGATACAGGTTATTTTGGAGTTACGCATATGTTCTTTAGTAGAAGTTGGAAAGTCAATGAACGTTTTATAGTGCACATGAATGTTGAAGACTCAGTAGCAGTTGGTCTAAACAAACTGATTTGTACATGTCAAACATGTCTTTTCATTAATTGATTTTGGCTAATGACTTCTTTGAATACATACCTGTAGAGATATTTTCTATAATGTCAGAAAATACTCTTAAGGAAAAGTGACAGAATTTAGGAAGCTTTCTTCCATTGAACCTTTTATTTGTTACTTTTTAGTACTGTAATGAAACATTTATGCATGTCTTGGCTAGAGATTAAGTGGCTTGTTAATATGTTTAAGAATATTTTGTTCCTTGTCAACACTTTAATGACTATGGCATTGCTTTATATGAGATATTACATTATTTATTCAACCTCTTTTAACTGTGGAAAGTTATCTTTTAAAATAAACAACTGTTAATTTGAACACCAATATGTTAAAATGGTTTGTGACTTGTGTTTAATTAGAATGTTTTCTATTGTTATGAAAAAGTATCTTTTTCCTTTCCCTCTTTGTTGTTGGTCTTCCATTTGCCTTGTCATTTATACTGCGGAAAATGTCTTTTTATTTCTAAATTTAATCAAAATCTGATAAATGACTTTATATTGTCATCTTTATCCGAAAGTCTGGAGCTGGTATTTTTTAAGATAGTTACATCAAATTCACACATTCTACTGTTGTAGTTCTAATCTTTAAAAAATTTAGAATGTATCTAGGCATTGAGGATTTATGCTTTTTGACCTTTGAAAGGGTCAAAAAGCTGTACTGAGGTATTGAGGATTTATGCTTTTTGACCTTTGGAAGGACATTAAATTTCTTGTTTTTCTGATTTAGAAAATGGCAAAAAAATTATGCTTTCACTTTTTAAGGAAATTAAAAATGTATTTTATGCTGTAAAACAGTGCTGACAAACCCAATTAATTCTGTAAACAATTAAATTTGGAAATAGATAAATCTGAGTTCAAATTATAGTTGTTGACAATTATGTTTTATAATTCTATTTGTAATATTAAGATGAACTATATGAAATTGCCATTTTGTAGGTCAAGACAATTAAGTATTAGCAATTTCATAGGATTCAACCAATAAATGTACATTAGATATCAATAGGTGTTCTTATTCTTTAGCTGCTTTTCTACCAAATTCTTCTGTTCTTTCATTTCATATTTAGTATAGGCCCCCATTTTTTACTTCCAGTCCAGTTTACTGTGTCTGTAAGCGCTGCAGGTATGTTAGAAAACCAGTGAAGGCCACAGTAGTGGGATACCAGAGATGCTCTATGGGAAGGAAGTCTGCTGGTCTCTTCATGATTGTTTTGTGCTGCTTTTATCAGCTTTGGCATTATATGGGAGAATTTCTCTTCTGGATTAGACAGTCCTCAGACCTACCAAAGAACCTATTGGAAATAACCATCTTCAAAAACCCAGTTTGGGTCCATCAGTTCCACATACATAGTTTCATCACACTTTTCTTCTCAAGTTTCTAGACCTCTTAGTCACATTGCCAGAGTGGTAATTCTGGTTTTTATCTTATGACATGACATTTTTTTCCTCCTTTGAAGACCCTGATCTTGGTGTGGTTATTCTTCAAATTTTTCTTTCAAACCTTGTCCATTTTGGTGCTTTCTTTGGTTCTTTTGATTACCCACTTAATCATCCTGGATTTTCCTATTCTTGTAACCTGTATAATGTCCCATGATGATCAATCTTTTTTTTTTTTTTCCCTTAAAATTTTTTTTACAGTTACAGAGGGTCTCACTTTGTCAGGCCGGAGTACAGTGGTGCACTCATGGCTCACTGCAGTCTCAACCTACTGGGCTAAAGTGATTCTCTCACCTCAGCCTTCTGAATAGCTGGGATTACAAGCACATGCCACCATACTCAGCTAATTTTTTTGTTTTTACTTTTGGTAGAAGGGTGTCTCGCTATGTTGCCCAGGCTGGTCTTGAACTTCTTGCCTCAAGTAATCCTCCTGCCTTGGCCTCCCAAAGTGTTGAGATTATGGACATGAGCCACCACATCCTGCTAAATCAATCATTTTTCTGATGTTTTTACCTAATATGCTGAATCATGCAGATTTGCAGGTGCTTGGCAATCATTCAATCAATTCTATGTTCCTCTTTTGTCAAAATTTTCACAAATTTTAGCTGTCCCTTCTTCCTCTCCTTTCTTTTACAGCTCAACTCCTTACCCCATTGTGGTTCTTAGGAGATGATCTGAGAATTTTGAATTTTGAAATTTGAAATAATCTATAATAAGTTCTTCAAATAACTCTATCTACTGGAAGGTAGGACATCTAGAACGTTGACCTAGTTTTTCAACTACCCTGATCAAATTCATATAAACTGTGAGACCTCTGTTTTCAGAATTAATACATCTCCATACCTATATGTGCTTTCAATTCAGTAGGATATATGAGATCTTGTAATAGATAAACTTTTTTATGTTTTTGATCTCATCTATTTCTGACCCTTAAGCAGTTAAATTCCCACATTTAACTCTTCAGCACCTCCCTAATGTTGGTTCCTTCCCTTTTGCTTCAAGCATGTACATTTCTCTCTTATAATAAATATATTTTATATATATATGTATTCTAGTAACTGTCAGATTTTTCTTTTATTGCTTAGTTTATCCAATGATTATGCCCATTATTTCCATTTTATCTTTACATAATCACCTAAGTCTTATTTTACTGAAACTTACAGAGATAATTACTAATCTCATGCCTAATTTATTTTTTCTCTAAAAGTTTTAATTTTAAAAATTTTGCTTTTGATTTAAAAGCTGTTTTGCTTCAAGCTTTTATGGTATTGCTTGGACTATTTCAGTGGATTTCTAATATAGTTCCTTGCTTCCAATTACTTTTACCCCTTCAATTTATTTTTCCCATTATAGTTGCAGAGTCATTTCTCCAAACATATTTGATTTGGTTACTTCCAGGCTTTATATCCTGGGATTATTTCCAAGTACTTGCAGAAGAATCCATTGTGTGCAACCCATACTAAAGTCTAGCCATGTGGAACTTCACATTATTTCTGGATTGTGCCATTTGTTCTCCTTGTCTTTGTACGGGTAGGTATAACTGCCTGACCTTCTCTTCCTTTCCTGTTCTGATAGTGGAATACTCTTTTTAACCTTGTCAAACTAGTTCGGATGTCACCTCTGTGAACCAGTATTTCATAGACTTCCCTTGTATATTTAATCACTCTATTGGAGTGTTCCCATAACACTGGAGATTGATCTCTACCATACCACTTATATTTTATTTGTAGGTGGCAGTGAGGAGTGATTAACACTTAAAGTGTTTGATAAAATCCACATACGATGAAAGAAATAAGTTAAGTATTCCCTCCAGGACCCATGGTAGACTAGATTGTAGCCAAATTAATGGTATTTACATATCCAAAGAGAGTAATTTTTAGATAGGTTTTATCTAAAGAAAGAGTGTATCAATAAAAATAGCTAGAATTGAATGTAATTTACCCAAAATTATTTGGGGTTTGAGAGTATTCTACCCTCTAGTGTGGTATTTTGTATATTTCATCAGACTTTCATCACTCCTTGAATGAAATATGCTTTAATGATATTTGCTGCTTTCTGCCCTAAATCACTACTCACCAAGCATCCTGTTTCTAATTTGGCTTCCAGTATATCATTAAGACAGTAATCGAATGGAACACTTAGTAAACCTAAATATCTGATCCACTTCATAGTTTGTTTCACTGTATGTTAAGTGACAAAACTCTTACAAACTTATTACAACCAGTCTCCAATACATAAAGATTGATCATCCTTTATGTATTAGCAAAAGCCTATTTGCCGTGTGTTCGGAAAAGCCGAGGATGCACCCAAGGTGCTTTCCTTGGGAGGCCTATCTGAAGCTTGTCAGCCTTCTTCGTGAGTTTCTTTCAGTCTACACCTTTTCCCGTCAGTGGTTCTAGTATTCTACCAATCATCCAAACTAAAACATCTTGAAATAACCTTTGAAACATTCCTCAGTTTTATTCTACAGTTGTTATACTTTATGTTCAGTCACATTCAGAGTTTGATTTTCTTCTGAAGTAGATTTTTGTTCTTTCCTTTTGTTTCAACGACATTTATCTTATTCTTAGTTTTTATCTTTAATTGATTAATATATCGCTATATCTAATTTTCATTATGTGTTACTTGAATTATTTCAGCTCCCTGCCCCTGCCTGTTTAGAAGTCCTAGGTGATCTTTCTATTAAACATTTCAGCTAAATACCTTCTCTTGGTTTTAAAGACTCAAGGAGCTAAAATTCAGTCTTCATCCTATTTTCCACAGTTCCTTTTTATTTAGTAAGTTTGCTTTGGTTGAGGTAGGCGTTTTGCTGTTGCAAATACCTTCTGTGTTCACACTTGTCATTTAGCCTGAAATTCCCTTCTCTTTACTTTTCTGTGATTTTAGTTTCTGTCTTTAGGTTTCATCTACTCTATGAAACTTTATCCAATTTAAAAAAATTCTACAACCCATATTCATAGTACCGTGCAATTTTGTGCTCAAATATTATTTTAATATGTATATTTATTGTTACGTAATATGTTAATCTTGGGTTTTAAGCTCTGTTAAGACAAATTCTTTTATAGTAGCCCTGTTCATTCATTCAACAAGTAATCAAGTGTGCTACTATGAGCCATCAACTATTCTAAATGACATTGCTCTAAGTGTTTGGGATATAACAGTGAACACAAACATCTTTGTGCCAAGTGCCTGATGATAGCCAGGAAGATACTGGATGTATATTAGATAGACAGCATGTTCTTGTTAGTTGAATTTTCATATGCTTTTTCTATTTATAGATATAATTTCTGTGGCGACATAATTTGGATTTACAGTGATTTTTAACATTGTTTAAGATCATAAATCATTTGTTATATTGATATATAGTTCTTTTTGAAACTACCTTTGCAAAATTATGACAGCAAGAGAAATCTGACATAGTTGACTCCCATCTTGCTTCTAACCTCCAGGCTGTTCTAGGTCATTTTTGGGCATTGGCCAGGCTAACCTTGGGAGGCATTTATTTTATAGTTTAACTTTGAAGCTAGGATGATAATAGTTCCTTCCTAAAACTAATCCCCCCTGTTGAAACAATCTGAAACTGCCTTTTAAGACTAGTGAAAGACCGCAAGATTAGAATTGTGGGAGGAGCTTGAGTTCTGTTAAGATGTAGGTGTAGTTTTTATAATCCCTTATTGCTCAGGAGTCATGTGGCCAGAAGTCACAAGATTTGTGACTTCCCCAGTTACTCCTACAGATAACATCACTATTGTAATACCTAAGATTGGTTTTTTTGAGATGTTTTTCAGACTAACCACATGCAGACCCATGATTCATGACTCATCTGGTCCTGTGGCCCAGTTGAGTATATGAGGCAGACTCAGTATATGAGGACCGTTTTCTTTACCCCTATGATTTCATCCCCAACTAAGCAGCAGTCTCCATTCCCTAGCCCCCCTGTCCACCAAATTGTCCACAAAAGCTTTAGCCTCTGAGACTTTGGGCAGTGATCAGTCTCACTCAAATCAGTCGCTTCTCACTCAAATCAGTCTCACTCAGTCAGTTGAGCCATTTCTTCCATGTAGTTGGCCTTGCATTAATTAAACTCTTTATTGCAGTGCCGTGATCTCTGTAAGTTGATTTTGTCTATGCAGCAGTCAGGAAGAGCCCATCAGGCAATTACACATTTAGGGGCTTGTCCAAGATCTGCCCTTCTGGGTGCCTGTCTGCTATCTCTCAGCCTTCCACTGGTACAATGGAACTGGGAGTGAGCTCGGGCGTTTCTTATTTGTCTCGAACTGAGGGCCATCTCTGATACGGTCTCTGCCAATGAGACGCGGTCAACCCATAGTGCTTGGGCCTAATTGCAGTGAAGAAACAGTTACTGGAAGATGTCTTTAAACTAGGCTGGTGAGTGTACAAAGCACTACCAACATCCTCTTCCTTCTCCTGTTCTGGTTGGCGCCTTTTGGGCCAACCTAGCTCTCCTTAGATTGTACAGAGAGTCTTGGTTTAGGGAGATTTCTCTCCACTTAGATGGAGAACAGGGGCTTGTTTGGAAAAACACTTTTCTGGTCAGGATTCTGGTTCTGAGAGGCCTCTTGTCTGTCTTTGTCTGTGTTCTTATATGTATATCACTCTGGCTGGAATGGGAAATATTAATGATAGGCTTTTTATAGTTCTATGAAATGGAAAAAGGATGATTTTTCTTTTGTAACACGTCTTGGCCCCCACAGCTATAGCAGAGCATGCAGGGTCACCAAAGCCACTCAGGAAGAGGGAACCAGAAACCTGGCAAGCTAACAAAAAGGTAAGAATTTCTTACCAGCCAGGCTTCTGGTCTCGGTCTCTCTCTCTCTCTCTCTCTTTCTCTCTCTTTCTCTCTCTCTGTGCAAACTGGCAGAGTGAATGGTAAAAATCACTGTTTGTCTCCTTTGCAAGATTTTGATTAATGGGAAAAAAGATTTATGAGTCTAGTCTTAGGCTGTAATGAATCTGGTGTCTTTCTGTGTTGTTCTATCATGGTGAAAGATACCATAGGATAGAACATAGATATAGGACCCCTGCAAGCCTGCTGGTCCAGCTGGCCCTGCAGATTGGTTAGTTAAAACTTTGTTGTGGGTTCCTGAGGCAAAAATGGGATGAGGTTTCCCTCTTGTCTTCTTCTGTGTCCTTGGAGCTTGACTTTGTGACCACGTGGGGATACTCCCTTGGTCTCTGCCATCTGGAGGTGGGAGTTTTGGGGTTCATGTGAAACAGCTGATCTGAAAGGACTGGAAGTCTGAGAAAGGCCAGCACACTTTCGGCCCCAGTGTATCCAGTCCTTCAGTGAGTTTTGTCTTAAAAGGTCCCATCCCTATGGGCCTTTTATTGTCTTTTGCTATCTTAAGCCCATTCTTTCTGAGAGAATTATTGGGGATAATAATTCTGGGGAGTAGGGATGCTTCCTCTACTCCTTCTCTGGAAATACCTCTTGCTTATATGGTAAAAACCTGGAAAATTACGATCTGAGTTTTAAAAAAAGTTTTTGGGTTGAGTTGCCATTGGAACTACGTGCAAGATTGAAAGAAAAAAAGATTTTAGAAATCTTGTATTCCAAACAATTGAAAAGAGGTTAAATAACAGTGTCATGACTAGCCTTGAGAATCCCCTTGTGCAGTTAGAAATGCTTTGCAAGCTCAAAAATGACTGTGCTAGGCTCCTTCTGGGAAGAGTAATGGTGACTGCCCAGCACTGAAGCTCAGTAGCTAAGGCTTTTACCTTTTGTGATGATGGCCTGGATTCAATACCTGGCTTAGGGACTGAGTCCTTTCTGGTTTGACATTTATGAGACATTTTGCCTCTTATTGACCCTTTTCCCTCCCATGGACAGCTTTCCATTTCCTGCTTTCTTTCTGTGGAGGGCATACAGGGCTTTGAGGCCTTTGTATGTAGATGGTTAGCTGGGAAACTGAGACTCTGGAGAATGTGGCCAGACCTAAATGTGAGTTGTACCCAGTTTGCGTGGCAAAACTTTCCTTTCTTTGTGCTACTTTTGCCATTTGTAAAACCACTTTCCATTTCTTTGGAAATACCTAATGTGTCAGTGGTTAAGTCATAATCTTAGTTAAGGCTTACTGGGGAAAAAAAAGAAGGCTTAAAAGCCAGAGGTGTCATCTGTTTGTCCTGGCTAGAGTGTGGTAAACAGAGATTTAAAAGGATTTCCTTAAAAGAGCTCTATGGTTAAAAGTCAGGTTAATTAAAAGCTGGTAGGTAAGCTATACATATATTTAAAAGGCCTTTATAAGCTTTTTTGTCTTCTTGGATCTTGTTTTTTTGAGGAAAAGTTGTTTTTTTTTTTTTTTTTCTCAGTCGACTGAATTGTTTCTCCATTTGCTTCTGTCTGTCCTCTTACTACCCATGATGCCCACATGAGATAACCTAAGGCAATTTCTAGCAGCCTGGGTCTCCCTGGGAAAAACAGAGGTACCACAATTTTGGAAGAAATCTCTGTTTTCCTCATGGAACCGCAAGAATTGTAAGCAGAGCGATCCCTCTCAGAATCAAAGTTGCTGCTCTGTTTTGTGTAGTGTTATCTGACTTTTTTTACTTTTGGGGACATCAGAAATTACTTGGCATTATGAGAGAACTTTTAGCTTGGTGTGTAATAGCTAGGTAGGCGATATACTTTTAGGGATGGCTAATGGCAGTTACGTAGGGGATATTCAGGTTTTTGCATGTTTAGATAAGAAAAGCATGCTTTTGACCACCTGGAAGGTATGGAAACATCCTACCTCCCGCTGAGAAGTAAGACTCCTGTGGGAAGAATGGGCTGATTGGCTTGGGGCTGGCCACCAGCCTTGGAAAAATGTCCTTGCAGTTAAATTCACTATTTTGTTCTGTAGTGTTTCTGTCTTTTGGGGACCCAGGATTTGGTGTAAAAATGGGATCCTTGATTTTTATCTGGATCTTTCCATGTGAGGCAGATATCACCGATGATTCTCAAAACTTCAGTCCACTGTGTCTTGACTCATGCATTACCTTCCAAAATGCCCTTTTACACCTTTTTGCTCTCAATAATTTCTCATAGAATCCTCTTCCTGTCTTATTACATTGTATTGTAAGCAATTACAGTTGCAGTACCTTTACAATTGTATTGTAATGTGTGCTTTTCCCCCATTGTTAGTGGTCCAGTGCCCCACACATGTAGTTTGTTGTTCAATAAATGTTCATTGAATACACCAAATAGACCGGTGAAAAAAGCATTGAGTTGGAAATTGTCTGGGTGCCAGATACATCAGTAACCGGGTAGTTGAGTGATGTTTGTTGTTTGGACCCTGTTTTCCTTATACATAAATTGTTCAAAGATGGTTTGTTTAAATACATCTAGTGTGAATTCTAAGTTTTATGTGAACTTGGGTTGAAATGGCAGTTTACATCTTCTTTTGGAGTATAAATTATATGAGCATCCCTAAGAAGTCTGTCTCAACATATCTTGCTGTCTCTAAAACATGTAAACAGTCAAGAAACAAATGAATAGGAAGGTCATTGGGATATAATATCCTCTTTTTTATTTTCTCTTTTCTAACATATTTAGGGAGATAACTGAAACCATTTGGGGTGGTCTGAGTCCCAAGTATATATGCAGATATGCCTTTCAGTAGTAAACAATGTATGCTTTGTTTTGATCTGTCAGCAGGAGAGCTAGTTTAATGAAACATAAATGTCAACTCTTGAGGTTGACACAGTACTCAAAGTTTGAATTTATAAATTGCAGCACGTTTGTATTTAAGTTTTTAGAGTTTTATTTTCAGTATTAATAAAGCAAGACAAAATACTGTTATTTGGGTACATTTTATTTCTTGGAGAATTGTTTAATTTTTCTTGTTAAGAATTTTTGTAACCTTCCAAGAAACTATTACTGACAACAATTGTAAGGATCATTCTTCTAGAGACTAAAGGCAGATAAGTTTTTCTTGCTCTTCATGGCCTTAGGTTAATAGATGTGGAAAGGTTGAAACCTAAGTTACCCCAATGTTTCACCCTTCTTGGGTGCTTATGAGCTATTTTTTTAAATGGCTTTCCCCAGTTCCAGTTATCAAGAGAATCAGTGCCTAGAGGCATTGAATCCAGACAGAAACCATCTCTTTGGTCAGTTATTGTTTTGAAGCGTTAATAAAACCATTAAGGCTACTTGAATCAATGACCCATATGGTTGTGTGTTTGAGACCTCAGCCATGATAGACTTGGTATTTTCATTGCATCTCTGCTCATTTGACCAGTTTTCTATTGTGAAATTTATGTTTAAGATTATGGATAAATTTATTCAAGCATTCTCCTTTAATTAAAAATTATGAAGAATATTCAGGATATTTGATATTTGAACATTTCAAAGTTCTGCTTTTGTATAAACTTATACAGTGACACTAAATTGGTTGGTGAAGACAGGTTATTAGAATGGTTTGTTTTTGAATTTTAAATGATTGTGTTTCTTAGTTAATGAACTGGCTACTTTATACATTAATACATTAATCCCTGGCATGTACACTGTAATTGTCAATTGCATAGTAATATCTTAAAAATTGATTTTAAGTTCAACATTAATAATATATTAAATTGATAATACATATAATTCTCTAAAATGATTGCTATTTTGAAAGTATATTCTGAGGATTCGTTTTTAAATTTACATGAAAAGGAGCAACTGGTGAAATATTTTCCACATAATTTAAAAATTATCTCTCCAAAAACTTATGTAGATTAGATTCCTGTATTGGTATAAAAGTTACTTTTTTTTTTCAGTAGCACATATTTAGTCACCTAAGAGCAGATACATTGTAGGATAGATCTGTTGACTTATATAGAAGAATATAATAATATATTTATTTAGCATAGTATTCAGATGATGTTTTGGGAAATTATTTTCAGCCTCATTTAAGAAGAGGGAAATGGCATAGTAAAGAGATAGAGTGAGGTTACATTTTTGTATTGAACATTATTTTAGTCAAACATTAACACTGAGAATGTACTATGATGTTTGCCTTTCTTTGGGTCATTCTGTTTAATTTCTTCTTTGCTTTTATGTTTGATCAGTCTCTGAGTTCTTCAACAATGTCTCTAAAATGTATTTCTCTTCTGGGTACTGAAGATACCACTGTAATTTAAAGTTTCATAATTTCTTGTCTGGATTATTACAGAAAGCTAGTTGGTATTTCCTAATTCTAGTCAATCCAGCTCACTGATTTTTGCTTGTTTGTTTTTGCCTTAACATAAATTTACATCTTTAAAGGTATATCTGTCAACAGTATCTCATCATGTTTGGTGATTTGGAGGAAGGGGAGAGTTGGGCAAGATGCCCTCTTCCCCAGTTTATATACTGCCTCATATGTATCTTCCAGGTCAGTCTTTCTGAAATACCATTTAACAGTTATAACTAGTAGTTGTGACTGAGACATAATTTTTGCTGTTAAGGAGCAGAAATCATATACTTTTAATAAATTATTATATATGTTTGTGAGAGATTTTACTGAATTATGACCTTGAAGATTCCGTGTAATGCTGTTAGTTCTTTCAAAGCTAGGTTGATGTTGCCATTGTTTACAAAACTTCCCATGACTACAAAATGATCTCTTGCTTTTAAGTCTGTAATCTCAGGTAGACCAACCTTCTGGCATACTTACTAATGTATTTCTTGGTCTTGTTCTGCCTGAAAGAGTTCTTTGTAATGGCATTCATTGAATGGAGATTGTAGAACTTCTATCAGAAACTCACAGAAAATAGGATAGTAAATTCAAATGATAGGAAATGTGAAAGAAAAGGGTAAAAAATGCAACCTTTGATGTTAGGTCAGTAGAAAAATGAACTGAACTTTAACCTAGTTGATAGAGTTTAAGACATTAAAATATCCACAAATAAAACCATAGTTGAGTCAGGTTTGGTAGACATTTTAAAAACAGTTGGGTAACATGATACCTCTAGTTTTGTTCTTTTTATCCCGTTTGCAAATGACATGATTCCATATCTAGAAAACCCCACAGTCTGTGCCCAAAAGCTCCTTAATCTGACACACAACTTGAGCAAAGTTTCAGAACAAAAAATCAATGTATAAAAATCAGTAGCATTCCTATACATCAACTCCAAGTTGAGAGCCAGGTCACGAATGCAATCTGACTCACAATAGCCACAAAAAGAATAAAATTCCTAGGATTACAGCTAACTAAGGAGGTGAAAGACCTGTATAACCGGAATTACAAAATACTGCTCAAAGAAATCAGAGATAACATAAACAAATGGAAAAGAATTCCATGCTCTTGGATAGGAAGAATTAATATTGTCCAAATGGCCATACTGCCCAAAGCAATGTGCAGATTCAGTGCTATTCCTATCAAAACTGCCAATGACATTCTTCACAGAATTAGAAAAAACTATTTTAAAATTCATATGGAACCAAAAAAGCTCAAATAGCTATGGCACTCCTAAGCAAAAAAAAAAAAAAAAGCAAAGCTGGAGGCATCACATTACTCGACTTCAAATTATACCACAAGGCTATAGTAACCAAAACGTTGTGGTAGTGGTACAAAAATAGACACATAGGCCTATGGAGCAGCATAGGGAACTCAGAAATAATGCCACACACCTGCAACCATGTGATCTTTGACAAAATCAACAAAAACAAGCAATGGGGAAAGATTTCCTGCACAGTAAATCGTACTGGGATAACTGGCAAGCCATATGCAGATGATTAAAGCTAGACCCCTTCCTTACACCATGTACAAAAATCAACTTCAGATGGATTAAAAACTTAAACCTAAAATCAAAAACCAATAAAAACCCTGGAAGATAACCTGGGAAATACTATCCTGGACATAAGACCTGGGAAAGACTTCCTGACAAAGATGCCAAAAGCAATTGCAGCAATAACAAAAATTGGCAGATGGGACCTAATTATACTCTTTTAAAGAGCTTCTGCACAGTAAAGGAAACTATCAACAAACAACAGACAACCTGCAGAATGAGAAAATATTTGCAAACTATGGATCTGGCAAAGGTGTAATATTCTGAATGTATAAGGAACTTAAACAAATTTACAAGCAAAAACCAGACAACCCAATCAAAAAGTGGGCAAAGGACATGAACAGATACCTTTCAAAAAAAGTGGGCAAGGAACACAAACAGACACCTTTCAAATGGAGACATTTATGTGGCCAACAAACATATGAAAAAATGCTAAACATCACTAATCATTAGAGAAATGTAAATCAAAACCACAGTGAGATACCATCTCACACCAGTCAAGGTGGCTGTTAATAAAAAGTCAAAAATAGCAGATGCTGGTGAGGTTATGGAGATAAGGAATCACTTATGCTCTGCTGGTGGGAATGCAAATTAGTTCAGCCATTGTGCAAAGCAGTTTGGCGACTTCTCAAATAACTTAAAACAGATTACCATTTGACCCAGTAATCCCATTATTGGATATACATTCGAAGGACTATAAATCATTCTACTGTAAACACACATGCATGTGTATGTTCATTGCAGCACTATTCACAATAGCAAAGACATGGAATCAACCTAAATGCCCATCAGTGGTAGACTGGATAAAGAAAATGTGGTATTAAATACATATATACCATGGAATACTATCCAGCCATTAAAAGAATGGGATCATTTCCTTTGAAGCAACATGGATGGAGTTTGAGGCCTTTATCCTAAGCAAACTTATGCAGGAACAGAAAACCAAATACCGCATGTTTTCATTTATAAGTGAGAGCTAAACACTGAGTACACATTAACACAAAGAAGGGAACAACATACACTAGGGCCTACTTGAGGATGGAAGGTAGGAGGAGGGTGATGACTGAAAAACTACCTATCAGGTACTATGCTCATTACCTAGGTGATGAAATAATTTGTACCCCAGACCACTGTGACATGCAATTTACCTATATAACAAACCTGCACACATATCCCTGAACCTAAAATAAAAGTTAAATAAATAAGTAAAATGGTCCTGTTTAAGAACCATTTTTAATTTCTTTTTTGAGAACTGTCTGTACATATTTTTTCTTTTTTAAATTAGGCAATTGATCTTTTACTAATTAATTTATAATCTCTATAATATCCAATAAGTAAATTAGCTCTTTTTGGTGAGTTCTACTTTTCCCCAGTTTATCTTTTTACATTGTTTATATTATAGTTTCTTCATGCAGAAATTTTATTTTATTTTTTTCAACTTGTTTTGATCTTCTTTTATCATTTAGGAGACTGCTGTCTCTTTTTGAAAGTCTTTATTCTTGACATCATAAGAAAAATTGTGTCTTCTAGTAGTGATAATAACAGTGACAATAAAAACAAATAGTACTAACATAACTCTGTACCAGGCACAATTTCTAATCACAGCTTGATGAAGTAGATGGAATTTCTAACTCAATTTTATAGAAGGGGAACTAGACTTGCAGAATGTTTGATTAAATAACATGTCCAAAGTCATGTAGCTAGTGGGTGATGGAGACCAGCTTCTAACTCATGCAGTTTGGGTTCAGAATCCATTCTCTTAAACCAATAGGCATACTGTTTTTTCTTCTTAAATTTTTTAACATTTTTAAGTGCTTTTTTGGTATAGAAGGTTTGAGGTAGGAATTCAACTTTATTTTTGGAGTACTTGGCTAGAGGAAGAGCCAGCAAATGGGAGGATAAAGGATTGATCATCAATGTAGTAATAAAGCAAGGAATATGGTGTACCATGTAGGATACTGCTGAGATTTAAGTTGAGGAAAAATAATTTGTCAAGATGGAGTGAATCTTCCTTTATGGTATATGTTTCAGTGGAATATGCTGAAGTAGAAATCAGATGGATACTGTGTGGGAGATATGAGAAAATGGAAACAGTGAGAACAAGTCTTGAAAAGTGGCTGTGAATATGAGGTTGAGAGAAGGCTGTCGAACGGGGAAATTACTGTTATTCTCTAGAAAAAATGAAAGAGACTTACAGGTATTACACAATGCTGATAGGAAGGATTCAAAATAGAAAAGAGATTAAAGAAGATAGAGGAAGACTATTCAATAGCGGAAGTTCCTGAAAATCAAAGAAAGTGGGCTCTAAAGCACAGATAGAGAGATTTGCTTTCTATAGAAGATGCTCTATTATTTCTGGGGTCTAAGAAAAGACAGATGTAGATATAAGTGACTTTGTGAGCTTATTGGTGGGAAGTGAGAGGGTTCCCATTTGATTGTATCTATTTTTCCTGTAAAGTAGATGTCCTCTACCGAGTGGAGAGTTAGACGTTTGAAGGGGGTTGGAGATGTGAAGAGAGGAAAGAAGGTTTGAATTAGCCATCATGGAGAATATGGGAAGGATTGATGAGAGTAAACTAAGAGGATTGTTGGACATTAAGACCCATTCACTGGAAGTGGGTGGTAACAGCATGAGTTCAGTTTTCTTTATTAGTGACTTTCAGGCCAGTTCTGCCATCACACTTCGTATAGTTAATGGTTTGTGATCACTACCACCTAGGATTAAAACCAGGCATATTACTTTTAAAGCTTGTCAAGCTAATGTTTTTAGTGTGTAGAGTAAATTGGAGAAGGATGAAGAAATCGCTTTCCACTTCATTTTGATATCCTTAATTTATGCAGAACATTTCTTGAGAATAGATTATAGATGTGTATACTAATTCATTTTAAGTTTATATTAGACTATGTGATCTTGAATACCTAATTGCCAGAATTTAACAGTTGTCCCTCAGTGTCTACACAGGGGATTTGTCCCAGGACCACCCCATACCAAAATCTGAGGATGCTCAAGTCCCTTATATAAAATGACATAGTATTTGCATATAACCTATGCACGTCCTCCTATATACTTGAAATCGTCTCTAGATTACTTATAATACCTAATACAATGTAAATGCTATGTTAATAGTTATACTCTATTTTTAAAATTTGTAGTATATTTTTAATTGTATTATTTTTTACTGTATTTTTTTCCTGCATATTTTTGATCTGCAGTTGTGGAGCCTGCAGATATGGAGGGCTGAGAGTAATGTATTTTAATAGTAAACTCATTTTTCTTAAAATGTAATTTTCAAAATGTACAGAAAGTTTTCCAGCAATGTCCCCAAATCCAAAATCATTCATTATTAAATTTGTTTGTTTTTTTTACACAGGGTGTGATAGGTATACAGCTGGTTGTTACCATGGTGATGGCCAGTGTCATGCAGAAGATTATACCTCACTATTCTCTTGCTCGATGGCTACTCTGTAATGGCAGGTAAGGCAAGGATAGGCTGATTTCAACTGACACTTTCAATCTCTAGTTTACCAAACTGATTAAATTCCTAGTTACTGTTTCTAAAACTTTAACAAAAGGAAGTCATAAGAAAAATCTAGCTTTCTTATTTCTCTTAAAAAATTAATTTTTTTTTTTTGGAGACAAGACCTTGCTATGTTGCCCAGGCTATTCTTCAACTCCTGGCTTCAAGCAAATCCTCCCACCTTGGCTTCCCAAAGTTCTGGGATTGCCTCATTATAGCTTCCTTATTACTCTTAGTTTGAGATATTAGTAGTTTATCTGTTTAGCACAAAGGTAATAGGGTCATGGACAAGAATTCAGTCCTCCCACCCCTACCTTCTTTCTTTTTCGGTCTGTGGGCACTGAAAACACCACATATTTTTCTAATTACCTTTAAAAAATTTGATCAACAAGGGGGTGAGAAATTGTAAATCCAAGTGCTTAAGTATTTTTGCTATTGTTCGAAGAAAATACTGAAAGCATATATTCTATTGGTGGCTCAGTCCAGAATTTATTATAATACAGATATTAGGAGTTCATAGTTTTACTGCAAAGAATTTTAAACTGTTTAATTTAGCAAGGAGGGGGATAAAGTTATGTTGTGGGATTTTAATTTTGTCTACTACACCATAGGCTCACAATCCCTACTCCTTCCACAAAGGAGCTAAGTAGGCTTGCTGAAACATGTACCTCCCACCCCTCAACAAAATTAGATTAAAAAAGTATAGGTATAGATACAGTGGGGAGAAATCAAGGAAAGTCTGCACACAGAAATACATGCCAAAATCCTGTGTAGTTGTGAAAGGTAAGTGATAAATTTGGTACCATGACTATTTATTTCAATTGTTCATTTCAGTTAAATAACCAAATTTTGTTACTGCTTTCTTTTGGTTAGGCCTATTGAAGTTAGAAAAACAATGGATACCTGTCCTAGTAATGATTTCATGTTCTACAAGACAAATACGCTTTTCATTCAGGGTCATCCCATTTACAAAGCTTAAATTTCCTTCACATAATTTATTTTCTATTTTAAATTATTTGTATTCTTCTCTGTGCTTTCTACTTTTTCCATATTGATGTTTAATATTGAAAAATATTATTCAGACTGCTTTAAAATTTTTTTGGAACAATGTGATACACAGGTGTGTGTGTGTATACTGAATGTGTGAGAGAGCTGTTCACAAATGCACATTTTGAGGAACAAAATAAATAATGGCTAAAGTTTTGGTAAAGTGTAAAATAAGTGAAAATAATCTTTAACTATTTTTTTACTGTGTAGGCTTAATATGCCTGTGCAATCTTGTTTACTGATTTAGCTTAGCAAAACCATTTTCGAAGATCAGGAAAAGATGAACATGAGCTGGGCAAATTATCATTAATTTGAAGTAAAAAGGGTCTCAGTAAACTAAGTAACATACATTAAGGCAGCTTACTTTCTCTTGAGAATTGCGTGTTTCTAAACTATGTTTATGATGTAATGTCACTTCCTTATCTCCTTTGTCTGTAAAGACCTTGACAATCTTGTCCCATTTTAGTGTACATGCATTTTCATCTTGTTACATATTCTGTTTTCCATCTATTTCTATAAAATTTATACTCACTAGTGAAAACTAAAGCCTGAGAGATCAAAAAGCTGATTATCTTTATTAATATTGGAAGATTTATATTTAAAATCTTTTTCTGATCAGAATGTGTCGTAATATACATAGATAATTTGAGAGTAAGCTCAGCCTTTAAAAAGAAACACGAAATTGGTTTTCTTTGTGATCTTGACTTGCTTTTGTAAATGGATTAACTTTTGTGTTAATTAATGCTGCCTGTAATGCCATATCAGGTTCTAAGGATATCGAGAAAGTCTAGTAGTGGTTACTTTTCTGCTATAGGTAGTTTCATTTCCTCTCAATTTTGTTTTGTTTTGTTTTTAAGATTATCTACCTTTTTTAATGTTAAGTCCTGAAATTTTGAGGTCATGTTGTCATTTATCTCAATCGAATAAGATTATTGATTTTATCCTTTTGGCATAATTATTATTTTATGAGCCTTTTGTAATATATAATAATTCTGTTTTAATAGAAAAAAACCTAAAATTATAAATTGCCTATGTAAAAATATTACTGATCAGAAATGACAGTTTGCATTTTAAATCATATGATGCAGTTGGGTTGAAGAGAGAAATCCGAGGGCATTCTTTAGGGTCTATAAAGTGCTTAAAGGAATTTAAGGAGAGGATCATGAATTTTTTTTTACAACTATGAATAGTGTAGGATGGCTTGGGAGTGACTATATTGAATAGAACTATTTAAAAGAACTATTCAAGTAAATAGATGTGTAGATAACATGAGAGATTAATCATGAGTATGACAGAAGAAATTTGTTTCTGTGTATATCATGTTAATATTCATTTATTCCATTGGTATCCTAAATTGTAAATAAATGTTCTTTTTTTTTTGTTATGGCTTCTCTTTTGGTGTCAATTAATCTGTCCTGTCTCTCATTGACCTCTTTCCCTTTGAAATGGAGAGTTTGAAGTTGCAGCCGATTGTAGTGCAGTTCGCCCTCCATATTTCTGGATTCAGCCAATCATGGATCAAAAATACTCAGAAAAAAAATACAAGTTTAAGTTAAAAACATACACTATAAAAGCTATATAGCATCTGTGTTGTATTAGGTATTATGAGAAACCTAGAGATTATTTAATATATAAAGGAGAATGTGCGTAGTTTTTATGCAAATAAAAACTTTTGTATAAGGAGTTTTAGCATCTTTGGATTTTGGTATTCTGGAAGGGGTGTTGGGGGCATTGGATGGTCCCCCACCTACCCCCAGTTTCCCTCAGATACCTGGGGACAATTGTATGTCGACTTAATGAGTAAGCCATTTTCCTGAAAGAGTTAATACCTTGACAAAATAAGCAATTATACTTGAAGGAATAAGCAGCTTTTACTTACAAATTAGTTTGTTGATTTTTAATATTAAAAAATTGACTAATTTTGTAGCTCTTGTTAAATAACACATATTGCTATTAGTATTTTTTTTAGACTGTTCTTTTAAACTTTTTTTTTAAAAGAAACTGTATAGTAGTCTGGTTTAACTCTATTAATATTACCCTTATAATTGTTTAAAATTTTATACTGATACAATTTTTTAAATGTTTTGTTTCATTTAGATCTGTTCATTGAGCTAGGGAGGTGTGGTGATATGTTACAACTTCCAAAATCTCAGTGTTATAAAATTAATGGAAGTTTCTCAGTTTCTTCAGACAGGAAGCAGGGTCAAAATGGGGAATCAGAAAGGGATTGGGCAGCTCTCCAGGTAGGTCCCTCACAAAATGATGACTCAAGGGCTCAGCTATCCTCTGAGCTATCCTTCTTCCCTTAGGACTCCTCTGTTCCCCCTGCTACCTTGGAGTCCCCTGCTAGATTGCTGTGCCAGTTGGTGAGTGAAGAGAGAGTGAGCTGTGGATCTTTCAGGAGATTCTTAAGTGTCAAACTTAGAAGTAGATACATCATTTTTGCCCACATTACATAGGCTGGGGCCTTGTGACTAGTTCTGGCCAAAGTGCAGGGGAGGCTGGGAAATAATACTTATGGTATAAAAAACAAGATTGGTGAGTACCTAGTTACTTTCTGCCATAGGTGATATTATCTCCATTTTTACAAATGACAAAACAAGTTTTAAATGATTTACTCAGTTTCACACACTGATAAATGAAACAGATCCAGACCTCTTATCCTGAAAGTCTGATTCACAGTCTAGTATTTATGTGATTTATGGCTGCTCATCAGTTCCACATCTTGTCCTGGAACTGTCATACTTGAATAGAGTTTTAAATTTGGTTGGGGAGACAAATACAACTTTTCTACAATCACTGTGACTTTTGTTGGCAGTTTACGGAGTAATTTATTTAAATTATTTTCCTTTTCTATTTTGTTTTTCAAGCCATACTTCGTCTTTTAGAATATATCCTATAGGTTATAAGTAGTATGCAGTTCACTTGCTATGTTCTTATGGATTCTCCATGACAACATAATCAGCTTTTATTTTAAATTAAATTAAAAGGCACATCAGCATTTGATTACCAAAAGCATGCTAAGTATTAAGTAGAGTTTAAGAATCTAATGCCCTCACACTGTCTCTTTCTCTTTCCTTCCTAAAAGGGAACAAAAATCCTTAGAAGTTGTTTCTCTGTTGTGAACTGCTTTCCCTCATATAAGGAACACTTGTTCTAACAGTTGGTCATATCAGTTAAAGACGTTCTTATCATGTCCCATATACCACTGATTTGTAGCCAAAGTATTCACTACTTTGTATTGTAATAAAAGTTCCTTTTTGTTTTGAAGTTTGCTTGGCCCCTCTTTTCTTGGAGAGGTAAGTGTTAGGTTATATTCTTTGTACATTTGAATAGTGGGTTTTGCATGAGGAGTAGGATACTGCTTTTTCTCTGTGATAGCTTCCTTGCTGAACCTGCTTTCTGTTTTTTCTAATTGCTCAGTTCAAACCTCATGCGTTTTTCTCTACCCCTTTATCTTCTGAAGTCTAGTTTGGTCTGCTGCTTCCCTTCATAAGTCCCTCACTGAAAATATATTATGGTCAGATTTATTCTGATTTTTGTCTCATCCCATATCGGTTAAAGAGGGTGTTATAACACCTTCATATCCAATTGCTCTAATTCTTTTTGCCTGTTCTTTATTGCATGTTGCCTGATCCAGTAATCTGCAAGTTCCCTTTGATGAGAGAAACCTACCATTCAGATGCACAGTAGGTGGGACCTATGACCTAAGGGAAAAATTTAAACCTTCAGCTACTACCCTTAACGGAATGCCTGAGTCCTTGCTCTCCTCGCCTTAGCTTTTTTAACTTCCAGTTCCAGAATGTTCATGATATTCTATCAAAATTTCTAACAAGTGTATATAATGTGTACAACAAATAGCATTTTAGCTACTTGCGCTGAAAGATTGTCTAGGTTTTAAGTGGTATTTGTTTTTGCTTAAGCCTCCCCTCCACTGGTCAAAATTATAGATTTAGAATGGAGACTAAAACTGTCATTAGTGACTGTTTTAGTAGGTTAGGGCTGCTATTACAAAGTACCATAGACTGGATGGCTTCTCAACAGCAGAAATGTATTTCTCAGTTCTGGGGGCTGGAAGTCTGAGGTCAGCATGCTAGTATGGTCAGGTTCTGGTAAGGACCCTCTCTCAGGTTGCAGACTGCTTACTTCTTGTATCACCACCTGGTGGAAAGAGAACAAGCTAGTTCTCTGACCTCCTTTTAAAAGGGCAATAATCCTATTAATGAGGGCTCCACTCTCACGAACTAGAAACTCCTGAAAGTTCCCACCTCCAGATACCATCACACTGGGGATTAGATTTCAACACAAGAATTTGAGGGGGGTGGGGACCATAAACATTCAGTCTATAGCAGTGACCTATGTTGTATATCATGAAATAGAGTTTTATATGATTATGTAT
Source organism: Homo sapiens (assembly GCF_000001405.40). NCBI lineage: Eukaryota > Metazoa > Chordata > Mammalia > Primates > Hominidae > Homo > Homo sapiens. The sequence continues at coordinate 88,235,323 of NC_000005.10, read as the reverse complement.
TAAAGCTTATTTAGCTTGTGCTATTAAAACTGTGCTTTTCTGTGTTTGCTCACATTTAGGTTTCTATTTTAAATTTCTAAAAGTTTTATTTCTTAAAATTTCTAAAGCACTATAAATGCTACTTAAATTTTAAAAATAAAGTCTAGGTCAGGACATTCTATATTTTCTGCTACATATTTTTTCAGTGTTGAACTGTTTTAGTAAGAGTTGTAGTTGTCTGATAATATTTTATATTAGAGGTTTATATAAGAATGATCATTGAGAAATTAATTTAGTAGAGTACAGTATCAGATTGGCTTTATTATCAGAGTCACTGCAGATAATCTGAGCATAAGTGAAAAAAGCCACCAAGTAGCCAAAGTAAAAGCTATGTACTGAAAGTTGTATATTTAACTTAAATATGAAAGGCTTATTTATTTATCTTAGAGACAGGATCTTGCTATGTTGCCCAGGCTGGTTTCAAACTCCTAGGCTCAAGCAATCCTCCTGCCTTAGCCTCCCAACGTGTTGGGATTACAGGTGTGAGCCACCACACCCAACTGAGTTTTTAAGTGAGATTCTGTTAATACTTACTCTCAATTTTCTAAGAAATATATTTTTTCCCATTTCAAAAAGAGTACATTCTACATGCTACATTCTAATGACTTTTATATCTGTATCTGTCTTCCAAGCCCATATTAGAAAGGCAAGCATAGTGCAGCAGTTGCAAGCAGGCCGTCATTTTATTGAGATAGACATACCACTTAATACCAAAGGAAAAGACTGGAAATTGAGACCAGAATACAAAATGTAGTAGCTGGGAACCATGCTATGTGGAATCAAACTGTATATGCAACACTGACTGCTAAAGAAAATTGTGAAACTGTACTTGTAGGTTTTACTTGGAATCTATGATCACAGACCTTAGATGGCTGCTTTATACTGCCTGGCAGAGTTTGTATGCTGTACTTCTCAGACAACTTTTTCAACCTAAATCCTTTCTCTCCAAAACTTAAGCATCTGTACCTCAGCCTCACCCTAAGCTCTTGAAACAAGCGCCCATCACTCTCATCTGTATACTACCAAACCACAACTCTGGTTAAATGTGCAGCCCCTCTTCTTTATCTTTAAATTTGTAAAATGTATTTTATCACCTGCTCCATTTCAGTTGGATTATTCCTGTTACCACACACACTTTTTTTTTAAACTTCTCCCATTTAAAGTAACAACAACGAATAAAGAAGTCACAGCCCTACCTCTCTCCCCCTTAAAAAACAAAGCCCCTCCATATCCATTTCTTAGTTTTTGGCCATTCCTCTATTTCCCTTTGTAGCCAACTTTGTTGAAATGTTGTCTACATAAACTTTACTTTTTCACTTTCTCATTAACTAGTGTTATACTATCTTTTAGTTCCTTTTTAGTTGGTTTTATTAATCCCTATGGATTTAGGTGCCACAATTATGTAATCACCTCAAATTATCTCTGAACTGCAGATTCTAATATCTAGTTGCCCTGTCACTTTTACTTGATGTCTCATGGGTACTTAAAACTCAGCATTTTTAAGTTCTTGATTTCTTCCTGATCTCTTCCATATCAGAAAAGGTACCATCATCTTCAAATCAGAAATGTAGATATTATCCTTTATTGCTTACTTTTGTTCACTCTCTACCTTTAGTCCATCAGCAAGACCTGTTGATTCACTGCCCTTGTCTCCCTCTAATTCACAGAACAACCAAAGGGATCTTAAAATGTGAATCAAATTATTTATCTACATTGCTTTGAGACCATTATTTAGCATAAAATCTGAAGTCCATACTATGACCTATTAGCCTTTGCATGATCTGTTCCCTTCTTACCTCTTCAGTCCCCTCTTATGTTTCTCCTTGAAGCTCTTGCCTCATTGCCTTTTAGTTACTGTAATGTCCTATGTTCTTTCATGCCTCTGTGCTTTTGGATTTGGTGTTCTCTGCCTGAAATGCTCTTCTTCTGTTTTCTCATTCTTTAGGTTGCTGGTTAAATGTCTCAGAGAAGTTTTTCCTCACCTAATATCTAAGGCTGTCTCTCACATTTTCACCACTTGTTTCATTCTTTCATGTGGTATGACAATTTATTTTTCACTATTTAATTGGTTAAATTTTACCCCAACTGGAATATAACCATCAAAAAGGCAAAGGCTTTGGCTTTAATTGGTTGTGATTATATCTCCTCTGCCTAGCAGAGTATCTGAATACAGAAGGTTCTCCCTAAGTGACTGATAAATGAATGAATGGGTAGGTGAATAACAGACTAGAAGTGACCCTAAAAGTATCGAGCATCCTTAGATTCCAACTTTGAACAATAATTCTCACTAATAAAGATAACCCTGAGTTATCCCATAGGAAATGTAATAAATCTAAGCCATTTTAGAGAAATGAGTTTACAAAATAAGATTTAACAAATATGAGTATATTTAAAAAGAAAATGTGTCTTAAGGCCAGGCGCGGTGGCTCACGCCTGTAATCGCAGCACTTTGGGAAGCCAAGGCGGGCAGATCATGAGGTCAGGAGGTGGAGACCATCCTGGCTAACACGGTGAAACCCCATTTCTACTAAAAAATACAAAAAATTAGCCGGACATGGTGGCGGGCGCTAGTAGTCCTAGGTACTCGGGAGGCTGAGGCAGGAGAATGGCATGAACCCGGGAGGCAGAGCTTGCAGTCAGCCAAGATCGTGCTACCGCACTCCAGCCTGGGTGACAGAGTGAGACTCTGTCTCAGAAAAAAAAAATAAGAAAATGTGTCTTAAAATATTTCATTACTATAGGGCTCTAAATAAAATCTAATTTTTCCTATACTGAGAGTTCTTTCACTAATTATTATTTCTCAAAGCTGAACAACTAATTTTAGTCTTTATACATGAGTTATTCTGGATCATTTTCTTTTATATGAGTTATTTCTTATAAGTGTTCTTCTAAATGTTATGCACTCATCTTCATTATTTGTGGATTTTGTTTTGTGATTTGCCTACTTGCTAAAATTTATTTGTAATTCCAAAATCAGTGCTTTTATGGTCATTCATGGACATAGACAGGGACGAAAAATTTGAGTGGTCCATACATGCATGTTCCTGGTTGAGGTCTAACAAGGCAACAGTCTGCCTTATTGTTTCGGCTGTCATACTGTAAACAAATCTCCTTTTTATGATCTGTTTAGGGCCACATTTTTTTACAATTTTGCTTTTCGTTGGTGATCTTGCTGTTTAAAATGGCCCCCAAGCATAGTGCTGAAGGTAGTGTCTAGTATTCGTAAGCACAAGAAGGCTGCTTTATGGAAAAAAATTGCTGGAATGACACACAGAACTAAAAAAAAATGCTATACTTAATGATTACTGGTATTAGGTAAGCTTTGCTCAGGGATGAGTTATGCTTTTGGCTGTGAATTCAATGTTAGTGAATCAATGATATATATTAAATAAGATATCTTTAAACAGAAACACACATAAAAGAAGCTTGGGTATTGATCAGTTTATGAAAATGTTATGACCAGAGGCTCGCAGGAACCTAACCCTGTATTTCCCCTAGGAGCAATGGTTCAGTGTTTGTGGCAACTTTATAAAACCTAACTACCGCGAATAACGAGAATCAATTCTGTAAGTTAAAATTCTGGACTTCAGTATAAATTCAGGAAGTGCCTCCTTACCTGTTTATTGTAATTTAGGGACTTTTAGGTTGGGATATATATATTTTTTATCGTAAATTCATTAGGCAAAGAACTGAATTCCGTTTGGTTCAGTTACTGTTTTTGAGCACTTGCTCTATGCCAGTAACTGTACTAACTTTGAAGTATACAAAAAGCAAGAAAGCCATAAAATCTTTTCTCCAAGAATCTTTCACTTAGGGTAACATTCCATTTTAATCCAACTTATCTGAAACCAACTGAGTATACTGCACTTGTATTCTGACAGTAATTACCTGGAGTTAGTACAGACCCCACAGGTTAAAGGCGAAGTTCTCCGTAAGATTGTCACCACTTCAGATACCAGTTTCAAGTTTTCAGAGTACCCAGGCCACCTGCACTTCTCACTTATTAATAGGCTACAAATTTGAGGATTCCCATGATCCCCTCAGATCCAGTAATCTGCTAGAATGATTCATAGTACTTAGGAAACTGCTTTATCTATTATTACAGTATTATTTAAAGAAAGCGCATAGGGTAAGTTCTGGGAAAGAGCAGAGTTTCCATGCCCTTTCACTCTGAAGTCAGGATTTCACCCTCTGGGCACATCAATGTGTTAACCAACAGGAATTTTCTCTGAGCTTTGAAGTCCAGAGTTTTTTTGAGTTTCATTATATAGGGACAATTTTAAGTCATTGATACGAAATTGATTTCAATGATCCAACTTAATTTCCAGGCCCCTCCCATCACTGGAGGTCAAGTTCCTGAAAGTCCTGACCCTCTAATCATGTGCTTGGTGTTTCTGATAATCAGCTCCATCCTGCAGCTATCTGGGGCCCACCTTGACCTACCTCATTAGCATAACAAAGATACTTCTACACTCTTGTTTTTATAAGGACTTTTAAAACTCTGTGCCAAGAACTGGGGACAAAGAGCAGATATATTTTTTATTATACCACAAGAAGACTGCTTGTAAACAATAGGAGATAAGAGTTTGCCAAGTAGGGGCATAGGTGTTCACAAGGAGAGAAGAATATATGCAAAAAGCACCAAGGGATGAAAGAATTTGTGAGGAAGAAAATGTCACTTAGTCAAGCCAGAAAGTGTCACCTTCAAATGGGAATGGTTGAAGGTGAATCTGGAGAAGTAGGCATTGGTCAGATCATGAAAGGCTGTAGAAGCAAGAGATAATGCATGACCCCCATACACATGTGGGCCTTGAAATATGTGTTTTAATGGGAATTTTCAAGTATACAAGGAGTAGATAGAATTATGAATTCCTGTGTACTCATCACAATTAATAGCTGATGGCCAAACTTGTTTCATCTGTACTTCCCCCAGCGTACATTTCAGTATATATATCAAAAATAATGAGATTTTTAAAAATTACCACAATCTCATTATCATACCTAAAATTTTTTAATGTAATCAAATATTCAGTGGGTACTCAGATTGCCAGTTCTACAGTTGTTGCAGTTTTTTTGTTTGTTTGTTTTGTTTTGTTTTTGAGATAGGGTCTTACTTTGTTGCCCAGAGTGGAATGCAGGGGCACAATGATGGCTCATTACAGCCTTGACTTCTCAGGCTCAAGCAGTCCTCCCACCTCACCCTCTCCCCCGACCACAGGTGCATGCCACCAGACCTGGCTAGTTTTTTAATTTTTTGTAGAGATACGGTCTCACTGTGTTGCCCAGGTTGGTCTCAAACTCCTGGCTTCAGACAATCCTGCAGCCTTCTAAAGTTCTGGGATTACTGGTATGAGCCGCCATACCTGGCCTGCCGTGTTTTTAAAACAGCAAATCAAAGAGACTGTGCACCATGGCTAATGCTTATAATCCCAGCATTTTGGAAAGCTGAGGAGGGAGGATCCTTTGAAGCCAGGAGTTCGAGACTACCCTGGACAACCAAGTGAGCCCCTGTCTCTATTTTGAGGACGGGGGGAACAGCAATTGGGAAATTTCAAATTTAAAAAATCTAGATTTTTGTAATTGAAGAATTGGGGGGTCTAGCATACTAGATATGCATTTTTTCCTTTGTAATAATAGGGCCTTTGTCAAAGTTTTTGCCTAGCTGCCTTATTCATTGCTTTTCCCTGTGAGGAGCCTTGGAAATGATTTAAACAGGCATGGGTCTTGATAAGATTTGTATTACGGAAAAATAAGTAAAGGTGGTCCACCTTTCTGTAAGATAAAAAAAAAAAAAACCAATAACTAGAGGTAAGCTCAGATGGATTTGATGAGTAATGTGTCCACAGGAAGGCAGGGAGGATACCAGTGAGAGAATTTTGCAGTAGTCAGATGTTCAGAGGAAGATACACTGAACTAAGGTCTGAACTAAGGTCTCTGCAGTAGGGCAGAGTTTAGAATTTTAAGAGTTGAGAAACAGAATTAATAATAGCATGTGGAGAGGGCACATTGAAAATAAGATATGAATATCAAATTTAAGTGATTTGTAGATAGTTGGGATGACTAGGCAAGCCATGAAATTCAGGATGAGCCACTTGGTGCTTGGGAGGGAATAATTGATTAATTTGGATCGTGAGTATTTCTTCACTTCAGATTAAAGTATTTTGACTGTGGTAGAGAGGGATACAACCAGTTGTTGGATCCTTACCTGAGGAAGGTTAGATATAGCTAAAAGTGAAGTGTTTTTTAATACAATGATTTTCTGTAATTATTCTACACACAAAGTTTGAGAATTCTCGAACTAAATTAAAAAAGGGAAAGAAAGGAAAGACTACCTGTAAATGTGAGAATTCATTCAAACACCTCTCTTTTTAAGATAACTCTCAATTCCTTCAAATGAGGGATTAGTAGAGAATTAATGTGCTCCTGCCCACTTGGCTACAGACTTCACTTTATTTACTTTTAATAATAAGCCTGTATAATCTTAATATGTATTAATACATTGTCATTTGTAAGAAATATACATACAAATGGCATTGTAGGACCTGGCATCTAGTAAGTGGTTGGTTAAGTGTCTGCTGGATGTTTATCTAAACCCTTTTAAAGTTTAAGAGTTAGTATTTGTTTCAGATTACAGTTTTCACCTGATATTTCTCGACAGTGTCTTCACAAATATGAAACTTAATAAATATTTATAGGATGAAGAATAATTCTGGTGATTTTAAGCGCTTTATTTAAAAGAATTCTTTTTTTGCTTAGTTTGAGGTGGTATCAACATCCTACAGAAGAAGAATTAAGAATTCTTGCAGGGAAACAACAAAAAGGGAAAACCAAAAAAGATAGGTAAGTTTTATTGAGCTTGTAAAGTAATAAATATTTAACACAATTTATATAAATACATTTTTATGCTTTGATTAAAGAAACATGTACCAATTATGTTGTAAGTAGTTGATAAATTTGAGATCAAAACCCATGAAAATCTAATCTGTAGTAATATATACACACAAAATAGTGATTATTTTACTCAAGAACTTTATTCTTTGTTTAAATCATGAAAACAATATAGCCATCATACTAAAGAAAATGTAATTGGGGGTTGACTGGGGAGAGACTTATAACCCATATCTTTATCCTACAACTAATTAAAGACGTCAGTTGGTTTGGGTTATTTTCCAGTTTTTGCTGCTACTGTGTATTGTGGCATTGGGGAAATTAACCTGCTCTTGGCCTCAGTTTCCTCATTTTATAATTAAAAGGGAGGGACAATATAACTGTGTAGGTCCCATCAGCTCCTGAATGTTCTTTTCATGTTTAAAGTTTATGAAGAGAACTACCTACTAATTGACCTCACAGAACAGACCATAGAAGCCTCATCTGTGACTTGGACAGAGTAAACAAAACAATGTTTTGAATAATCCTTCCAGCTTTAAGATTTTATATCTCTATTTAAATAGAATTCTTAGGGAAAGTGTATGTTAATTACCTCTCTGAATGGACCGTAGTTTTCTCAACTGGGGATCTAGGAGGACTTCTTAGGTCCCCTGTGACTCTGAAATGATTGATTGACAACAAATTATAACCATATTTCTCATGTATATCATAAAAATGCTAACCTAGCCTAATACATTTATAGAAGCTAAAAAATGATTAAACATTAATGATTATTTGGCATCAAATTGGAAATTTGAAAAGACTGTCTTTTTTGATCTTACTACCATCCTTTTTCACTTATCATTACAAATATACCTGGAAGCTCATTGGACTATTAATAGTAAACCTTCCTTCTTTTTATTCCAGTAGTTAAGTTCTTTAATAAAATAGTCCTGCCTAACATTATAGTTTCCAGAGCACTTTTATACACAGTTCTACTTAATCCACAAAACAACCGTGTTAGCTAATAATTTAATTTACACTTTACTAATGAGAAGCTAGGATCAGAGATGTTAAATGAGTTGCCCAAATTTACATAACTAGTAAGGTTACGTACTGGTAACCAGGATTTGAATCTAGGTTAGTTTTTAGTTTCTGTTTCTTTTTAACTATTCCCCTTCCACCCATTTATAGCTACTATGTTCAACATTTGTAAAATTTAGTTATGTAGAAAGAGTCTCACTCTGTCACTCAGGCCGAAGTGCAGTGGCACAATTCTGGCTCACTGTGGCTTCAACCTCCTTAGGCTCAAATGATCTTCCCACCTCAGCCTCACGAGTAGCTGAGACCAGATGCATGCAACACCATGCCCAGATGATCTTCCCACCTCAGCCTCCTGAGTAGCTGGGACCAGATGCATGCAACACCATACCCAGCTAGTTTTTAAAAAAAAAAATTTGTAGAGACAGGGTCTCCCGGTGTTACCCAGGCTGGTCTCTCCTGAGATTAAGCAATCCTCCTGCCTCGATCTTCCTGGCCTCTCAAAGTGTTGGAATTACAGGTGCGAGCCATTGCACCTGGCCTGAATCCTTATTATAATGCCTTGTAATGAATAATTCTGTTCTGCAGTAATTTTTAATAGGTTGAACATGCCTTATAGTTACAAAAAGATACATTAACATTGCTGCCTTGTTCCTAGTAACAAGAATTATTGTTTGGTTTATTAACATGAAATTATTTTTTACTGAGGCTTTCCAGTTTTTTATTCAAGGATAAATGCAAAGTTGTTTTTCAGTATTGAAATTAATATTATTAAAACTTAGTTGAAGCTGGCCATGGGGGTGTGTACCTGTAGTCCCAGCTACTCAGAGGCTGAAGCAGGAAAATTGTTTGAGCCCAGGAATTTGAGTCCAGCCTGGGCAACTGTGTGTCTAAAGAAATACATAAAGTAATAAATTGAAACCTTAGTTTATTGCTTTCTATATGTTTGTCTTTAAAAATTAAATTTGGGAATCATACAGATACACCGGAAGAATTTGTTTTCCTTCATCTGTGATTTTTAGTAAAAACTATTCCAAGTTAGTCTTTCATGTTTCTGAATTTCTCATACACGTAAATCTTTCTTCAACTCTGACTTGCATATGGTTCCGGGTCTGTTTATATGTATGTGTGTGTGTGTGTTTATACACGTCACTTCAAGGAGAAGTGCACTTTGTCTTCATTTGCATTTACTCTTGTGCCTAAAGAGAAAAGAGAGTAGGAGAAATGGGTGTGAAATGCTAAGCTAGAAAAAAAAAGATTTTGTTGCAGTAACTAATTTAGGTAATTATTTCCCTGGTAATCTGTATATTCACATGATAATTTACATTCAGATTTTATAGTACCCCTTTAAAAACTACCTTTGAGTACTTTACCTCCTTATTGATGAAATATTAGAAATTCTGCCTTTTCACTGTGAAATTTAAAACTTCATCTGTAATTAGTTTGAAACAAGCACTTGGATAACAGTGTAGGTAACTTGTTTTTTGTGTCACTTGTCTGATTTTTATAGGAAATATAATGGTCACATTGAAAGTAAGCCATTAACCATTCCAAAGGATATTGACCTTCATCTAGAAACAAAGTCAGTTACAGAAGTGGATACTTTAGGTAAGGGAAATCTTGATAAAATGTTCTATAAATCTCAGTTTTATATTATAGTAGTGAAAGTACTTTCATTTTAATCATTAAGTCCATTATAGAGAATATGGAATCTTTCTAAGAACTTAGAAGCTCAAATGACTTCATTTGAATTAAATTTATTTTTTTGTTCACCTAACTTGTATTATTTTTCCTATTTTCGGAAGAGGCTAACTTACACAAATTTATTACACAGTTTCTGTTTATTAGATTGAGGTCACAGTCAATTTTTATTATCTAGAATTCTAGACTTCCTTTTACTGTTTATTTCAGTCTGCCCTTTTCTAATGTGGCTTGCAAAACTGCATTTGAAATGTCCGGCCTTGAGCAGCCCAGGGGTTGGGGTGCCTACTTTTATGCAGTTGAAAAATCGAGTATGACGTATGACTTTTTACCCCCCATAACCTAACTACTAATAGCCTACTGCTAACCAGAAGACTTACCAATAACATAAAAAATCAACACATATTTTGGCTGGGCGCGGTGGCTCACGCCTGTAATCCCAGCACTTTGGGAGGCCAAGGCGGGCGGATCATGAGGTCAGGAGATCGAGACCATCCTGGCTAATGTGGTGAAACCCCGTCTCTACTAAAAATACAAAAAATTAGCCAGGCGTGGTGGCAGGCGCCTGTAGTCCCAGCTACTCAGGGAGCTGAGGCAGGAGAATGACGTGAACCCGGGAGGCGGAGGTTGCAGTGAGCCGAGATCGCACCACCGCACTCCAGCCTGGGCGACAGAGCGAGACTCCGTCTCAAAAAAAAAAAAAAAAAAAACAAAAACATATTTTGTGTGTTATGTGTATTATATACTGTGTTATAACAATAAAGTAAGCTAGAGAAAAGAAAATGTTATTAAGAAAATCACAAGGGAGAAAAAATATATTTCCTGTTAAGTGGAAGTGGATCATCATAAAAGTCTTCAACACTGTGATACTCACTTTCAGTAGGCTGAGGAGGAGAAGGAAGAAGAGGGGTTGGTCTTGCTGGTCAGGGGTGGCAGAGGTGGAAGAGAATCTGCATATAAGTAGACACGCACAGTTCAAACTGTATTGTTCAAGGATCAACTGCATTTCTATTGAATTACCCATATTTAGAGTAATTCAATTTTATTCTCACATATAGTAGAAAGGAAAATGGTTTTAGAATACTGAACTGGATTACAAATCAGAAAAATTTACTTATTCAGGATTTACTTTCATCCATTTATTTCCAAATAGGTCATTTAGTTTTCCTCCTATATATTATAGAAATGTAGTATCTCAATTTTTGTAATTATATAATGACAATGATTCTAGTTTAAAATAATATTAATATGAAATTATTTGAATCCTAGAAGGGAAAGGCATCTAAGTTGATAACAATTTAAAACACTGGTTTTTAAACTTGGGGATATATCAAAACCACTTGATGAGTTCTTTGAAATAGATTCCCTACTCCTATCCTTGAAGATTCAGTAAATCTAGAGTAGGTTTTAGGAATTTGTATTTTTAAAAGTGCTCCAAGTGATTTTGATTTTTGACTAGGTTTGAGAACCACTGGTTTATGTGATAAATGAAATGATGCGTGTTTTTAAAAAATAATTTTGATAATGTCATATAAGGTGTCATTATGTAATTTGACCCTTCTTGGGTTAAATCATACCACCATCAAAAAATCTTAAGAGGTCCAGCATCTCAAATAGGATTATTTTGTGATACAAAGTGGCTTCGAAATACGTGAAAGTTTATTATTACATCTGTAAAGGTTGTATGTATATGTAAAGCATGTCCTAGAACTAAAAAATATCAGTGAAGAACAATATAAATCACTTGTCTAATATGATTTAGACTGTTTTTTTTTTTTATTTTTTTTGAGATGGAGTCTCGCTCTGTCACCCAGGCTGGAGTGCAGTGGTGCTATCTTGGCTCACTGCAAGCTCCACCTCCCAGGTTCACGCCATTCTCCTGCCTCAGCCTCCTGAGTAGCTAGGACTACAGGCGCCTGCCACCACGCCTGGCTAATTTTTTTGTATTTTTTAGTGGAGACGGGGTTTCACCGTGTTAGCCAGGATGGTCTCAATCTCCTGACCTCGTGATCTGCCCGCCTCGGCCTCCCAAAGTGCTGAGATTACAGGCATGAGCCACTGCACCTGGCCCATTTAGACTTTTAAGACTGGTTATGTCTTCCTCTTTTTTCTTTTTAACTGTTTTACATTCAACATTTAAAACATTTAAAGGCACTTTGACTTTTTGATTAGTAGTTGTCACATTTGTTTCACTACTCCTATATGCGCTTACTTGTATAAAATGTTCATAGACGTGTATAAATACAAGAATATATAAACATTCTTCCTGATTTTTAGTAGTTTTGACATTTTTACTAATAATGTTTATTGAATACTTTGTCAGCTAATTAATAAGATCTTAAAATTATTGAGTATCAGACATTGTTATAATATTTTACTTGTATTACCCCATCTGCACAATTCTGAAGTGGGTAACTTACCAGTTTTTTTTTTTTCTTAACTCATTAGAAAGAAGAGTTGAATAACATGGACAGGGTTACACACTGAATGTGGTACAGCCATTTAGTGAGAACTAGGCTATTTCAACGAACTAAAAAAAAAAAATGAATTTAGGGTATTGTAGCTTTAGCATGTAGTTTATGGAGTATTTGGTTTCACTTTTAGGATTTTGAGAACTAGTTGCAAATGATACTCATTTATCAATTGGTCATGTAACATCAAGAGCATTTCCAGTTAACCAGAATAGCAGGGAGATGTTCATATATGTTTATAAGTTTTTGTAGTCATTTGTGAATGCATGTTGTATATATGTGATTAGGTGAAAGTATGGGGTTTTCTGTCTTAACTTCTTTTGACTTCAATATTTTATTAAAAGGCATATATATAATTGTATTATTGATTACACAAGGAATATAACACTTGAGTTAAATAGCCAAGAATATATATAATTTGTACTTTCATGGAATGTATATATTATTGATGTCCCAATAATTATCATGAAAGTCTGTCTTAATTTGTATTATCTATTATAAGAACCTCTTAAAGAACATTAGAACTTTTGAATGTCACTTCACTGTCTGCTATGAGTGAGTTACGTGGAAGAAGTCCCTATGAGTATGGGTAGGTTTGGAGAATTAGAATGCTTATTTCAATTATTGATAATAAAATTGAAAACCGTAAATGGATTTTGGTCTATCCTTTCCATCCACTTCCCTGACCTCCTTCCAGATGAAAGCCCAGTATGGGTGATTTTTTTTTTTCTTAGCAGGGGGAAGGGATTGAGGGTAAGCATCCTGTAACCACATCAGTATCTTTCAGGCTTATGTTCAGAAACTGTAGGTCAATCACAATAGAAAACCTAAAGCAGGGCTGGGGGCAGTGGCTCATGTCTGTAATCCCACCTCTTTTGGAGGCTGAGGCAGGAGGATGGCTTGAGCCCAGGAGTTTGAGACCAGCCTGGGCAATATAGTGAAACCACGTCTGTACAAAAAATTAAAAAATTACCCGAGTGTGGTGGTGTGCATCTGTAGTCCCAGTTACTAGGAAAGCTGAGGTGGGAAGATTGTTTGAGCCCGAGAAGCTGAGGCTGCAGTGAGCTATGATCACACCACTGCACTCTCAGAAAACCTAAAGCAGTTAACCTAAAAGTTAAAGTACGTTGAAGCAGATTAAGAATGTTAAAATAACTTGATGCAAATTTAAAAATTAATCATAATAGGATTTTGGAAAAATGTTATGATCATCTTATAGAAATGGTACAAAATTTGGTTAGTTTGTTTTGATACTACTTTTAATAGGTCTTACTGTATGTGATATTTTCAAAATACTTTTTCTATAAGGATATCGTATCTTCAAGTGTAATTGCATTATATTTCATGACTAAAAATTGTCCAAAGCAATGCAGATCATTTTATTATGTGCCATAAGAACATCTGAATTGATGGTTATGTACATGATTTACTTCCACATTTTTAGGAGGCCTTCTAAAAAATGATGTTGATGTTTTGGACTACACTCTGGTAGAAGTAAACCAGAATACCTATGCCACCTGAGATGCAAAGGGTGATGGAATTATATTTACTTTCAAAGAATGTTAATTTCAATGTAAACTCTTAAGAATGGAATAGTTTGTTGAAGGGGTATGGTTTTATAGAAAATCAACAGACATTTTATAAACTTTTTTGCAGAACAAAATAGGGTATAAGAGGTATATTTAGTTTATTATTTTATTTTTCTTGAGATGGAGTCTCTCTCTGTCACTCAGGTTGGAGTGCCATGGTGTGAACTCAGCTCACTGCAACCTCTGCCTCCCAGGTTCAAGCTATTCTCCTGCCTCGGCCTCCCAAGTAGCTGGGACTACAGGCACCTGCCACAATGCCCGGCTAATTTTTGTACTTTTAGTAGAAGCGGGATAGTCTTGAACTCCTGACCTCAGGTGATCCGCCAACCTTGGCCTCCCAAAGTGCTGGGATTACAGGCGTGAGCCACCGCGTCTGTTCTTGTTTATTATTTTAATCTGTAGTATCTCACAGAATTACTAGTTTACAATTAGTACAGCCAATAATTGTAACATAAAGTTAAACTCTTACTTCACAAAAGTGAACAGTATAACTAAATTGTTGTGTTCCAGACTAAGTTGTTTTCTGAAGTTAAGGTATCATAGCTAGATATTTAAAAGAAAATATTTACTAATAATTTCTGTAAAAAGTAGCTAATCAGTTAAGACAATACCAGTAAATTTGCAATCATACTTTACCAACAACTTAAATAACTTTTGGTAATCTTTTAACGTTTATTTTAATTTGTGAGGTATTAAAATTTAGTTTGGGATGCTAACATCCTCAGTCTATTTCTTGCATTTTTAGATTCATATATTTGTAAATCTTACATTGCAAATGAACAAATAAAGTCTAGCGTATTTTAATTATAAATAAATCCTCATAAGTTATTTATGAAAATGTAAGTGAAACTGTTTTTTTTGACCTTTTTTTTTTTTTTTTTTTTTTTTCTTTCCAGCATTGCATTACTTTCCAGAATACCAGTGGCTGGTGGATTTCACAGTGGCTGCTACAGTTGTGTATCTAGTAACTGAAGTCTACTACAATTTTATGAAGCCTACACAGGAAATGAATATCAGCTTAGTCTGGTGCCTACTTGTTTTGTCTTTTGCAATGTATCCTTCAAAACATCATTAATATTAATTTATTTTGCAGATAACACCATTAGATCTCATCTCTGATTTGAGAAAGATTTTATGTCATTAGATAACTTTTCTTTATTGAAATCTTTTTTATGTAATTGAAAATATTTTTCAAAGTAATAGAGGTAAATAATTTAAAAAGCTAAATATAAGAAAAATGCCAGTGCCCTGCTTTTTCTTATCCAAGTCTAATGTCACAGAGACAGCCACATTCACCTCTTTTAGGCATTTCTTTTGGGAATTCCTTCCTTGTGTTTAAATATTTTGTGATAATGTTACTATTTATATATTATTGCACCTTTCTCCCTCTTCCCTTTTCTTCCCTTCTTTCATTCTCCCAAAATAGTTAGAGATAACATTTTATTAAATTTATAGTCACTTTTACCATGTTGTGCCTATGAAAATATTATTTACAGCCAGGCATTATAGTGTATTATTACCTTCCTTAAATAATTTTTTATTTTTATAATTGTGGAAACTGTAAACTTCCACAGAATTGGTAGAACCTCAATAGTTCAGATACTTCATTTCTGTTTTTTTTTTTCCCATGGAAATATCCTCCTGGAGCCCTCAGTTTTCTAAACTTCCAGCATAGCTAATATCCTGTGACTTTCTTCACTGTCTTCC
Organism: Homo sapiens; assembly: GCF_000001405.40. Classification (NCBI taxonomy): domain Eukaryota; kingdom Metazoa; phylum Chordata; class Mammalia; order Primates; family Hominidae; genus Homo; species Homo sapiens. The sequence continues at coordinate 88,219,908 of NC_000005.10, read as the reverse complement.
AAGAATTCCCTCTACCCCTGTCTAGATCTCATGATTTCCTCTTCCTTGGTTTATTCTTTTTCTTTTTTGCAGAGTGCAGAGTACATTCTCCTATGGTGTCCTTAGAAAGGGTGCTAAATTGTTTTTTGAAATCTTGCTTGCCTGGAATTATCTTTATTTTTTCCCTCATACTTGATAGATAGGTTGGCTCAGTAGAAAATTCTAAGAAAGAAATAGGTTTTCTTCAGAATTTTGAAGTCTCTTGAGAAATTGGATATCCTTTTGCTTTTCATGTATACCTATCCTTCGCCTTGTACATAAACCCTCTGGAAGCTTTTTTCTTTTTATTCTTCTGGTTTCTGACATTTTATCCTTGTGCTAAGTTCTAGATTTACCCTTTAAATCTGAAAACTCATGTCTTTTACTACTGGGAGATATTTTTGTTTTCTTATTTTTATTAAAATTATATATGTTCCCTACTCTTTTCTCTATTTCCATCTCTCCAGAGGCAACTTCTTCTTGCTCTTCTCTGTTTCATGCTTACTTTTATATTTCTATGTACTTTCAAGGCCATTCCTTGATTTTAGTTTTAAGCTTTAACTATTGCCATTTCACTTTGGAAATAAGGATTAAGCACGTATCTTTGGGCTGGCAGTTAGCCACTGATCAGTTTCTATTCATTTCATCTTCCACATATAGTGATGTCATGTTTTTAGAACAGTATTCAGTGTTTATGTTATGATCATGTAAACACCATTCACAGATGAATACTTGCCTTAATATATTCAGAAGTATCAAGTAATATGTCAATTTCATCTTGAGTAGAGTTTTCCTCCTGGAACCCTCAGATAAGCCCCAGTCTAGATTGGTTGACCTTCCCACCTGATGTGCACCTATGCCCCTGGTATCACTGATTGTCATCTTCTTAGAGATTCTCTTTGCATCTCCCTCAAATTGGAGCTCTTTTTAAAGATATTCTATGTCTGCCTCCTACTTGGTTTACTTTCCGATTTTGGCAGAGCATATTCTCCAGTATCATCTTCAAAAAGGTTGCATGGGAACTACATTTTTTGTGACCTTGCGCTTTTGAAAATATTTTAAATTTACCCTAAGAATTAATTTTTCCTTTGGCTGAGAATAGAATTCCAGGCCGAAAATTATGTTTTTGTCTTTGAAGTTCCATTCTTACTCTTAAGAACTGCAGCTGCCAATCCAATTTCTGATTTATTTTCTTTTTCTTTTGAGACAGGGTCTCACTCTGTTGCCTAGGCTGGAGTGCAGTGGTGCAATCACATCTCTCTTTATTTTCTGTAGAGACAGGGTCTCCCCAGCTTGCCCAGGCTGGTGTCAACTCCTGGCCTCCAGGTTCCTGCCTTGGCCTTCCAGAGTGCTGAGATTACAGGTGTAAGCCATTGCGCCCAGCCATCTGATTTTTTTTTAAAGTTCTGTTTTTTTCTCTGCATTATCGTTACCATCTTTTTTTACCTAGCCACCTAGTGTGTTGAAATTTTATGATGATGTGCCTTATTTAGGGTCTGTTTTCATCCCCTGTGTTGGGACTTTACCAGTCTGTGAACTGATGTTCTTGAGTTCTAGAAAATTGTTTTGAATTATTTTATTCGTGTCTACAGCCATACCACTCTGGACACACCGAATCTCATCTGAATTATTTTATTGGTGATTTTTCCCTTCTCTATTTTCTCTCTTTCTGGAATGCTTATTATTCAGATATTCGATCTCCTCAACTGGTTTCCCAAGAATGTCATCCTCTTTCTTGCATGCTTGAAAGAAATATGTTTATATTTTTATATTATTTGGTTTTCTGGGAAATTTTCTTAAGTTTCTTAATCTTTTATTGAGTTTATTATTTTGAATTTCTGATATAATTTTTAATTTTCACAACCTCTTTTTCTTCTGTTCACCTGCCCCTTTGATGGAATTCTGCTCGTTTTATGATTACATTATCTTCCCGTGTCTATTTAAGATATTAATGATAGATTTTGTTAAGGTTTTTTTTTTTTTTTCTGCCTAGTATCTTTTTACTCTGAGTTGCTTGTGTTTGGTTGCTGTCTTTCACATCACAGGCTTTTCTTAGAGAGCTCTAGTGATTGGTGTTTGCCTGTCCATAATTAAGTGTGAGACATTAAAAATCTGAAGGGAAGCTTTGAGCACATGGTGAGGTAAGTTGCTGAATCATATGGGTAGGCCAGAGATTATCTTTTTACCCTCTCCAAAGCATAAATCTCCATACTTGCTTCAGATGTGGGCAGATTGAACTGGTTACTTTTAAAAAGTACTAATTTCATTAGTACTTATTTCTAATACCTCCTATTATTACCCCCCACCACCCCCTCGCCCACCGCTGCCGCCACCACCACACACACATTCAGTAACCAGCACTTTTACCCTAGTGTAGAGAATTATTTGTCATCTAACCAATTCCTTATCCTTTTGGGGAGTTTTGCAGTAAAAAGTCAAATTTCTTCTCAGCTGTCCAATTGAGGTTCCTCATTCTGTTGAGTCTGCTTTCTAGCTCCCACAATTTTATTGCTTTTTCTCTTACTTCATTTATGTTCCTTAAAGCCAGATTCCTTTACCATCATTTTGGTGGGATTTAGGAAGAGATAAAAAGTAACTGATTTGCTTAATCTGTCTTTAAAAAAATTTTTTTTAGAGACAGAGTCTTGCTCTGTTGCCCAGGCTGTAGTGCAGTGGTATGATCATAGTTCACTGCAGCCTCTAACTCCTGAGCTCAAATGTTTCTCCCACCCCAGCCCTCCGAGTAGCTGAGAGTTACAGGCACGTGCCACCACAACTGGCTAGATCTGGGAAGTCTTAATAACTGCAGTACAGACTTTTAATCTTATTTTATCCATTCATCAACCCTGTATTTGAAGGTACCTCATGTCTACAGTACTTTTCCCAGGTTTCTGATGAATGAATTGGCTTTCTTCTTACTGACTTCCTCCCCTTGCAGATCAAGTATAGCAGAAAAAGCTGAAACCTAATTGCTTTTCTATCCACTTAACATCTTCCAAAATTTTGTTGATATTTATTTATTTACTTACTTACTAATTGTTGTCTCTTTTTCTATTATCTGTTCTTGAGGTTTTTGACTTTTTTATGTGCCTTAGTCAGATTGTGAGAATGAGCAGAGGAAATGCATGTCTTACATCTTAATATTTAACCGGAGACTGTGGCACCATCTTTTAAACCTGTTAAGTGGATACCATTTAAAATCTATGATATAATTTGACAGTTCATCACCAGGTACTACCTTTCCGTTGCCTCTTTTGGATTGATTTAGGTATAGTTTAGACTAGAAGAGCCAGAACAAAGTCTTAAGAGTCAATATCCTCACAAAGTATGTAGTGTACTGGATAGAAATACTAATCATGTGTCAGCTGAGAAACATCTGAGATATCCAGTGTTGCACTAACTCCAAGAGCAGATTTTAAATTCAAGCACATAAAATATTCCTGTTTAATTCTGTAGTATTAAATATGTGAAAATACCATTCAATCAGAATAAAGACCTATCCCTCGACATCAAGTCATATAAAACACATCAAAAATATTTTCCCGTGATAATTAGCATGAGCTGATTATATGTCATGTTACTTTTTTTTAGATTTCAGTGAGTTATCATGTTCTCCAAAATATTGCCTTTTCTTTTTTTTCCCCAGAGACAAGGTCTCACTCTGTCACCCAAGTTGTTGTGCAGTTGCACAGTCCTAACTCACTGTATCCTTGAGCTCCTGGGCTCAAGTGATCCTCCTGCCTCAGCCTCCAGAGCAGCTAGGACTGCAGTTTCACCCAGCTAATTTTTAATTTTTATAGAGATGGGGTCTCACTATGCTGTCCAGGCTAATCTTAAACTCCTGGCCTCAAGCCATCCTTCTGTCTCGGCTTCCCAAAACACTAGGATTACAGGCATGAGTCTTTGTGCCCTGCCAGTATTGCTTATTATTGAATATTCTTTTCCTCACTTTCTTCATGGTTTACACATATGTGGGAATACATATACTTGATATGCAGTTTTATTTTAATGTGATTGAGCCCTTGATACATATGTACCAGAGAAATTAGAAAAATATACTTTTTAATAGCTATTCATATTGTTTATGTGAGTAAATTTTATCTTTCATTTTACTCTATAATGCCTAATAATGTGGGAGCAAAGGTCCCACACAGCCTTTAGCACTGAACTGACTTTGCTTCGTTTTAAGTAATCCATTCCTGAAAGGCATCAAACAGTAACATCTCTGCAGGAATCCTGTAGCTCGCTGGCTGTCTCCCTATCCCAGAGAGGACAGAAAGTTCTGAAGAGCTTACAGGCCAAGCTACTTTCTGCCAGCTTTGATTCTCCAAAAAGAGGGTGGGGAAGAAGGCAGTAAAATTGTGTGTATGCTTGAGTATGTGATTTTTTTTTTGTTCAAACCTGTAGCATGTGATAAAGTTACCTACCACCTTTAAAGGCATATAGGAGACCAGAATTAAATTCCAGATATCCAGTTTAACACCAGAGAGAAATAAGTTTACATCCTATCTTTTATCTTTAGTTATAACATAACCTGTTTTTCCTTTCATACCCTATGATTGGAATATAGCAGAAGTAACCCCTGTCTGGCTTCTCTTTGTTTTCTTATTGTATGTGCCTACTTAGTAGTCAAACACGTGTCTGCATTGATTACACAGGACAATAGCTTTGCTTGATTCCATAGTCATACATACCTCAGTTAATTCAGAAATTCTCTGCAGTTGTTACTGATGAAATGTTCCTTGTTAAAATGGTCCCCAAATTAGACACATAAAACTTTAAAAATCAGTTCACTTAAAAGGAAGCAAAGTATTTAACTTCCATGGTCATTTTGTTGTCTTTCCCCCCTCACTGATATGTGACATACATAAGACAGCAAATTATGCTTTCTACAGAATCTTAAAAGTTCTAAAAGCACAGGAATGACTTTTTAAAATTTGTGACACTAAAACCTTGAACCCTGAAACCTAGAACTGAGTCTTCTCTTGTCATCAGCTCTGCTTTCTGCTTCACCTGAGTTGTTCATGCATCTCAGCCATCACAGCTGCTTTCAATCTCACTCCTAAACCCAAACTAATTCTCAGCTCTACTCTTCTTTCTTTCTCATTTGTAATTCTAACCATCTTCTCTGACCAAGTCTGTGTGTTCCACTTCCATTTATGCCAAGTTACATGTTATGGGGAAGGAGAAAGGTAAAGAAACCCTTGCAATGAGGATGGAGTATTTCTAGTAAATGTCTTTCCTGTATGATGGCCCATGAAGTCTTAGAGTTGCTGTAGGCGTGTGTACTGGTTTTATGGATATGAAGTGTATCATTTTTGCTTATGAAAAAATGAAAAGTAAAAAGGTAAAAATGTTGCTTGCAAAGCCAGAGGTCCTTTGGTGGAAGTAAAACTTTAAAAAATGAAAATATTTTACAATGTATAGTTTTTTTTTTTCCCAAGAATCTTTCTTAGAAATAAGCTGTAGCACAGAGAGTAATACTGAGTCAATTATGTGAATTTGAGTGAGAAGAAAGCTATTCTACAAAGAGTGATAAAGCTTCTCAGTAGTCCTATTATATTTGGTTAAAGGCCTGGATCATTAGTCACATTTCCACAGTGCTTGTATTTTACAATGTGGAGGTTTAAGGTACAAAACCCTATTATGTATGTTTTCATGGCTGTGTTAAAATTTTAATTTTCTTTCGTTGCCAGGCATACAAATTTTATACAAAGCTAAAAGCTGTGACTAGTTTAAGTTAAAATAAATTTTAAGGTTTTCTGGTTTAATAATCAGTTCTATATGTAGATTTGTTTATTAAAAGTCTACAAATGTTGTTTTTATTTGCTGTGGGAAATAAACAACTACAACAAACTAGTACAACTTAGTCACCATTTCTAAATTCCTTCAAAGGCTTTAACTATATTCTTTTATTTACAAAAATGTTCTGCTTTAGATTAATAAGGAAAAGCAAAACATTATACCCTGAAGTAAACTGCATAAGATTTCAGTTCTAGTGAGAAAAGGAATGAAACTCAGAGTTATTGAATCTGAGCCAAGGTACTTGTTTTATCTTGAAAAGTTGTATATGTCATGTTATGTCAACGCTTGTTTGTTGTATGAACATGGAGATTTTTTTGTGACATTAATGCTGTCATATTACTCAGATTTCAAGACAAAAATCTAGAGTTAAATAGAGATTTGGGGTAATAGGACATTATTTCTGTTTATTAATTTATAATTGAGTCTGACTTTGCTCTTTTAGCTGCAAAGTGATAATTTTTTTTCTGAAACTGAAATTTTGTTCTGAAAATAAAAATTTTTCTGAAAATAAAAGATAGTTTTCTTTTGTATTTTAAATAAAGGTTGTATATTATGCTTTCAGAAATTTTTGGCTATTCTCTTCACAGTCTGGTTAGGTTGAGGCTGGCTGAAAGCTTTTTTTGTGGAATGGCGTTTTAAACAGGCACGATAGTTTTTTGCTTATATCTAAGGGAATTTTAGGTTCTTTTTCTCTGTAATTAAAGTAATGGAAACTGCATATCTAAGAAAGTATGAAAAATATTTTAGTTTAAAATTATTTTTGTTAAAAAATTTTTTTTAACATTGGAAGATAGGATCAGATTATTTTTAAGACTTTTACTTAATAGGTCATTAGGATTAATGTACTTATTTTTAGTTTTCAGTGTATATCTGTAATAAGTTCTTGGTACAGTTTCTAGGTTTCTTTGCAATGTAGAATGTGAAGTATAATATATTTTGAGTATTTTAGTTGCCTTTTCTTATGGAAAAACAGAGGTGGAAGATTTAATTATTTGAATAGAAAAACATTAGGGATTTTATTTAGTAGCAGTGATCAGAAAAACAATAGAATCTTTTTTCACAGAATAGAAAAACTCAGTTTATATAAAAATCACTTAGTTGAGTGGAAATGTGATCTATTTTAAAGAGATAATCATAAATTTGTGAAAGTTTTTTGAGAAATCTCTATGTTTATTCCTTAGGATACTATTTATCATACTTGTGTATTAGCAACAAAATATTTCTTCTTGGAATATGGTCTATTTCTTCTCAAAAGAGCATTGAGATAATCTCGCTCCATCGCCCAGGCTGGAGTGAAGTCATGGTCTTGACTCGTTGCAGCCTCAGCCTCCTGGATTCAAGTGATTCTTGTGCCTCAGCCACCTGAGTAGCTGGGACTATAGGCACGTGCCACCAAGCCTGGCTAATTTTTTGTATTTTTGGTAGAGATGGTGTTTCACCATGTTGCCCAGGCTGGTCATGAATTCCTGAGCTCAGGCAATTTGCTCACCTTGACCTCACAAGGTGCTAGGATTACAGGTGTGAGCCGCTGGACCCAGCCCATAATAGTACTTTTATAAGTGTATGTTATTTAATTAAGTTGTTATTCTAAATCTGAGAGAAATTTGCCATTTTAGACCTAAAACTTGAACCTGTTCATCATTTGGAAGCTTATCTTCAGCTTGAAGGTAAAAATATTTAAAATACTTCCTCCTGAGGAAATTGTCCTACTTGTCCTTGACTTTTCTTTCCTATTAGAATTTAGTGTCTTTCTTTCTTGATTTGTCAAAATGTTTTGGTGGCGCTTTCTGCTAAAGCATGAATGTGGGGTAGGTAACTATTTTTAGACTTTGCAGTTTTGAAAGTGTTTTAATTTTATACTCTTTCTGTTGGCATTTGGTTGGTTATAGAATTCTAGGTTATCCATATTTTTCTTCATAATTTTGAAGGCATTGCTCCATTGTCCTCAACCTTGAAAATTGCTATTAAGAATTACTTATCATGGTGATATTTAATCTTTTGCATATACCTAGTTTTGCTTTATTTTTCTTCTGAGGAAACTTTTACAGTTGTCTCTTGATTTGTCTTGTTTCTGAAAGTTCATGCTCATGTACCTCATGAGGATCTTTTTTACTTCCTTGTGGTGGGCTTTTGGTAGGCTCTTTAATTTGGAAACATCAAGTTTAGAAAATTTCTTTGATTATGTCTTTGAGAATTTCTTCTGTCCGTCCCTCCACTCCCATTTTCTTTCTCTGTCTCACTTTCATTAGTCAGATATTGTATGTTCTGGATTAACCTCTCATCATCAGTTTTTGTCTTACTTTTTTTTTTTTTTTTTGGATGGAGTTCTGCTCTGTTACCAGGCTGGCATGCAGTGGTGCGATCTCGGCTCACTGCAACCTCCATCTCCTGGATTCAAGCAATTCTCCTTCCTCAGCTTCCCGAGTTAGCTGGGATTACAGGCGCCCGCCGCCGCGCCCGCCGCCACGCCCGGCTAATTTTTATATTTTCAGTAGATGGGATTTCGCCATGTTGGCCAGGCTGGTCTCAAACTCCTGACCTCAGGTGATCTGCCCACCTCAGCCTCCCAAAGTGCTGGGATTACAGGTGTGAGCCACCACGCCCGGTCTTGTCTTACTTTTCATTTTGTCTTTTTGTTCTGCTTGATGGAACTTTTGACTTTTTTTTTTCTTATTTTTCCTGTCCTGTTTCTCGTTGATGTCTAACCATTCATTTTTCATAGCATCCTGATCTTATTTCAAAGATGCATTCATCTTTGTCTAGCTTTATGAAATATGCATATCCTATGTTTATAAATATCTCTAAATAAAAATATGTATGTATCTGTTTCTGTATGTATAGTTATATACCCAAACTTCATTCTGCTGTGTCTGTCATCTCTTTTTTTCTTGAAGTTACTTTTTTTCTGTTGCAGATTTTAGCTCGTATTTTTTTTATAAGATGTGATACTCTAATACATCTTATTCGATGTATTAGATACATCTAATAATAGTTGCCTAACTATGGCTTGCAGTATCTGGGTTGCAGCCTGTTTTTGTACAGCTCTTGAGCTAAGATGGCTTTTTAACATTATTAAAGGATTAGGGGAACAAAGTAGGCAGAAGAATATGCTACAGAGACTGCATATGGACCACAAAGCCTGAAGTATTTACTATCTGGTCTTTCATAGAAAATGTTTTCCGATTCCTTTTTTAATGTCTGAGGATTCCTTTCATTTTTAAGAGATGGCCTCTAAAAGCTGATTGGAAGCTCTGTATGTAATTAGGGCTTGGTTAGTTTCACTAAAGAATAGCTTGATAATACTAAAACCAGCTTTATTTTAGGTAGCCCATAGTGTCATTGTTTATTGGTCTTTTCCTTGAGGCCTTTCAGTTTCTCTAGAGGAGAATCTCTTAATCTCCTGCCTGGAGTGTACAAAACTGCTACACATGTTTCCAAGGTGAGTACTACCTTTGACTGTGTAGACTTTCACCTAATCATCCTGTTTTTGATGCAGTTGACTAAATCTAAACTCTTCTGTGCCTCAGGTTCAGTTTCTTCAGAGGCAAAAATCTTAGTCTTCTGCTGGAGTCAGAGTGGCCTGGCTGCATAGAAAGGCAATCAGAGTGGAGAGTTGTGAGTCTAGTTGCCACCTACATAGAAGTCAGTGCACAGCACATCACTGCCTGTATACTTCTTAATCTTGTACCTCTTAAAATAAATTATCATAGAATTTTAAAAATTTAAACACAATCAGGAATGGTATCATTATCTGTTTGTATTGTATTGATCCATATGTTTTTGTATACATTCCCATATTTTTGGTATTACATGTTAAATATTTAATTCAGTTGTCTAGAAAACATTAAGTTGTTGCTGAGAACTAGGAAGACTTAATCTTTGCTTTTCAAAATAGCCCTGTGAGGTTGTGGACTGGCGGCATTTTACAAATGAAGAAACTAAGACACAGAGAAATTAATTTTCAAGTGGAAGATCACATAGTTTAGTAAGAGTAGAACCAGGATTAAGCCAGACACTCTAGGTCTAGAGAATGCTTTCTTTACAACTTTGTCACACTATAGTTTAAGATAGTATATGATTACATGGCGAGTGAATTATATTAGTAAGTGATACAATAAGTTCAAAAGAGGAAAAGAATGGCCTCAGCTGGGAAGGTAATGTTAAGTATCATGAAAGATATGGAGCTTTTGTTGAGTCTTGGATTGGGTAGGAGGAGGGAAGAGTTCAGATGATAGATTATGATCCAAGACAGTGTAGTGATGACACTCAGGAGATGGCAAGTACACTATTCTGATTGAGGTGGAGATTTGGGGACTATTGAATGAAAGCTTGAACATGTGAGTGTGGCCAGATCATAGTATTACATACGGGTTATTGGGAGATGGTGTTCTAATGTGGAACTCAATAAATAATTAGGTTTTTAAGATTTATCCAGTATGCAATATGAAGTGAGGATGCAGTGATTATACCATTTTAGGCATTTGTGGTGTGGGACTGTAAAGTATTAGTGATAAGTGCAAGATCATGCTTCATGTCTGGATCAGATTGCATGTAATTTTGTTTTCCTTTAGTGTTGACATATTTTGTAATTTCATTATTCTAGGATAACAAAGTGTGGTGGTAGGTGTAATTTTTGGGAAATTTTATTCTGATGATTTGGTACCACTTTTGGCCAAAGATACTATTTTGTTTTTCAGTGTAAGAAAAGAAGTTGGAAATTGTCTCCTTATAGATTCTAGTAAACATTTTCAGTAAAAATAAAGCAGTGTTTTTCAAACCTGAGTTTAAGGCATTTAGGCTATGAGAGATCATAGCTGTATCTTAAAAGCAGTTCAGTTGTAGTTTTGCAGTTTGACTATATTCATCTTTCTTTGTCCTCTTCTAATATGTAAGCTCTTCCTTATAATGCCAAGAAAGAGATGGATGGACCTGTATTGTTTGATACAGGTTGAGCATTACAATCCAAAATCCGAAATGCTCCAAAATCCAAAACTTTTCCAGTACTGACATAACACCAGAAGTAGAAGACTTTACACTGGGCCTCATGTGAGAGATTGCAGTTAAAATGCAGTCAAAATTTTTTTCATGCACAAAATTATTAAATATGTTGTATAAAATTACCTTCAGACTATGTGTGTGAGATATATATGAAAGGATTCTTCTGATTATGAGAATGTTTTAATTCTTTACTTCTGTCAGGGCAGTTCTGTTTTGAAAAGATTTTATGTGTTACTGCTAAAAGTACCACATTGACTTAGGTGCTATGTACAGTGTTTTAGAGGCAATGTAATCAATAGTTACGTGCACAGATTCTAGATCCAGACTGTCTAGTTTTAAATCTCAACTTTCTCTAATCTAGCTGTGATTTTGATATTTTTACTTTTACCTCTCTGCCACAGTTGTTGTTTTTTTGTTGCTGCTGTTGTTTGTTTTTTGTTTTCCTGAGACGGAGTTTCACTCTTGTTGCCCAGACTGGAGTGCAGTGGTGCTATCTCGGCTCACTGCAACCTCCGCCTCCCAGGTTCAAGCGATTCTCCTGCCTCAGCCTCCCGAGTACCTGGGATTGCAGGCGTGTGCCACCATGCCCGGCTAATTTTTTTTTTGGAGACGGAGTCTCACTGTGTCACCCAGGCTGGAGTGCAGTGGCGCGATCTCAGCTCACTGCAAGCTCCGCCTCCCGGGTTCACGCCATTCTGCTGCCACAGCCTCCCTAGTAGCTATGACTACAGGCGCCCGCCCCCATGCCCAGCTAGTTTTTGTATTTTTAGTAGAGACGGGGTTTCATCATGTTAGCCAGCATGGTCTCGATCTCCTGACCTCGTGATCCAGCCGCCTCGGCCTCCCAAGGTGCTGGGATCACAGGCGTGAGCCACCACGCCCGGCAATTTTTGTATTTTAAGTAGAGACGGGGTTTCGCCGTGTTGGCCAGGCTGGTCTCATACTCCTGACTTCAGGTGATCCGCCGGCTTAGACCTCCCAAAGTGCTGGGATTACAGACGTGAGCCACTGCGCCCGGCCCACAGTTGTTTTTTGTTTGTTTGTTTGTTTGTTTAAGTTTTTTAAAATGTCTGTAAAGTAGCAATAATAATGTGGTTAGTGTGAGAATTAAAAGTTAATTGGTAATGCCCGGCATATGGCAAGTACTAAGTGATAGCTGTTAATTTTCCATGCTTGACATAAACTTTACGTAAAGGTTACTTTTCTAGGTTTGTTTGCCAAGCACCTTAGTTTGTTTTGCGATTTCAAGGAGAACAATTTGGTGTATAATGGAAATCTGAGTTCTATCTTTGGGCCATGCACTGATTTAACCTTGATTAAATCAATTTGTGTGTGTTGGGGTGGTTCAGATAAGATAATCTCTTCAGCCTATTTTAATAGGTGAACATGTTGAAACTTTTGCTGTTTTTGAATACTCAGTTGGAACTTGTTTTCTCTAAAGATTTTTTCTTATTACTAATGTGAAGTGGTGACCCCAGACACTTAGTTTTCATACCACAGATCAACAATAGCTACTAGTAAAATTCTCAAATTTTAACTTGTTGAATTATTACGGAGGATTCCTGTGTTATGTGTTTAATTATAAATGTAAACTGGTTTAACAGACATGCCTAATAAAGACAGTTCTCTAGAATAACCTCTACCCTGGCTTTTCATGTCACTGAGAACATACTGCATAAAAATCTTGAAATAACCTTCTAGTAAAATTTGAGTGAGATAAACTAGAAATACATTCCCTAGCTACAACTTAGTATATGGGTGCTCTTTTCCTTAATTTAAAAGTGTTTTAAACTCCACTTGGAAATAAATGTTGTAGTCAAATTTTATTGCAATCAAGTCCTATAAAGATCATTGTGTATAGCTCCTATAAATTTATTGTGGTTTTTCCTGAACTTTTCCTTCTGCAGCAAAGTTCTATTTTCATTAACTACACACTATTTTAAAGTAGAAGATGGTGGTGAAAGATCTGTTTGTGTCACCTTTGGATTTTTTTTCTTTGTCAAAGCAATGGCAGTGTTGATTGTAACAGAAAATTATCTGGAATTTGGACTTGAAACAGGTAATAGTTTCATACAACTTTAAAAATCAATTTTGCTTTATCTAGTGTTAATATTTTTGACTTCAGTATTTAAGTTTTATGTCTGATAAATATCTAAAATTAAATTTAAAGTGTATACTCTGTAATGTTCAAAATAATTAACCTTTATTATTAAGATCTTCATTTTTTGCTTTTGTTTTAGCTAAGTTTTTAATTAATGTTTTTTTCCAAAAATACTGTCTCGTTTTTTTCCTTACAGTTAAATAAGTTTCTGTAATGCTAAAGTTTACTCTTATAGTTGAAGAATTAATGCAAATTTTATGCACACTCATGGAATGTACAAATATCAAAGGGACGTTTTCAAAGACTGTTCCTGCTAATAACCAAATTTTATTGCATTATGGCATACTAATTAACACATGAAAGAGCTAAGCTAGTCACTTCAAAATTTAAGATGCTCTGTTTTCTAACATTTTATTTCCATGGAAAGATTCTGTATTTCACATTTGTGATAAGAGTAATCTGTTGTTTTTTTTTTTTTCCCCCACAGGGTTTACAAATTTTTCAGACAGTGCGATGCAGTTTCTTGAAAAGCAAGGTTTAGAATCTCAGTAAGTTTTTGAAAAATTAAGCATTATTTAAATTTAACCTTTTCTATTTTTAATAAAGCAGTATTTACTATAAATAGCTGTTTTAAATTAGTAAAGAGTTTTAAGTTGGACTGTCACTTCTAGAAACATCCTTACTCATAATTTTTATGACTATATAAAGTTAGTGTCTTTTATAGAATTCTTATGTAAATTTGCATTTCTTAAATTCCTCTCCCTCAAGAGATTAAATTTATATCCAAGTTATATGTCAATTCCCTGTTGAATGTGTAGGTTAGGTTGCTGTGACTATGACTAAAGAGATGCCTCATTTAGTTTACAGTTCACCAGAATCCATTATAGGTACTTGAATAATAGCAATCTTTTTGTAGAAATTTGCTTTGTTTTACTGTTATTGTTATTTGTAAGATAATTGATTAGAAGAAAAGAAATTCTTCAAAAGCTAATTATAAAAATTTATCAGCTTTTTAAAAAATTTTATTTTTAGGAGTCCTGTTTCAAAACTTACTTTCAAATTTTTCCTGGCTATTTTCTGTTCATTCATTGGGGCTTTTTTGACATTTCCTGGATTACGACTGGCTCAAATGCATCTGGATGCCCTGAATTTGGCAACAGAAAAAATTACACAGTAAGCGGAAAATGTACATAAGCACATGCAGATAAATATATGTTTTCCATCTTAATGAAGGTATAATATTGTAATGTAATCATAAATTATTGTATTGAAAATTAATAACCATTTGATGTCACACTACTTCCTCTTTCAACTATAAGCAAGTTTCTTTTATTTGCTTCTAAATTTTAAGTCTTGTATTTAAAAAGATACATCATCGATTACTAAATTTGTCTTACCTGTTAAAATGAAAATCTCAAAATTTATGTTATTTCTAATTCAGGGGCTTATACTGCAATCTCTACAACTAAACTGAGGATCCATAGAAATTTCCCTTAAAAAATAAGATCATTTTACTTTAAAATATTGTTTTAAATTTTCATATATATCTATTTAAATTAACTTTTTAATGTAAAATTTTACTTAAAAACATTTTAAAACTTAAAGTTGTATGTAAGAGGTGTTTGTTTTCCTTAAGTTACTGACCTGCTTATTAGACTCTTATTAAAATAATACATTATTTTGGGATTGTTAGTACTCTACAATGTTATATGTTGTACATTACTTCTAACTACCAAATTCTATTTTAGTTCTGAAGTTATATGTTAGTTTGGACAAGTCACATTTCATCTTCATATGTAGTTCAAAGCCCATTTACTATATTCTTTGTGCTTGTCACAGATTTTTTTTTGTTGATGTAGACATCTTGGCAGAAAGATAGGCTTATATCTACTTCAAATCATATGCAGATCAAAGTTCCTGTCTCATCGTTTTGTTTTGCAGTAGAAGCCCAACTTGAGAATATTTCATTTTGATATGTGTATTTATAACCATTAAGTTTATCTGGGTAATCTTATTTCCTAACATTTCTATTCTTTAAAACCTATTTTTAATGATGCTGATTCTTTAGTCTTTTCACATTCTTGTCTCTCTTACCTGTCATTTCCCTTTAATTTAATTTTGACTGTCTTTTTTTTTTAACCTCACTTCCATTTTTCTACATAAGCTTTGTACATGTGTTTACTTACTATCGCCTCCCACTACACACTCCTTCATCCCTCTTCTTTTTTTTTTCTCCTTTTACTCAGTGTGCTTTTGGCTGCATCCCGTCTTTCTCCCACCACCCGTCTCCCTAATGGCTTCTTTTAAGACAAAACCTGGTTCTCCCCCTCCTCTCTGCACACACACTTCAGTCCACTAACCCCAGTGTTATGATTTAAATAAGCTGAAAAGGGTGGGTGGAGGGGAGCCCTTCACAAGCTACTGAAACCGCTGTGGGCTGCTCCTTGATACTAGAGTGTTCCCTAGCAACACTGCATACCTAATACTGCTGCTTTCTTCCCCACATCCGATGGTTTACCCAGTCTGTGGGATGAAAGAATCACTTTATAAAAACATTTAAAGCATTTGGTGGTGGTTGGAGGTGGAGTGCACATTTTAGTGTCCTTTTTAGTAAAATGTGGCTTCATTTTAAGATTTTTTCCCTTGGGGGATTTGGGGTTTTATTTTATTTTCAGTTTATTGCAGCCCCTCATTGTGTTGTAGCACTCTGCCTTGATACAAGGGTGTGGGCAAGCTAGTTCTGTTGTGAGAGTAACATGACTGGCACAAAGAGCAGCATTCTCTTCACCCCCATGGCTAGGCACTAGGATGTGTTTTTATATCAGAGGTTAGAGCGGGAGTTCTGCCTTTCCCTGTTAGGTGTTTGTGGCTTCCTGACCCAGCCCTGTTCACTCACACAGATCACTGTCTGCCTATGTAGTGATACTTTAAAATGTGGTGTTTGTGTGTATTTTGAACCCTCCAGTTTAGCTCTTAAGTGTGGTTGATAATGAAAGCAGTTTATGGTAATAAAATGGGTGAAGAATTTGCGTTTTTTCTAAAATAAGAAAAATTTTTATCAGCCATCTATCTCTGTAGGATACAAACTTGGACAATTAACAATGAAGTTATAGCGCAGACCTGAAACCTTTGCTGTATTAGGTATATTGCCTTGTCAGGAGTAATGCAAATTATATATATATATATATATATATATATATATATATATATATATATATATATATATATATATATATGATAGGGAAATTATTTCAAGTGTGTTCATACTCATTCAAAAAGAAATTAAAATGTGGAATCACTTAACGATTGTTAACAATGGAAGTTAAAAATTATAAATGATCATTACACGTTAAAAGGTTCCTCAGTTGCGGGTTGTTGCAGTAGGTTCCGTCTGCCATATGCCTTCTAGTAATATGGACCTGGCTAATCACTATCATTTACTTGTAGATAATGAGGAGACACTTTGTTTCAGTTGCCCTAGAAAGTATCAGACGACTCTTCTGTACTGAAAATCCATTAGATTCGTTGACTATATAAAGTTAGAATCATTAAATACCTGCTTATTAAATCAGGAATAAAGTATGAGATTATTAAAGAATACTAGAATAGAAGTGAACAAATCTGAATTTTAGTCCTATATTTACATTAACTTATTGCCAAGAGCAAGTCATTTAACTTTTCTGTATCTAAATGTTCTCATTTGAAAAATTAAGATAATGATATAATTTCTCACAGGCTCAAATCAGTGTTAAATCATAATGATAAATATAAAATGATGGTGACAGTAGTATCGTAAGTAGTAGAATACTGCAAATAAGCTCCTACCTCCATTTTAGTAAGACCCCAGCTTCTGTAGTTTATTAGCACGTGCTGTTTCTGAATTTTTATATTTATTTCTTACGTACTTTCAGAACTTTACTTCATATCAACTTCTTGGCACCTTTATTTATGGTTCTGCTCTGGGTAAAACCAATCACCAAAGACTACATTATGAACCCACCACTGGGCAAAGAAAGTATCCCTTTGTAAGTATGGGCATTTGAGGGCTGATTTTTATCACCAAAACTGCTTTACTAAATGTTATTTACTGTATTTCGTTTTCAGTGATAAAATCAGGACACTGTATTTTTCAGACATTAATAGGAATGCTAAAAGATGTGTTAGAAAATTGAAACTACAGACCATCATGTAACATTTTTGTGATCTTTATTAGTTAATGTTAATGATTATTACCTTGCACTAATATTACCTTACACACTATTTTTTTCCTCCTCTTTATGTCCAGTCGTCATCATTTTTCTGTTGTCATTGTGGCTATTGTTCAGATACCTTCTGGAGTTCTTTTGTTTTAATTTTGAAAATTATGGAGGAAAAAAGTATAAATGGAAACTCATATACTCAACTCCTATGTTTGACAGTTGTTAACATTTTCCATATTTGCTTCATCCATTCTTTGTTTTGTTTTTTGATGAAGGATTTTTGAAGTAAATTAGAGACATAACAGTTTTATCCCTTAGTACTTTCTTTAGTTTGCACCTCTAAAAAAAATAAGGATATTTTCCTATATAACAATAACATCATCGTACCTAACAGTTATCTAATACTAATACCTTAATATTATTATCTAATACTAGTTTATATTTCTACAGTTAGGCAACTGTATTTTAGCAGAAGAAGATGGTGAGGAAACAAACAGTTTATTAATAGGCATTAATAACTAGACTTGATCTGTTAGCCTTGTAGAACTGTTAGAGTAATAGAAAGTTTCAGACAGAACTGGTTCAAACTCCAGCTCTCCTCCTCACTAAAATCTTCATTTGAGGCAGGTTATTTAACTTCACTGAGCCTCTGTTTCCCCATCTGGAAGATGAAGATAATAGTATCTAACTCACAAGGTTATCATTGGAATAAATGAAAGAACACATGTAATGCAACCAGCTGGAATTAAGTGCTTAATAAATGTTCTTTTCACTGCTTTGCCTCATCAGAATTAAAATAGAAATACTTGACTAGTCATTGACTCCGCAGTGTACCTTTTGTATTGTGTCCTTCTTTTAGATCCTGGTACCAGTTTGTCTTGGAATATATATAAAATCAGTGATGACCATGATAATTTCTCTTTTTAGAGTTAATCCTATTGAACCCAGGAAATAGCCACTGAAAAAGTAATGCTTCCCCGCCGCCGACACACACTAATTACCTTAATGGTAATTTAACTTGACAGATTCCCTAAGTATTGAAAAGTAATTCTAAGGATCTAAGGTTCTAGAAAAGTCTCAGAGAAACTACTAATTCATATCTTTGATACTGAAAGCATTCCCAATCCTTCCTTGAGATTTTGGTCATGGAAACTGGATTTCATACTCCTGTAACTATGTTCCCTGATTTTTATATTTGCCTTAGTTAAATTGAGAAAATAAGGAAACTAGCATTTATAAAACACTTATATACCAGTTATTATGTGAGATATTCATACTTTACATATTGTATCTTCTTATGGTAATTGTCCATTTGTTGCTGTTGTCATCCTATTTTATACATGAAATAACAGGCTCAGAGGTTAAATAATTTGACTAAGGTTATTCAGCCAGATCGCGTGTACATAAAACACTTGGTAGTTATACCAACATTCACTTCCCACTTCCAGTCTGATTAAACTTCATGTGGATTTATTAGTAATGAATACTTTATTTAATAGAAATGGGAATAAGGAACTTTTCCCTTGTGTGTATATTAAATTATAGGAAAAATATTGTTTGTATATAAAGACCTGAGGTTCTCTTTCTATAGCTTTTTCCCCCCTTTGTCCCATCCCCATTTCTGACCTGTTTCATAAGCATTCCAAGCAAAATTATAGTTTTACCTCTGCTCTCTTTTATTCTTCTTTAATTTGAATTCGTGGTTAAGTTATTAGAGGCAGTTTTTAATTTTTGTTAAAAATCTAAAATGCATGTGATAGATTGTGAAAAAATGGCTGCCCATCAAAGAGGGTAGGATGAAGGAAAAATAAAGTGACAGGTTCTTCTTCTGTCACAGACAAATTGGTTTGTGGAAAGGTCTTTGTAATCAGAAGCAAAAATATGGTATAATGTAGTTTCAACCCAGAAATGTGTTTGAGTCCATCATGTGTTCTGATAAAGCATTGAAAAAAATAAAATATGGTAAACAGAGTCCATGTGTGCTCATAATCTCCTAAGAAGAACACAGCATATACAGGAAAGCTCAGAATGGCATCAGGAATTTAAGGTGGTTTCTTCTGCCTGTTCTTTCCCTATATACTTTAAGCTCCTCCTCATGCTCCTTCTTGAGATACTCTATCAGATCAACTTCTTCAGATATTTATGATGGTATGGAATAATCTAATTAGAAAGTACTATTTAATGACTATTATCCTAAATCCTCAACTCATAAACTGAACAAATAATTTTCTAGTTCACTACCTTATTCTGTTCCTTTCATTCACGTTACCTGTTATCCTCAAAGGCTGTGAAATAGCTGTCTTCAGGCTGCTCCCAGTTAGTTGTCCTTGTTGCACAACTGGAGGGAGCACAGTATTGTTTATAGGTCCCCAGGAAAGGGTCAAGGCTGTGGGTAGGCTTGTGTCTTACGTACTGTTACTCTCACATGATGGCTCCTAAATCTCATTGTTCATTGTAGTGGAAACATGTTGATAAAATGTTATGCCTTTATCTTTCTTAGCCAACATTGCTTTTCCATTGAAATTTTATGTCCATGTCCCCTCATGACTTAATAAAAAGAAATGAGAGAGTATATATAGTAAAGCCTTTGTCCCATCCCCATTTCTTACCTCCATTTCATAAACAGTTCGAGCAAAATTTTACACTTCAAATTTTCCTATATTGTAGTTTTAGTTATGAGGGTTTTTTTTTTAATCTTTTCTCATTTGTTCTTTATATGCATCCATTCTACCGTCATGTTCTTAAGAATTTCAGGGAGACCCTTCTGAGTTCCAGGTTTTATCTGGCAAATGAGTCTGTGCATTACAATAGTCATTTTAAGTGCCTGATAGGTACTAGATATAAGACTAGATGCCAAGGGTGGTCTAGTCACTACATTCAAATTACTTGCAATGTAGTTCTTCATCAGAGCAGAAACCCATGGTCTTTTAAAAACATTAAACACCAAAAGGACATCAGAAGTTATCTCTTCTTTCTAAAAATTCTTTAAGCAGCCCTCATCAGTGGTCTGGTTTCTGAAATGGTGTCCTTCCGTTATGTATTTTCACCTGGAATCTTAACCTTAACCTTGAGGAATTGCTCAGAACCGAGCCAGCTTCAACGCATAGCAAGTTAAATGAATTGTTGTAGAGGAATCTCAGGCACCTGATTTCTTCATGATATATCAGAATTTTTGATTTTCCAGTGGTCCCAAGTAAAAGCTCAGCAGATTGAAAGATCCCATCCAAGTAGGTATATGATCAGGCAAAGCTGTAACCAGTGATGCTGGGTGATTGACTTGATTAGTCCCACAGGCAATCCCTGCAGTTTTCTTTCTTTCCCCAACTTGTCTTTTCATGTCACAGCCAGTTTTTATCCATGGAGGAGGGTATATAGAGAAAAGGATCTCATGTATTGCTCTACTTTTTTCTTCTAGATACCTGTTAACTTCTTACGCTTTCATGATACATTTATCTAGTTCTGTTATTCAAGTTAAAGTATTATACAGTTAAGTCTATGGCAGAGTCAGATTCTTTTATGTGTCTAACTGTTGCGAAGTATAGACTTCTTATATCTTATATGGTGACCATTAACATATAACGAGCATGCTAGCATATTGTTGTCTTTGAGAGCACCGTATCAACTTTTTGATCTGTAGAATGACAGAAGCCACATTCGATACTCTGCGACTCTGGTTAATAATCCTGCTGTGTGCTTTGCGGTTGGCCATGATGCGTAGTCACCTGCAAGCTTATTTAAATTTAGCCCAAAAATGTGTGGATCAGATGAAGAAAGAAGCGGGGCGAATAAGCACGGTTGAGCTACAGAAAATGGTAAGTTTTATACCCTAGTCAAAATGAAAAATAGCAAAAACCGCACTGTAAAAAAAAAAAAAAATTGGTTTCCTTTAGTAGATAGTATTTCAACCCATCATATTCTTATTATAAATAAACAGAACAATCTTAAGTTGACAGATATCAAAGAGACCTTGATCTGATTTTGGTGCCAAGTGAGGTCTTAATTCCTCTTCCTGCCTTAAGTGCTTGGTGTCATACAGTGGGTGGTACAAAGCTGTTTTATGCCTAATATTGCTAAATGGGACCCTTCTAATTGATTTGAAAGACATTATAACATATTGTCCAGACTTTAAGACTTAAAGAGTAGGAAATACTACTTTTAGTGGCTAAATTTATTCATTTTAATATTACTCAATTTACTTGAACATGAAATGTAAGTATTTAATTTATTTGAGGCTTCCAGAGAATAAAAGGACAAGGAATCCATCTGCCACTATAGTGGACCAATAACCTCATTCTTTTTTTAAGAGAGGTGGTTTTTGGCTACCTTGCTTTATTATTATTATTGTTATTTTATTTTTTGTAGAGACAGGGTCTCTCTGTGTAGCCCAGGCTTGTCTTGAACTCCTGGGCTCAAGTAATCCTCCTGCATCACCTCCCAAAGTATTGGGATTACAGGCGTGAGTCACCACGCCCAACCAGCTTCAGTTTTTGATTCACCTCCATAGTTAGGGGCATTTATTAAGATTTAAACAACTTTTTTCTGTTTTACCTTTTATATATTTTTATATTTTCCATAGTTTGACTTCAAATATGTTCATGTAGAATGGGGACTTAATGTTTTTATTTATGAGGGATTTATGCTCATATGTGGCTCTGCCTACTATTGTTATTTAGTTGGATATTTTAGGTAGATGCCCTTACATTGTGTTTTATCTTTGAAATATAAGTAAATATATACCATTTGAATCTTAGTCATTATTTTCTCCAATATATATACATCATTTAAGAATTATTTTTAAGGAATCTATTTTAATATTCTCACGTTCTAAAAACTTGTCTTCAAATTGAGCCTTTCCAAAGTCATTTTGGGGACATGTATCATGCAGCACAACTTACTGACATTTAGCTTCCTTCTTGTGAAAGGATTATCTCTTAAGTATTTTGGTATGGCAATTATATGAAAGTTTAATTCACTCCTAACATGTCAGTTGCATTAGACACTTAAGAATGTTGTTGGTTGCAGGTGGCTCGAGTCTTTTATTATCTTTGTGTCATTGCACTGCAGTATGTGGCGCCTCTGGTAATGCTGCTTCACACAACTCTGCTTTTGAAAACACTAGGTAGGCATGCCCTGGCAACTAGGAAGCATCTTTTACTTTCTACCTATAATTAATAAAGCTTTTTGTCACCAACAAAGAAATGCAACTCTTAAAATTGTTTCTCTTTTTAAAAGTTGTAAAAAGAACCATGGGAAAGTTTTAGCTGTGGAAGGTGATTTATCATCTTCATTTTGAAAACTCAGGCCCATGGTTTTATAACTTTATGCTTTGTCTTCAAGAATTGTTTACTAAAGGTTAAGTCTCAGATTTACCCAGTAACTTTAGTAAGCACTGTTGATCTTAGTTACTTTCATGTTATAAGAGGATGATTTAAGGTTTTGTTATTGCCTAACATTTAAATTATTACAAGGCAATTATAAACTTACATAAATTACAGAATGCTATGGTAAGTTCTAGTTTAGATAACTTACATCGAAACGGTGAAGATTTCTCAGTACAAAATTCTACAAGTCTCTTCACTAAGCTATCAAGTCCCCATGTGGTGGTGTTATTCAAGAGGTGTCTATTATTGCATTGATCATTTCCCCTTTCTTAGATCAGGCAATCAGCCACTGTTAGGGTTTAAGAAACCTGAAAGAACTAAAAGCATTATTTAGCTTCATGGACCTAGTAGGTGTCATAGACTTGATGATAGGTATAGGTGCCCTGTAAGAATCTACGGAATGTAAAGGGATAGGTAGTTCAATTGTAAATTAAGTGGCTCATATCCTATCCACTGTAGGAAAGTATATGATGAAATAAATTTTTGGAAGCTATTAATAGGTTTTCACATTGAAATCATAGTTTCTGAGAAAGGAATTTATTTTGATATTCTAGAAGTAGAAAAGATTTCTCAGAAGTTATTGAATCTGTCCTTGTCACTCCAGTAGAGTTAGCTGATTAATTTCTTATACAATGAGGAAATTGTTTTGTTATTTTACCAATTTTTAGTGCAGTTAATTAAAAATATATCAGACTTTTTGCTTTAATGTGTACCTTTACTGATGAGGCCAGATAGTCTCTAGTCAGGTTAATTTTTTACAGATCTAGAAGGATTATTATTTTACTTTATTTTTAACATAAAATGATGTACTGTGCCACTAAACATATTGTTAATTTCAAATATAGGAAGATTTTTTTTTAATAAAAAGCTTGGTAATTAGTTACTCTTCAAATTGTATTTGTGTCTTTGATTTTCTAGGTAATCATTCCTGGGGTATTTATCCAGAATCTATCTCTACCTTACCAGTGGATAATAGTCTACTGTCCAATTCTGTTTACTCTGAATTACCATCAGCTGAAGGGAAAATGAAGGTAACTGTTACACAAATAACAGTGGCACTGAGCAGCTTAAAAAATATTTTTACTCCTCTTCTTTTTCGAGGACTTCTGTCTTTTCTGACCTGGTGGATTGCTGCTTGCCTCTTTTCTACAAGCCTTTTTGGGCTTTTCTATCACCAGTATCTGACTGTGGCATGAATCTCAGTTAACAAAAAAGCATATCCAAATCACCCTTTAAATTAAAATATCTGTGCCCTTAAAGGGCTGATGAAAACCAGAAGAAAGCAAATACAATGGGAAAAAAAAAACATATCAGAATGTCTTGTATTAAATGTTTCCTCTGTATTCTCAGGGTGAATTAATGTAGTAATATTTAAAATTACAAAATAGATTGTTAACTGTTACACTGTGGCATTGGAATTTTAACTCTTTGTATTTACTGGTATGAGAGGGCTATCTACAAGGGTAATATTTCTGATTACCCTGGTTTACAGAAACCTCCAGCAGTCTTTGAAACATCTCACATGACTCTAGTTATTGATTGCTTTTAATGGTTTTATGGTACTGTTGATAGTCATAGTGGCTGCCTATAGAACAATCTTCAAACTGAGCCATGCTTTAGGGGAGGGAAAGGGGCTAAAGTCTCTTCTGTTGGTAATTTATTAGTTACTCTTGAAACAATAAAATCCAACAGAAAGGAAGAGATAGCTACTGTATATTACAGTAAAGAAAGCTGCATAGTTATTTTAAATTTAATGGAGATGAATATGGTTAAAATATATAACTACTGCTGCTTGAGAATAGCAAGAGTATTGTTTTAAAACATATTCCACCCAACTTGAGAGTTCTTTTAAAATGATTGGCCATATGAACATTTGTAATCTTGCCATTAGGTTTGGACCTGCCATATTTTGTTTTATTCTGTGATCCTAACTAGTTCCTTTTAATAGGCTAAAATATTTATCAATACTGATCAGACTTTAAAGAAATTACTTTGTAAACCTGCTGACTACCTGTATGTATTGTATATATATTATATATTAAATATATAATATATTGAGATTATAAAAGATGAAAATATTGAATCCTTATAATATTTTAAGTTGCAGAATGTATGTTAAAAAGTGACTTGAATGAGATGTATTTGTATCTAGAAATTTTATTTCTTTTTGGAATGAGATTAAAATACATTTTGAAAGTTCAGCAGAGTAAGCAATTTATTTGTGTTGCCTATGTGTGAGTGTATTTAAAGTTTTATGGACGCTTAATGGTTTCTCCCAAATTAAAATTCTTTTTCTGTCATTTCCAAAAATCAGAATCTTTCCCTCTCAAATCAGGTCTACAGGTATCATGTATGCCTTTGTTAAATAGGACTTGTTTTAAATTTGTAGTTTCTAGAATTAGAAATATTTTTGTTTTACTGGCCAAAACGGATAATTTGAATGAAACATTCAAGGGAAATGAAAAAAAGTAAAACTCTTTTTGATGCCTTTTACATCTAAAGTTCAAAATGAAGGGTCAAGATTGTAAAATGTGTAAGAGATAAAGGTAGTTTTTTTGTCTTTTCAAATAAATGAATACATGCTTTTCCATATAACTCTTAAGAGGCTGTCTTTATGTTTCAGTGCTGTTAACACTGTTGAAAGCAAGTTTGAAACTCTTCTTTTGGAATAACTTTCAGGGCTTTTAAGGTTCACAGTCATCTGAAAATTTTAATATAGCAAATTCCTGTCTTTGGGTGTAGATTTAAATATTTTGGAAATAGCCATGTTTTAAAAGGAAAGGAATGCTTATACACTGCTGAGGATGTAAATTACTTCCAGTCCTATGGAAAACAGTATGGAGATTCCTCAAAGAACTAAAAATAGAACTACCACTTGACTGAGCAGTTTCATCATTAGGTATCAATCCAAATGAAAGGCAATCATTGTATCAAAAAGAGACCTGCACTCATCTGTTATTGAAGCAGTATTCACAGTGGCAAAGTCATGGGGTCAACCTAAGTGGCCATCAGTGGTTGATTGGATAAAGAAAATGTGGTATGTATACACCATAGAATACCATGCAGCCGTAAAAAAAGAATGAAACTATGTTCTTTGAAGCAACATGGATGAAACTGGAGGCCATTATCCTAAGTGAACTAACTCAGAAACAGAAAATGAAATACCAGATGTTCTTTTATAAGCGGGAGCTGAACAATGAGTACTCATGGAAATAAAAATGGAAACAGTAGACACTAGGGATTCCAAAAGAGGGGAAGTGGGAAGGAAATGAGGGTTGAAACACTACCTGTTGCATACTATGTTCACTATTTGATTGATGGGTTCACTGGAAGTCCAAACCTCAGCATTGTGCAATACACCCATATAGCAAACCGGCACATGTATGCCCTGAAACTAAAATAAAACATGTAAAAAGTTGAGTAGTAAGTACTTAAACTGGATAAAACTGACTGAAATGAATTGTGAATATATCCTAATGACGCTTCATGTGTATTTCCAAAGGAAGCATTTCAAATATATTTTGAGATATATCAGCGTCATCAAAATGTGTTTGTTTTATAATAAGATGATACCAAAATTTCACATTTGTTTTGTATCTGAAAATTCTCACATGTTGGACTAGGGAAGAATCTCACCTGGTATTTATAATCATTCTTACCAAAGAGCTACATTTTAAAAAGTAAAATTGAAGTTATTATTTTAAGTTTCAAAGATTGTACAGTGCAGTAATATGGTGTAAAAGACATAGAATTCATTATTGGATGGAATAATGTATATTCCTAAAGTTCTGTTAATTCATTCTTTTTAAACTTAAACTCTAAGTATACTCTGGCTTGAGCAAACCAAGTATTTTAAGTAACAGGTTTGGTTTAGTTTTTTTAGCCTTTCAAAGCAAATTTGAACTAATTGGTTTATTTATGCATTTTGTCTTTGAACCAAGAGTTATGTTCTTCAAATACAAAAGAGTTTGTACTTTATGTAAACCAAGTAATATTTTAATATCCCCAAATTAGACCAGTATAGTTCTTTTATTTTGTATGTTATACTTTAGTCAATATAATATGCTTCAAAGCATATATAAAGTTATTTTTATTGTATGTGTTTGCCCTTATAATCTTGGTTTTGTATGATTAGTAGGATTGCGACAATTTATTGGTTCCTGTCTTTCCGACTACCCCACTTGCTAGCCATTGCACTATAAAATCAGAGCTGTATTCTTCCTCCTACCCCCATTGATTTGTCTGAAATGAAAAGCATATAATTTTATCTTAATATCCATGTGCATTTTTATTATATCAGTATTTTTCCCAGAATCCCAATTGATGTGCGTAAAATGACCAATGCATACAAGCAGAATGGGCTCATTGTCTTATTGTTTCTGATATAAATATCATTGGTAAAATAGTGGCATTTCTTCCTCAGTTATGATTCAGAAGAGATATTCATCCATTAATGGAATTGACAGGTCCAGGAAGCAATAAATAGAATTCATTATGAAATCTATAATTGGAACTTCACTGGATAGATATTATTCTTTCAAATGAAAGATTGAATTCTCAGTATTTTGAAGCCTAAGGTCTCAACATTCTCTGAATTCATATACAGTTTCTGAGCCATCACTTAATTGAAGATGTTCTATCAAGGTATATGGCTTTATTCAACAAAATAAAACTAAGTGATTTTTAAATGCAGATCATCCTGTGTCTTTGCAAAGATTTAGGTGTCTTAAGGAATCAGATTTAAACACACTAGTGATACTAGAGCTTGAACCCAGTGTCTCGAATACTTGTACCATCTCATCTTTTAACTCCTATCCATCTTATTATGTTCATACCTTGGGTTTAGAGCTGAGCTCGTTATGTGCCATGAAGACTCTGACATGGACACCAAGGATGGTCAAAAAGCTAATGTCTTGCTTGATGATATCTTGGGATTAAAATAAAAGCTAATGTCAACCTTTTCCTTTTTTAAAGTGGTAAACATTTTCACATATTTTTGTTTTGTTCCTAAGGTGGGGAACAAAAACAGGTAGAGCCTTTTTACATATATGTCTTCTGTTACCATGGGACTCCTTTTTTAGCTATGAACTATTCATGATGGACAGGCCTATTTTTAATGGATCAGAGTGTGTATTTTTCCATCCTATTGTTTTTTGTTTTGTTTTCTTTTGTTTTCCTCCCACCACTCCCTGCATGTGGTTACTGTTCTTTCTCCCGTTTGGGGAAAGACAATTTATTTTCTTAAATAAAGTAGTATCATAGTTTCGTAGGCAGAATGCTAATCTAAGAATCAGAAAACATCTCATCCCATTTCTGTCTATAGTTTTTTTTTTTTTTGCATCTTTAAAATGAATTTACATTAAATGTGTGGCTATATACATATATATATATATATATATATATATATATATATATATATATATACACTTTTTTTTTTTTTTTTTTTTTTTGAGACAGAGTCTTGCTCTGTCGCCCAGGCTGGAGTGCAGTGGCGCGGTCTCGGCTCACTGCAAGCTCCGCCTCCCGGGTTCACGCCATTCTCCTGCCTCAGCCTCCTGAGTAACTGGGACTACAGGCGCCCGCCACCATGACCAGCTAATTTTTCGTATTTTTAATAGAGACGGGGTTTCACAGTGTTAGCCAGGATGGTCTCGATCTCCTGACCTCGTGATCCACCTGCCTCGGCCTCCCAAAGTGCTGGGATTACAGGCGTGGGCCACCGCGCCTGGCCGGCTATGTATTTCTAAATCTGATAACTGATTTCTCTGTGTTATGAGAAAAACATACAGCTATGTTTGATTTTAGGAATGGTTACAGATCATGTTGGAGGGCATTCATTTATTGTTATTTGAAAATGACTTCACAAAGAGTGTTTTCTCTGGAATAATTTGGTTTGTACCCATTTGGTTATTTTTCAGTAAATACATGTTGAGTGCCTGTAATGTGCCATAGGCTGTTCCACACACCCTAGCTACAGCAATGAACAAAACAGCAAAATCTCTTCCCTCCAAGAGCTTAGCATCTAGTGGAGAGAATGCAGACAATAAATTAAGATGAAGAGTCTAATATAGGATATCTGGATGTGTATTGTTGTTGAGCTGGTGTCCCTGTTGGGGGAAGGAGGGTCTAGGACTTCCTCTTCTGCTATCTTGCTGACATCATTTTCCGTTTGGAATTACATCTTTAATATGTTAAAAGAAAATAGCTACTAATGTAGGATTCCATGGCTTTTAATAGAAAGACTTTAAAAAGAAAAACTAAGGAGATTTGTGGTCAGGATGAAGGGCAATAATCATAGATGAAGACATGGAAATGGACAAGGAAGACATTATAAATATTTAAGCAAATGGACAAAAAACAATTATTGAATGCCTGTGTTATTTTAAAATTCAGCATATTTAAAGTTCACAATAACAATGGAAAAGGAAAGGATAAATGAGGTTAAAACAATATGTTTTTAGCAGTATCATGAAAGTGTGAATGTAATTTGTATTGTAATAAAAGAATAATGTACACTGTAATCTCTAAGATAATCCATAAAAGAATCTATAACAAGTAAATAAAAGAAGGAAATGGAATAATATTAATTTAAAAGATGAAAACAAACCAGATGGGACTGAAATCAAAAGTAGTGGAAATGAATGCAACTATATCAGAAATTAGATTAAACATAAACAGAAAAGACATAGAATATCAACAAGAAATCTTGCAGTTAGAAGCAGTATGGAAACTCCACAAGGTGGCAGTTATGCATTGCAAAGGACACCAGCGAGCTTCCACCTTGGTGGGTTTGGGGAATTCCCGCACTGACTCAGAGTCTCCAAAAGCAGCATCTGCCCCTTTGCGGGCATCAGTCACAGCCCCTCTGCTCCCTCAAGCACCTGATCTTGTACCTACTTATTCTAAAGAAGAAAAGGACTTTCTCCAGGTAGAGGGAGGACAAGTGATGGAGGAAGGATGCATTCGGTTACTAGATGGGAGAGTAGCTGTGCCACAGCTGCTAGGAGCTGCAATTGTACTGGCTGTGCATGAAACCACCCATCTAGGTCAGGAGTCACTTGGAAAGTTGTTAGGCCAGTATTTCTACATCTCGCATTTGTCAGCCTTTGCCAAAACTGACACAGCGGTGTGTTACCTGCCGACAGCATAATGCAAGGCAAGGTCCAGCCGTTCCACCCGGCATGCAAGCTTATGGAGCAGCCCCCTTTGAAGATCTCCAGCTAGACTTCACAGAGATGCCAAAGTGTGGAGGTAACAAGTATTTACTAGTTCTTGTGTGTACCTTCTCTGGGTGGGTGGAGGCTTATCCAACACGAACTGAGAAAGCTTGTGAAATAACCCATGTGCTTCTTTGAGATCTTATTCCTAGATTTGGACTGCCCTTACGGATCGGCTCAGATAATGGGCTGGCGTTTGTGGCTGACTTGGTACAGAAGACGGCAAAGGTACTGGGGATCACATGGAAACTGCATGCTGCCTACTGGCCTCAGAGTTCCGGAAAGGTGGAGCGGATGAATCAGACTATCAAAAATAGTTTAGGGAAAGTATGTCAGGAAAAAGGATTAAAATGGATACAGGCTCTCCCTATGGTATTATTTAAAATTAGATGTACCCCTTCTAAAAGAGCAGGATATTCCCCTTATAAAATACTATATCATAGGCCCCCTCCCATATTGTGGGGACTTCCAGGCACTCCCCAAGAGTTAGGTGAAATTGAGTTACAGCGACAGCTACAGGCTTTAGGAAAAATTACACAATCTCAGCCTGGGTAAATGAGAGATGCCCTGTTAGCTTATTCTCCCCAGTTCACCCTTTCTCCCCAGGTGATTGAGTGTGGATCAAGGACTGGAACGTAGCCTCTTTGTGCCCACAGTGGAAAGGACCCCAGATTGTCGTCCTGACCACTCCCACCGCTGTGAAGGTAGAGGGAATCCCAGCCTGGATCCACCACAGCCATGTAAAACCTGCAGCACCTGAAACCTAGAAGGCAAGACCAAGCCTGGACAACCCTTGCAGAGTGACCCTGAAGAAGACAAGCCCTGCTCCAGTCACACCCGGAAGCTGACTGGTCCACGCATAGCCGAAGCATGAGGAAGTTCACTGTGGAACTCATTTTTTTAAATTTTGGACTTGTACAGTAAGGACTTCAACTGACCTTCTTCAGACTGAGGTAGGGTTAAAAAAAAAAAGTTAAAATAGTCTTTTTGTTTAAAAAGGACTTGTGTGTATAATGCCACCCAGTACAAGGTATGCAGCCCAGGAAGTGACCAGACTGATGTGTGCTATAACCCATTAGAACTACTTAATCCCTGTTGGAAAACAGGAGAGTATGTAACTCTAGGAGTCAATGGAACTGGACTGGCAGGAAGACCTGGGTAGTGTAGATGAGAGTGAGAACTCCCGCTAGTGAGTGAGGTTCTCAAAGGGGGGAATGAGGAGAGAAGCCATTTCTCTTACTGTCTCCTGTCTGAAGACGAGGAGGAAGTAAAAGTTGAAAAACAAGAAGAAGGAAGTCAGTGGCAAGACCAGCCGGTGCCACTGATGACCCGGCCTGAGGTTAAAAGATTAACCACCCCCCCCAACTCTAACCACATGTGCTCTCAATCCATCAGACCCTTTCACATGGAACCCCTTAGAGCTGTAAGCCATTAAAAGGGTCAGGAGCTCTGTCTTCGGGGAGCTCAGCTCTTAAGATGCGAGTCTGCTGACGCTCCCAGCTGGATAAAAAACCTCTTCCTTCTTTAATCCAGTGTCTGAGGAGTTTTCTCTGCGGCTCGTCCTGCTACAATTCCACTTTCTTCTGCCTGCTTTATTTTATCCTTTATACTTTTTGTATCCTCAGTCCAATCAAGTTGACACTCAATATTAACCATCACAACCACATTCTGGGCCATTCAAATAAAAAATAGATTAAGAAATGTAAAAATACTGAAATTATTTGTAATGTTTTTCTGATCACCATGGAATTAAGCTAGAAATGATCAAAAAGACGACCAGGCACATTGGCTCATTCTTGTAATCGCAGCACTTTGGGAGGCTGAGACGGGTGGATCATCTGAGGTCAGGAGTTTGAAATCAGCCTGGCCAACATGGTGAAACCCTGTCCCTACTAAAAAAAAAAAAAAAATACAAAAATTAGCTGGACATGGTGGTACACACCTGTAATCCCAGATACTCAGGAGGCTGAGGCAGGAGAATCGCTTGAACCTGGGAGGCGGAGGTTGCAGTGAGCTGAGATCATGCCACTCTACTCCAGCCTGGGCAACAAGAGTGAAACCATGTCTCCAAAAAAAAAGTAAAAATACTGAAATCATTTGTAATGTTTTCTGACCACCATGGAATTAAGCTAGAAATGATAAGAAAGAGAACAAAATTTCAACTGCCTTAAGTTTAAGCATTCTATTTCTATATAGTTCATTGTTTAAAGAGCAAATAAAAAGAAACTATGAAGTATTTTGAAAGGTAAAGAACATGACATCAAATTTTGATGCTATTTAACCCATTGTAGAACAAAATTTAAAGTTTCCCATTCAAGAAGCTATAAGAGATCATCAAACCTAAGGAAAGTAGAATTAAAGGAATAATTCAGCAAAAACCAATGAAATACTACACAAATGTATAATAGAGAAAATTAAGCTAAAAACGATTGTTCCAAAAGATTAATGAAGTTGATTATATTCTTATCAAAATTGGTTCAAGGAGAAATAAAAACAGTAACCCATATCAATGCTAATTAAAAAACAGTAATCAAAATATGAGATGACTACAGACATTTAAAAAGTAAGAATACAAGCAATGAACACTTGAAAAATTAGTAATTCTTGTTACAATAGTGTCAAAAAGCAAGTTAGAAGTAGCTTTTTACCAACATGTATAAGACCTGTACACTGAACTCTACAAAATGTTAAGAGAAATTAAAGTAGACATAAGTAAATGATATGTTTCACATGAATGTATTGGAAGACTCAATGTTGTATAAATGTTATATAAATTAACACAAATGTTATATAAATTCAACACAATCCAAATAATAGTTTCACCAAATTCAAACAAAAGTTTTCTATCTGATCTTAAATTTATATGGAAATGTAAAGTACTTAGATTGTCCAAAGTATTTTGCAATGGAAAAAGTTAGAGGATTTGAAGATTTACTATAAAGTGATGTTGTGATTCTGCCATAAAGACAAACAAATGGATCAATGAAAGAGAGAGCTGAGAAATAGTCTCATACTTACACACTCATTTAATTTTTGACAAAGGTGTCAAAGCAATACAATGGGGAAAGGAGAGTCATTGCAACAACTGGTGCTAGAATAATTGGATGTCCACATTTTAAAAAAATGAACCTCAATCCCCACCTCATACTTTACACAAGAATCAATTCAAGAGCCAAATGTAAAAGCTACAACATAGTTTGGCAATTAGTGGTGGATAGAGATTTCTTAGGACACAAAGTATTAACCATAAAATTGGTTTGTTGTTGTTGTTGTTGTTGTTGTTGTTTGAGACAGAGTCTCACTTTGTTGCCCAGGCTGGAGTGCAGTGGCACAATCTCAGCTCACTGCAACCTCTGCCTCCTGGGTTCAAGCAATTCTCCTGCCTTAGCCTCCTGAGTACAGGCGTGTGGCTAATTTTTTTTTTTAGTAGAGACGTTTCACCATTTTGGCCAGGCTGGTCTCGAACTTCTGACCTCAGCTAATCCACCTGCCTTGGCCTCCCAAATTCCTGGGATTACAGGTGTGAGCCACCGCACTTGGCCCCCATAAAATGGTTTTTAATAATAAAAGATTTCATAGAAATTAAAAACTTATGCTCATCAAAAAAAGGAAATAGACATGTTAAAACTTGAAATAAAATACTTGCAAAACGAGACAAAAGACTGGAATCAGGATATATAAAGAATTAAAAAAAATAGATTAGGAAATGGGTGAGACATTTGAATAGGCACTTCACAGTTGACCATTAAGCACATGAAAAAGTGTTCAACCTCTAGCAATTCGATTATGATGATCCTTGGTATTGTTTTATGTTTCTTATTACTTGGGTTCATTCAGGTTCTTTGATCATTGGCTTTTTATTTCAGGCCACGTTAAAGGCTGACTAGTTTTTCCTCCTGAGGAAAGAGGAGAAATTTGATTGCAATGCATCGTTGGACTTTACAATTTTCTTGACATCTGTTTCTGCAAAAGAATGTGTTTAAAGGGTGTTATATTCTTAAAAGTGCCTAGGATGGCTACATAAAATGTTTAGTAAAAGCACTGCCTGTATAAATACATGTAAGACCTTTCAGTTACATACTCAGACATGTGGAGTAAACTTGATACTATTAATAGTTTTCTTTGACTCTTTATAGGTGTCGATTTTGCTTGAGAATATTGAAGGTCTTGACAGAAGTTGTGGATTTCAGTTTTAACAAATGTGTTTTAAGTGGAAGAGCATTTTCCTGGTCTTGTCCCTCCAATTTGAGAATTAGAAATGCCATGTTTATGATTATTCAGCTGTATTTGTTGCTAACTTGTAAAGCAATACAAACATTTTTTGGTCTGTTTGACTGAATTTGTCCCACAACTCATTGTTGCTCTGTTCATTTTTTTCCAGGTTTCTTTTTTCTTTCTGTGTTTCATTTTGGATAGTTTTTATTGCTATGCTATGTTTTCAATTTGTCTTTTTATTTTTGGCAGCATCCTGTCTGGTATTTAACTAATTCAGTGAAATTTTCAATCTCAGACATTTTAAAAAACCTTTAGAACTAAGTTCAAATTGAGTCTTTAAAAATACGTTTATGCTTTCCTCTACTTTCTTGAACATATAAAATATAGTTATAATAGCAGATTCAATGTTCTTGTCTACTAATTTTATCTTGTGTCTATTGAATGATTTTTCTTTTCATTGTGGGTCATGTTTTCCTGCTTCTTTGCATCACTGAAAATCGTTGACTGGATTCCAGACATTATGAGTTTTGCCTGTTGAGTACAAGGTATTTTTTTCCTTAAATAGAGTAATGTACTACATAATAACTTTTTGGTCAACAATGAACTGGGTATATAACGGTGGTCCCATAGGATTATAATGGAGTTGAAAAATTCCTATCACCTAGTGATGTCGTAGCCATCATAACATTGTAGTGCACTGCATTGCTCATGTTTGTGGTGATGCTGGCGTAAACAAACCTGCTGCACTGGCAGTCATATAAAAGCCTAGCACACAATTATACACAGCACATTATACTTAATAACAATAATAAGCTACTATGTTACTGGTTCATGTATTTGTTACACTTTTTATTATTACTTTAGAGTATAGTCCTACTTATTAGAAGAAAAAAGCAGGTCATTTAGAAGGTATTCCAGAAGAAGACATTGTTATCATGGGAGATGACAGTGCCATGCTTGTTACTGCCCCTGAAGACCTTCCAGTGGTATAAGATGTAGAGGGTAAGACAGGGATATTGAGGATTCTGATGCTGTGCAGGCCTAGGCTAATGCAGGTGTGTCTTGTTTTCTAACAAAAAGTTTAAAAAATAAAAATAAAAAGCTTTGAAAATAGTAAAAAGCATATAGAATAAGCATATAAAGGAAGTAAATATTTTTGTACAGCTCTGTGTATTTGTGTTTTAAGCTAAGCTATTACAAGAACCCAAAATTGAAAAATAAAAAGTTTATAAAGTAAAAAGTGACAGTAAGCTAAGTTTAATTAATTATTGAAGAAAGACAATATCTTTGTAAATTTAGTGTAGCCTATGTATACAGTGTCTGTAAGTCCACAGTAGTGTGCAGTAATGTCCTAGGCCTTCACTTTCCCTCATCACTCACTGATTTATCCAAAGAAACTTCCAGTCCTACAAGTTCCATTTATGGTAAGTACCCTAGACAGGTATACTATTTTTAATCTTTTATACTGTATTTTTACTATACTTTTTCTGTTTAGCTATGGTGAGATACACAAATACTTAAAATTGTGTTACAATTGCCTGCAGTATTCAGGACAGTAAGAAACTGCACAGGTTTGTAGCCTAGGAACAATAGGCTATACCATATAACATAGATGTGTAGTAGGCTGCACCATCTTGGTTTGTGTAAATCCACCCTATGATGTTTGCACAATGATTAAATTGCCTAATGACACATTTCTCAAAACCTATCTCCATCGTTAACCAGTGCATAATTGTATTCTTGAGCTTTGTGCTGGGATCCAACTAAGTCAGTAGGAAACCAAGGAGGCAGTTTTGATTCTTTTGAGGCTTGTATTTAAGGTGAGATCAGACTTTAATTTCATGCTAAT
This sequence comes from Homo sapiens, assembly GCF_000001405.40. Lineage (NCBI taxonomy): Eukaryota > Metazoa > Chordata > Mammalia > Primates > Hominidae > Homo > Homo sapiens. Next base: position 88,184,125 of record NC_000005.10, on the reverse strand, counting down.
TTTTACCCATACTGAGGCAATACCCTTTTGAATACTTTACCAATGCCCCACGTATTAAAAGGTTTTCCTACTTTGGCTAATGGGAACAGGAATTACACTATTCCTATCCATGTATGAATCCAGAGGATTATTCTGCCTGTCCTTTTTGGTGATTCTTTCCCCAACACTTAGAAATTTCCTCAAATGCATGCATTGGTCAGAACTTGGCTGAAGATGTGAGGGAACCTTCAACCTCTATAGATAGAGCTTCCTCACACCGCAGCCTTCCTTTCTGGTACTCTTTTCTGTCAATTGTAGTTCCCTTAGCCTTACCAGATTCTCAACTCAGGAAGACCACTGGGCTTTGTTTAGTTTTTCCCCTGTGCTGTGACTGGACAATCAAGTCAGTAAGCTGGAACAATCAAGGTTTCAAGTAGAATTTCTTTAGTTATTTAGTTTTGTAAAATAGAGGAATGAATCTGCTCCCTATTAATTTCACCTTAATTGGAAGAGGAAGTCCCCAGCTTCTGATTTTAATTTCTTCTTAGAGAATTTTTATTCCCCCAGTAATATTCCTTTCAGAGACAGGCTTCCATTCACATGCAATTTTAAAAGATGTGTAACTCAACATTATTAGTCATCAGGGATATGCTAATTAAAATCAAAATGAAATACCACTATACTAAATGTAGACAAGGATATGATGCAACTGGAACTCTGATACTTTGTGGTACAACTACTATGAAAATGACATGGCTACTTTGCAAAAAAGTTGTAATAGTTTCTTATAAAACTAAATTTATACCTATCCTGTGACCCAGCAATTTTACATTTATGTGTTTACTCAAGAGAAAAACACATCTACAAAAAGGTCAAGAATGTTCATAGCAGCTTTATTCAAAGTAGTCCCAGACTAAAAAAAGCCCAGGTGTCTATCAGTAGTAGAATATGTACACACACTGGTATAAATATACAATGGAATAATAGCAGTGAAAAAAGTACAAACTGATGATTTATGCAAAACCTGGATGAATCTTTAATATGCTGAAATAAGTCTTTTAAAACAGAGTGCATACTGTAAATTCAATTTATATAAATTTCTAGAATAAACTAATGTACGGTGGAAAATATCAGAAGAATGGTTGACTTTCAGGAAGGGTAGAGGTAGGGATTGACTGGGAAGAGGCATAAGGAAACTTTCTGGAATGAGAATGTTTTATATCTTGTAGGATTTGGGTTAAATGGGTATATGCCTCTGTCAAAATTCAATGGATGTCCACTTAAAATTTGTGCATTTCATCTAATGTAAATTTTACCCAAAAAGGAAAAAACTATGAGGAAAAAAACTAAACATATTGAACTCGAATAATATGCAAAGAATATTTAGGGGGAACTATATCTGTAATTTACTTAAAAATTCCCACCGAAATAAGATAAATTGCTAGAACTATGAGTGATGAGTTGATAGATACATTTTAAAACATAAAATATGTAGCATCCAAGTGAAGCATACATGTGTGTTCATTGTAAAATTCAACCTTCCAAGAATATTACTTGAAATATTATAATGAAATTTTGAAAAATGAAGAGTATATAGGTTGAGCATCCTAAGTTTGATAATATGAGATCTGAAATGCTCCAAAATCCAAAACTTTTTGAGTGCCCACATGATGCTCAAAGGAAGTACTAATTGGAGCATTTTGGATTTCAGACTTTTGGATTTGGAATGCTTAACTGGTAAGTATAATGCAAAAATATTCCAAAACCAGAAAAAAACCCCAAATCTGAAACACTTCTGGTTGCAAGCATTTTGGATAAGAGATAATCTGTATTATGAACAGCCTTACATCAATAAATTTGACAAATGAAGCGAAACATTTATTGGAAAAGGCAATTACCAAAGCAGCAAAAGAAGAAATAGAAAAATCTTAAGTAAAGGAAATCCATTATTTAAAAATTTCTGTACAAAGAAAATTCATAGCCCAGATGGCTTTATCTGCAAATTTTGCCCAATAGTTGAGGAAGAAATAATAACAATTTTGCACAAACTCTTCCAGAGTGAATGGTTCCTTACTCTTTTTATAAGGCAAGGTAATATTGACTGCAGAATCTGACAGGCATATTACAAGAAAGGAACAAATTAAAAACCAATCTCTCTCATAATTATAGATGTAAATACCCTTAGTAAAAATATTAGCTAATCCAATTTAGTGATATATGCATCATACCAAGTGAGATTTAATCCAGGTTCATTTTACATCTAAAAGCCAGTTAACATAATTTATCAGATTGAGAGGAAAAAATGCAAACAGCTAAACTAAATCTTATGATTCAGGAAAAGCATTTGACAAAATGTAATAGCCATTCACAATAAAGCTTTTCAGAAAATTAGGATGAGAGAGAAGCACCCTTAATTGGAGGAAGATTATCTACTAAAAACCAACAGCAAACATTAATCATGAAGCATGTTATTGAAGACTTTTCTCTTGTGTTCAGAAATGAGACAAGGATTCCTACTATGACCATTTCCATTTAGTCTTGTACTGGAGGTCCTAGGCAGTAAAGTAACGCAAGATCAAAACAAACAAACATTAAGATTAGAAGGGTCAAAACTGTCATTATTCACTATTCAATATGATTGTGTATGTGTACCTAAAATATGTATTTAAAATTCCTCATAAAAATATAAAAACTAAACTGTATTTGCAAGGTTGCTGTACACAGGTCAATATTTAAAAAATTAGTTGTGTTTTCACATAACAGCAACTGACTGAAAACAATATTTTTAAATGTTGCCATTGACCGTAACATCAAAAGCCCCCAAATACATAAGACTAAATCTAATAAAAGATGTGCCAAGACCTCCTCACTGAAAAATTACAAAACATTTTTGTAAGTGAAGAATTTCTAAATAAATGGAGAGATATATAAAGTATTATTGCACAGATGTCAATCCCTCAAATCTACAATTTCAGTACAGTCTCAATAAAAAGCCCAGCAGCTATCTTTGTGGAAACTAGTAAATTGATTTAAAAATTCATATGGAGTACAAAAAACCAAGATTTGTTGATGCAATTTTGAAAAAGAAGAACCCAGAGAAAATGATACATTCTAAAGTTCTTCTAATAAAGTCGATGTGCTATTGCTAAGTGGTTTTAGAGAAATATGACCAATAAAACAGACCAGAAATTCCAGGAACTGACCCATACACACACAAACACCTACTTTAATTTTTTTTAAACTTTAAATTTTTGTGGCTACATAGTAGGTGTATACATGAGATATTTTGATACAGGCATGCAATGCATAATCACATCAGAGTAAATGGGGTACCCATCACCTCAAGCATTTATCCTTTGTTACAAGTCATACTGCAAATAAGTACAAGAAGTGATCTTTTCATTTAATGATGATGAATCAGTTGCATATCTATACAGAATAAAAGTGTATGTTGACCCTTTTCTCAGACCATACAAAAAATTACAGACAGATTGCAGGTTTAACCTACATGTGATTTTTGACTAGGCAAAACTGGGGAAACTGGACCAAAAAAAACCTGCTTATAAAGAAAATTGGTTAAATGGACTATATTAAAATTAAAAAACTCTGTTCACAAGAGAAAAATACCATCAGGAGGGTAAAATAAGACCTTGTAATGAGATTTTAAAAAACTTTCCAAAACACCTCATACCCAGAATCTACAAAGTATACTTACAATCAATTATATTTATATATTTTTAAAAGACACCAAAAAAAAAAAAGAAAATGGATGTCACAAATGAGGATATCCGAGTGGTCAATAACATGAAAACATGCATGACTTCATTAATTATCAGGAAAATTAAAGTACAGTGTGGTACTACTATACATCTAACAAAAGGGCTAAGTTTGAAAAGGTGGAAAATATCTTCAACCTCATTCTTGTTGGTAAAATAAGAAACAAAAGATGGAAAATAACAAGCATTGGCAAGAATGTGAAGAACTTTCACAACGTAAATGAGGATTTAAATTGCTGTACATTCTAAGCAATTGCTATATATTGCTATGTATCCTAATTGCTATACATGTTAAACTGAAATACTTAGTCATTTTCTTCTAAGGCTGATCGTGTTTCCTTGTGACAATTTCACTGGTAAGTATTTACCCCCCAAATTCCATACATGTTATTAAATGACATGTACTACACCATAGATAATAGCACTTTAGTCCCAAATGGGGAAATATTAAAATGTCCTTCAACATTAGAATGAATAGATAAATTGTGGTACATTCACAATGAGTGACATCAAAATAGATAAATCCTGGTAGAGTCACAATGAAATACACAATATCCATCAAAATGGATAAATTGTGGTAGAGTCACAATGAAATAGTAGATGTAGTGTATAGCAATGGGAAGAAATAGTCTATATGCAACAATGTAGATGAATCTCACAAACATTGATACTAAGACAACATGCAACAAAAGACACTGCAATTCCATTTATGCAAAGTACTAAAACACAAACATGCTGTTGGAAATCTGGGTGGTGTAATGATTGCAAAGTAGCTTGAAGGGGGCTTCTGAGGTGCTGAAACTATCTTGCTTCTGAATCTAGGTGCTAGCTACAGAGTTGTGTTCCATTTGTGAAAATTCAAGCTGTGGAGTTATAATATGTGCAGTTTCCTATATGACTGTGATGCTTCTGAGAAACAGCTAAAATTAGTGATGCTACTGATAAGTATATGATAGGCTGTTAAAATAGTGGAGCTCCCCCCACCCAGCAAACATCATGAAATCATACATAAAAATATATTTATTTTAAAATCTTAATTTTACTCCTGCCCACTCCTGAAAAAAAAAAAAAGCTAATCTGATATCCTATTTGCTGAATATGAAAGTCTAAAATGGCTACAATAAAACTTTTTATAATTTTAGTAATAGTATTTTAGTATTTAAAATCTTAATCATACTGATTGGGATTACCAAATAGATATTGAAGAATGGACTTGTAAATGTACAAACTGATGTTTCAATCAGCATTTTTAAGAATTGTTTTCAACATTGTTAATCAGTTTAAACTTTGAAAATTATCTTGCTTGCTCTTGAATGTGGTGATAACTCTTATATGTTTGATAACTTTGGTTTTAAGTGATGCCAACTAAATAATACAGCAACTGTAAGATCAAAGGTCAATAATTATTTTAACTTTCAGTTGGGTGGTTGCTCACATTATTTCTCTAAATACCACACAACCTGGTTCTTCTTAGCTCCTGCATATCATGAACCAAAAGGAACATCATGTAATCCTTTAAAGCATAGCACCCAATCCTTGATTGATTACTTGATAACTGGGGAGTGTGTATGCTATTTTTAATAATAAAGAAGACAAATAGATTCTAAGCAGCTATTATTAGGTTCCTATTTATACCAATGTCTAATTATAGGATTTGTTATTATTTGGCATTTGACATTCATTTTTGGATCAGACTTTTAATAGTTTTAAATAGTATGTAAATATAAATAATATATGTATAACAGTTAAATATTCAGACTTATTATGTTGCTCTTGGACAAATTAAGAATTTTCAGTTCTTATATGTATCTAGACAGTGTAAAAGCTGTCTGTTACTCTGGGTCAGAGTCCTACTGCCTTAACATATAAGCTTTTCTAGAGGAGTCAGGAGTTGGGAAAGAGTAGTAGTCTAAGGCTGCCTCTGTTAATGTACTATGATGTTATTACATGTAATGATTCATTTATTCACTGAATCATATATTTATAAATAAAATACATATATGTGTATATATAATATAGCAATGAGCCATCACTACATTACCAATTGGAATGGCTAATATTCAAAAACCCAACAATACCAATTGCTGGCAGGGATGTGAAAAAAGAACTCTCATTTGTTCCTGGTGGAAACGTAAAATGGTACAATCACTTTGGAAGACAATTTAGCAGTGTCTTATAAAGAAAAGTTTTTCACATATGAAAAAAAGCTCAACATCACTGACTGTTAGGAAATGCAAGTCAAAACCACAATGAGATACCATCTCAAACCAGTCAGAATGGCTATTATTAAAAAGTCAAAAAACAACAGATGCTGGTGAGGTTGTGGAGAAAAAGGAAGGCTTCTACACTGTTGATGGGAGTGTAAATTAGTTCAACCATTGTGGAAGACAATGTGGTGATTCCTCAAAGACCTAGAGGCAGAAATACCATTCAACTCAGCAATCCCATTACTGGGCATATACCCAAAGGAATAAAAATTGTTCTGTTATGGCAACCCCCTTTGGGTCCCCTCCTTTTGTATGGGAGCTCTGTTTTCACTCTATTTCACTCTATTAAATTTTACAACTGCATTCTTCTCGTCCATGTTTGTTACGGCTCGAGCTGAGCTTTTCTCTCGCTGTCCACCACTGCTGTTTGCCGCTGTCGCAGACCCGCCCCTGACTCCCATCCCTCCAGATCTGGCAGGGTGTCCTCTGTGCCTCTGATCCAGCGAGACTCCCATTGCCACTCCCGATCATGCTAAAGGCTTGCCATTGTTCGGGCACGGCTAAGTGCCTGGGTTTGTCCTAATTGAGCTGAACGCTAGTCACTGGGTTCCACGGTTCTCTTCCATGACCCACAGCTTCTAATAGAGCTATAACACTCACCACATGGCCCAAGATTCCATTCCTTGGAATCCGTAAGGCCCAGAACCCCAGGTCAGAGAACACAAGGCTTGTTACCATCTTGGAAGTGGCCCACCACCATCTTGGGAGCTCTGTGAGCAAGGACCCCCCGGTAACATTTTGGCAACCATGAAGGGACCTCCAAAATGAATTGAAACTGTAAAACTACAAATGGTTCTTCAAATGGAGCCCCAGATGCAGTCCATGACTAAGATCCACCACGGACTCCTGGACCGGCCTGCTAGCCCATGCTCTGATGTTAATGACATCGAAGGCACCCCTCCCAAGGAAATCTCAACTGCACAACTCCTACTATGCCCCAGTTCAGCAGGAAGCAGTTAGAGCCGTCATCGGCCAACTTCCCCAACAGCATTTGGGTTTTCCTGTTGAGACGGGGGACTGAGAGACAGGACTAGCTGGATTTCCCAGTCCCTAAGCCTAGCTGGGAAGGTGACCACATCCACCTTTAAACATGGGGCTTGCAACTTAGCTCACACCCAACCAATCAGAGAGCTCACTAAAATGCTAATTAGGCAAAAACAGGAGGTAAAGAAGTAGCCAATCATCTATTGCCTGGGAGCACAGCGGGAGGGACAAGGATCGGGATATAAACCCAGGCATTCGAGCCGGCAACGGCAACCCCCTTTGGGTCCCCTGCCTTTGTATGGGAGCTCTGTTTTCACTCTATTTCACTCTATTAAATCTTGCAACTGCAAAAAAAAAAATAAATAAAAAGAAATTGTTCTATTATTATTATTATTACTATTATTATTTTGAGAAAGGGTCTGGCTCTGTCACCGAGGCTTGAGTGCAGTGGCATGATTTTGGCTTGCTGCAACCTCGGTCTCCCAGGCTGAAGCAATCCTCCCACCTCAGCCTCCCAAGTAGCTGAGACTATAGGCATGTGTCTCCACATCTGGGTAATTTTTGTATTTTTTTGTAAAGATGGGATTTTGTCATGTTGCACAGGCTGGTCTCAAACTCCTGTGCTCAAGCAAAACACCCGTGTTGGCCTCCCAAAGTGCTGAGATTACAAGCATGAGCCCCCATGCTGGGCCTAAATCATTCTATTAATATTATAAAGATACATGCCTGCATATATTTATTGCAGCGCTATCCACAATAGCAAAGACATGGTATCAACCTCAATACCCATAAATGGTAGGCTGGATAAAGAAAATCTGGTACATATACACCATGGAATATTATGCAGCCATAAAAAGGAATTAGATCATAACCTTTGCAGGGACATGGATGGGGCTGGCGGCTATTATCCTTTGCAAACTAATGCAGGAACAGAAAACCAAAACCAAATACCACATATTCTCACTTATAAGTAGGAGCTAAATGATGAGAACACATGGACACATCAGGAGAAACAACACACACTGGGGCCTATTAGAGGGTGGGGCATGGGAGGATGGACAGCATTAGGAAGAATAGCTAATGGATGCTGGACTTAGTACCTGAGTGATGGGATAATCTATGTAGCAAACCACCATGGCACATGTTTACCTATGTAACAAACCTGCACATCCTGCACATGTACCTCTGAACTTAAAAGTTGGAAATAAAAAAAAGAAACGTTCTTCCATACCATCCAGCAACCACACTCCTAAGGTATTTATTCAACTCCTTTGAAAACTTATGTCAATACAAACCCCTACACACAAGTGTTTATATCAGCTTTATTCATAATCACCAAAAACTGGGAGTAACCAAGATGTTCTTCAATAGGTGGATGAATAAACAAACTATGGTACATCCATGCAATGGAGTTCTACTCAGCAATGAAAAAGAATAAATTATGAAGTCACACAAAGACTTAGATGAATCCCAATTGCATATCGCTAAGTGAAAGAAGCCAATCTGAAAAAGCTACACAGTGCATTATTCCTGGCACCAATATCTTGGTTTCTTTTATTTTTTGTGGGGGTAGGAGGCATGGGGTCTGGCTCTGCCTGGCTAGAGTTCAGTTGTGCGATCTCAGCTCGCTGCAACCTCCACCATATCTTGGTTTCTAATACCATTAGTCAACAAATGAACCAGGGCTCTTTGAAGAAATGGCCGATTCTAGAATTGGGGCAGTAAATATACAAGATGAGCATGGAACATCTTGTGCCAGAATGTACAAGAAGTACTCAAAACAAAACAAACAAAAACCACCACTGCTACCACCAACAGAAAAGCCAGAACCAAAGTCAAACCCAACAAAAAAATAGGAAAAAAAAATAATAAGACTATGTCAAACGGACACAGGAGCCAACTGAAAAGTGCTCCCAATGTTCAAACTGGAAAAATTTGAGCAGCACAGTAAAGTGGTATTAAATTATAACCCGAAGCATAACGTGAACATCCATGAGTCCATACTGATGGAAATAAATGGTTGAATAAATCAATAAATGGGGCAGAACAGATAAATCTCCAATGCAGATCAGTTCCAAATAATTTGCATACATCTTCCACCCTCAAGGAAGGTGAGCATAACTCCTCATTTCTTTTTTCTTTTTTTCTTTTTAGCCAGAGTTTTGCTCTTATTGCCCAGGCTAGAGTGCAGTGGCATAATCTCGGCTCACTGCAACCTCCGCCTTCCAGTTTCAAGCAATTCTCCTGCCTCAGCCTCCCAAGTTGCTAGGATTACAGGCGCCCACCACCACGCCCAGCTAATTTTTTTATATTTTTAGTAGAGACGAGGTTTCACCATGTTGGTCAGGCTGGTCTTGAACTGCTGACCTCATGATCCACCCACCTCGGCCTCCCAAAGTGCTGGGATTACAGGCATGAGTCACCACACCCAGCCCAACTCCTCATTTCTTAAATGTGGAAAATGCAAAGTGACTTTCCTAGGAAAAGTACAGTATGAAAAGGAGAAAAAGAATAACTATATAATGAAGAAACCTGAAAAACATCACCTTAGCCAAGTGATAAAGGTTAGCATCAGCAATGATAAGTTATGTTAATAGTTTGTACTGTTGATATGATGGGATGAGAATGGCATTTTGCCTCTGTGGTGTTTCTCCCACAAACCCATAATACCAGTCGAATCATGAAAGAAATATCAGCAAAATCCCAACTGAGGAACATTTTGCAAAATACCTGACCAGTACTACTCAGAAATTTCAAGAATACCCAAAACGAGGAAATTCAGAGAAACCTAAAAACAAGAAGTGACTAAGGAGACATGACAACTAAATGTAATGTGGTGTACTATATAAGATCCTGGAACAGAAAAGGGACATTAGATAAAAACTAAGGAAATGTGAATGAGGTATGGACTTCAGGTAATGTATCAAAAGTGGTTTATTAGTTATAATAAATGTACCATACTAATATAAGATGTTGATAATATGGGTACCTGGGTTTAGGGGATGTGGAGCTCTCTGTACTATCTTTGCTATTTTTCTGTATGATAGCTCTCCCTTATCTGCAGTTTTGATTTCTGTGATTTCAGTAATCAACCTATGATCAACCATTGAAAATATTAAATGAAAAATTCCAGAAATACACAATTTACAAGTTTTAAATTGCCACTATTCTGAGCAGCAGGATGAAATCTCTTGCTGTCCCACTCCAAAACATAAATCATCCCTTTGTCCAGTGTATCCATGCTGTATATGCTACCCACTCAATTGTCACTTAATAGTTGCCTTGGTTATCAGATTGACAGATCACAAGAAGAAGGGTGAGTACAGTACAATAAGCTATTTTGAGAGAAAGAGAGAGAGACCACATTCACATAACTTTTATTAGTATGGTGTTATAATGTTTTCATTTTATTGTTAATCTCTTACTGTGCCTAATTTATAAATTAGATCTTATTATATGTATAGGAAAAAAACATAGTATGTATAGGGTTTGGTGCTATCTGTGGTTTCAGGCATCCACTGGGGTTTTAGAACATACTCCCAGAGGGTTGCTGGCAAGATGGCTGAATAGGAACAGCTCTGGTCTGCAGCTCCCAGCAAGATCGACGCAGAAGGCGGGTGATTTCTGCATTTCCAACTGAGGTACACAGTTCATCTCACTGGGACTGGTTAAACAGTGGGTGCAGCCCAAGGAGGGTGAGCCAAAGCAGGGTGGGGCGTTGCCTCACCCGGGAAGCACAAGGGGTCAGGGAACTCCCTCTCCCAGCCAAGGGAAGCCATTAGGGACTGCACTGTGCACTCCAGCCCAGATACTGCTCTTTCCCCACAGTCATTGCAACCCGTAGACCAGGAGATTCTTTCCAGTGCCTACATCACCAGGACCCTGGGTGGCCTGGGTGGCCTTTTGGGCAGACACCAAGCTAGCCGCAGGAGTTTTTTTTCATACCACAGTGGTGCCTGGAACGTCAGCTAGACAGAACCCTTCACTCCCCTGAAAAGGGGGCTGAAGCCAGGGAGCCAAGTAGTCTGGCTCGGCTGGTCCCACCCCCAGGGAGCCCAGCAAACTAAGATCCCCTGGTTTGAAATTCTCGCTGCCAGCACAGTAGCAGTCTGAGCTCGATCTGGGACACTGGAGCTTGGTGGGGGAAGGGACATCTGCCATTGCTGAGGCTTAAGTAGGCGGTTTCACCCTCACAATGTAAACAAAGCCTCCAGGAAGTTCGAACTGGGCGGAGCCCACCCCAGCTCAGCAAGGCCACTGAGGCCAGACTGTCTCCTCTCTGGGAAGGGCATCTCTGAAAAAAAGGCAGCAGCCCCACCTTATAGATATAACCCCCACCTCCCTGGGACAGAGCACCAAGGGGAAGGGGTGGTTGTGGGAGCAGCTTCAGCAGACTTAAATGTCCCTACCTGGCAGCTCTGAAGAGAGCAGTGGATCTACCCACACAGCATTTGAGCTCTAATAAGAGACAGACTGCCTCCTCAGGTGGGTCCCTGACCCCTGTGCCTTCTGACTGGGAGACACCTCCCAGCAGGGGTTGACAGACACCTCATACAGGAGAGCTCTGGCTGGCATCTGGCAAGAGACCCTCTGGGACAAAGCTTCCAGACGAAGGAACAGGCAGCAATCTTTGCTGGTCTGCAGCCTCCACCAGTGACACCCAGGCAAACAAGGTCTGGAGTGGACCTTCAGCAAACTCCAGCAGACCTGCAGCAGAAAGGCCTGTCAGAAGGAAAACTAACAAACAGAAAGGAATAGTTTCAACGTCAACAAAAAGGATGTCCACTCAGAGACCCCACTGAAGGTCACCAACTTCAAAGGCAAAAGATAGATAAATCCACGAAGATGGGGAGAAACAAGTGCAAAAAGGCTGAAAATTCAAAAAACCAGAATGCCTCTTCTCCAAAGGACCACAACACCTCACCAGCAAGGGAACAAAACTGGATGGAGAATGAGGGTGACGAATTGACAGAAGTAGGCTTCAGAAAGTGGGTAATAATAAACTCCTTCAAGCTAAAGGACCATGTCCCAACACAATGCAAGGAAGCTAAGAACCTTGAAAAAAGGTTAGACAAATTGCTAACTAGAATAACCAGTTTAGAGAAGAACACAAGTGACCTGACGGAGCTGAAAAACAGCACGAGAATTTCGTGACTCATACACAAATATCAATAGCCGAATCAATCAACTGGAAGAAAGGATATCAAAGATTGAAGATCAACTGAATGAAATAAAGTGAGAAAACAAGATTAGAGAAAAAAAGAGTGGAAAGAAATGAATAAAGTATCCAAGAAGTACAGGACTATGTGAAAAGACCAAATCTATGTTTGATTGGTGTACCTGAAAGTGACGGGGAGAATGGAACCAAGTTGGAAAACACTCTTCAGGATATTATCCAGGAGAACTACCCCAACCTAGCAAGGCAGGCTAACACTCAAATTCAGGAAATACAGAGAACACCACAAAAATACTCCTAGAGAAGAGCAACCCCAAGACACACAATCATTATTATTAGACAGATCAATGAGACATAGAATTAACAAGGATATCCAGGACTTGAACTCAGCTCTGGACCAAGGGACCTAATAGACATCTACAGAACTCTCCACCCCAGATCAACAGATTGCACATTCTTCTCAGCACCACATAGCACTTATTCTAAAATTAACCACATAATTGGAAGTAAAACACTCCTCAGCAAATGCGAAAGAATGGAAATTAAAACAAACAGTCTGTCAGACCACAGTGCAATCAAATTAGAACTCAGGATTAAGAAACTCACTCAAAACCGCACAACTACATGGAAACTGAACAACCTGCTCCTGAATGACTACCGGGTAAATAAACAAATGAAGGCAGAAATAAAGATGTTCTTTGAAACCAATGATAACAAAGATACAACATACGAGAATCTCTCAGACACAGCTAAAGTAGTGTGTAGAGGGAAATTTGTAGCACTAAATGCCCACAAGAGAAAGCAGGAAAGATCTAAAGTCGACACCCTAACATCACAATTAAAAGAACTAGAGAAGTAAGAACAAATAAATTCAAAAGCTAGCAGAAGACAAGAAATAACTAAGATGAGAGCAGAACTGAAGGAGATAGAGAAAGGGAAAACCCTTCAAAAAAATCAATGAATCCAGGAGCTGGTTTTTTGAAAAGATGAACAAAATAGATAGACCACTAGCCAGACTAATATAGAAGAAACAAGAGAAGAATCAAGTAAATGCAATAAAAAATGATAAAAGGGATATCACCACCGATCCCACAGAAATACAAACTACAACTAGAGAATACTATAAACACCTCTATGCAAATAAACTAGAAAATCTAGAAGAACGGATAAATTCCTGGACACAGACACCCTCCCAAGACTAAACCAGGAAGAAGTTGAATCCCTGAATAGACCAATAACAAGTTCGGAAATTGAGGCAGCAATTAATAGCCTACCAACCAAAAAAAAAAAAAAAGTCCAGGACCAGATGGATTAACAGCTGAATAATACCAGAGGTACAAAGAGGAGCTGGTACCATTCTTTCTGAAACTATTCCAAACAATAGAAAAAGAGGGACTCCTTCCTAAGTCATTTTATGAGGGCAGCATAATCCTGATACAAAAACCTGGCAGAGACATGACAAAAAAAGAAAATTTCAGGCCAATATCCCTGATGAACATTGATGCAAAAATCCTCAATAAAATACTGACAAACCGAATCCAACAGCACATCAAAAAGCTTATCCACCATGATCAAGTTGGCTTCATCCCTGGGATGCAAGGCTGGTTCAACATACGCAAATCAATAAACATAGTCCATCACATAAACAGAACCAATGACAAAAACCACATGATTATCTCAATAGATGCAGAAAAGGCCTTTGACAAAATTCAACAGCTCTTCATGCTAAAAACTCTCAATAAACAAGGCATTGATGGAACGTATCTCAAAATCATAAGAACTATTTATGACAAACCCACAGCCAATATCATACTGAATGGGCAAAACTTGGAAGCATTGTCTTTGAAAATCAGCACAAGACAAGGATGAACTCTCTCACCACTCCTATTCAACATAGTATTGGAAGTTCAGGCCATGGCAATCGGGCAAGAGAAAGAAATAAAGGGTATTCAAGTAGAAAAAGAGGAAGTCAAATTGTCTCTGTTTGCAGATGACATGATTGTATATTTAGAAAACCCCATCGTCTCAGCCCAAAATCTCCTTAAGCTGATAAGCAACTTCAGCAAAGTCTCAGGATGCAAGATCAGTATGCAAAAATCATAAGCAGTCCTATACACCAATAATAGATAAAGGGAGAGCCAAATTATGACTGAACTCCCATTCACAATTGCTACAAAGAGAATGAAATACCTAGGAATACAACTTACAAGGGATGTGAAAGACCTCTTCAAGGAGAACTACAAACCACTGCTCAAGGAAATAAGAGAGGACACAAAGAAATGGAAAAACATTCCATGCTCATGGATAGGAAGAATTAATATCTTGAAAATGGCCATAATGCCCTAGGTTTGATGCTGTCCCCATCAAGCTACATTGACTTTCTTCACAGAATTGGAAAAAACTACTTTAAACTTCATATGGAACCAAAAAAGAGCCTGCATAGCCAAGACAATCCTAAGCAGAAAGAACAAAGCTGGAGGCATCATGCTACCTGACTTCAAACTATACTTCAAGGCTACAGTAACCAAAACAGCATGGTACTGGTACAAAAACAGATATACAGAACAATGGAACAGAACAGTGGCCTCAGAAATAACGCCACACATCTACAACCATCTGATCTTTGACAAACCTGACAAAAAGAAGCAATGGGGAAAGGATTCCTTATTTAATAAATGGTGTTGGAAAATGCTAGCCATATGCAGACAACTGAAACTGGATCCCTTCCTTAAACTTTATACAAAAATTAACTGAAGATGGATTAAAGACTTAAACTTAAGACCTAAAACCATAAAAACTCTAGAAGAAAACCTAGGCAATACCATTCATGACATAGTTATGGGCAAAGACTTCATGACTAAAACACCAACAGCAATGGCAACAAAAGCCAAAATTGACAAATGGGATCTGATTAAATTAAAAAGCTTCTGCACAGCAAAAGAAACTCTCATCAGAGTGAACAGGCAGCCTACAGAATAGGAGAAAATTTTTGCAATCTATCCATCTGACAAAGGGCTAATATCCATAATCTACAAAGAACTTAAATAGATTTACAAGAAAAAAACAAGCAACCTCATCAAAAAGTGGGCAAAGGATATGAACAGACACTTCTCAAAAAAAGTCATTTATACAGCCAACAAACATGAAAAAAAGTTCATCATCACTGGTTATTAGAGAAATGCAAATCAAAACCACAATGAGATACCATCTCACGCAAATTAGAATGGCAGTCATTAAAAAGTCAGGAAGCAACAGATACTGGAGAGGATGTGGAGAAATAGGAACACTTTTACACTGTTGATGGGAGTATAAGTTAGTTCCACCATTGTGGAAGACTTTGTGATTCCTCAAGGATCTAAAACTAGAATTACCATTTCACCCAGCAATCCCATTACTGGGTATATACCCAAAGGATTATAAATCATTCTACTATAAAGACACATGCACCTGTATGTTTACTGTGGCACTGTTCACAATAGCAAAGACTTGGAACCAACCCAAATACCCATCAATGATAGACTGGATAAAGAAAATGTGGCAAATATACACAATCGAATGCTATGCAGCCATAAAATATGGTGAGTTCATGTCTTTTGCAGGGATATTGATGATGCTGGAAACCATCATTCTCAGCAAACTAACACAGGAACAGAAAACCAAACACTGCATGTTGTTACTCAGTGGGAGTTGAACAATGAGAACACATGGACACAGGGAGGGGAACATCACACCACAGGGCCTGTTGGGGGGCTAGGGGAAGGATAGTATTGGGAGAAATACCTAATGTAGATGATGGGTTGATGGGTGCAGCAAACCATCATTGTATGTGTCTACCTGTGTAACAAACCTGCACGTTCTGCACATGTATCCCAGAACTTAAAGTATAATTAAAAAAAAAAAAAAAGAAAGAAAAAGAAATTTTCCAACTCAAAAAAAAAAAGAACATATTCCCTATGGATAAGGGAGAAAAACTATAAATACAAAATTATTTTAAAATAAAGTTGTTACTTTATTATTCTAAAATATAGAAATATTAAAACAAAAAATTATTTAGAATAATAAAATAAAAAGTTTATTAAAAAATTTATAAAGTTTATCCAAATGTTTATGAAAATTATATAAATATTAGATTTCAGGAATGTGGAGAGAGTAAGACCAGAGCTCCCAGTCAGGTTTCTAAATGTAATGGTGTTTTTTGCTGTTCTGTAGCAAAATAAGAATAGGACAATGTAATATATTTTTCATGAAGCTAAATTGATACAATATAAATAATTATTCCTTATTCTGAGATTGTAGAGTTTGTCATGTTAAAATATATTTTGCTTTGAAATGGTGCTAATACTAGGTCTGGTCTGCCAGTATAAAAAGTTGATATTGGTCCCTGAAATAAAAAGTCTGAGATCCATATCCTTTAGAAAATCAATTCCTGACAACTCAGAGATTTGCTCCTCTTCCTAAGCAGAGCCAAAATATTATTGTTCCATGGTGTTTTCTTATATCTTTCTCTACCTATATTTAAGAGTGTGGATGGGTATCCTATACCTCTGGACCCTCAGGCAAAGGAAATCAAAGCAGAAGAACCAAGTAAAATAAAACAAAGATTTCCCACAATCTCCCTGGCATCCAGTGGTAGGAGGACATGCCAGCTTTTTCCAAATTTCAGAACCCATGTAAAAGACTCCTTTATTAACTCTTACCAGTGAAGAAGAAAATGAAGACTAGAGAAGATGGTACCTCAGGGCAATGGATTCAGAAAGTAAGTGATGTAAATCTGTTTTTAACAGAACCCAAAAAAGGTTAATTGTGGGCTTTTGTGTTTTAGGGTGCAGTGAGCTAGGCATTTTTCTTCTTAGATTGCGAGAGTTAAAAGTTCCACTGCCTAACCTTTTGAGGTTATCTGAAAATAATTAAAACCTCTATCAACTTCCACAACTGCTATTGCCTTGCATGATAACAATTAAATGAAAAAAGCCAGGCGAAGTTTCAAATGTTCTCATTGATAGTCATGCCTCTCTAAAGTAAGTGTGTGGATGTTTTAGTGATGTGTATTCTTTATTAAAATGTGCATTAGTTTGTCCAGCAAACATTTAGTGGTTGCTATTTGCCACTGTAATGTGTGTATTGTGCATGTAAATGTGAACAAGACATTCTTTGCCCCTAAATGGCTCATAATCTAGTTTAGAGACATAGTTGCCACACAGTATGGTAAGTGCTTCATAAAGGACTAATACAAATTTGATATCTAGAGAAAACTTTATGGAGGACCAAAGCTGTCTTGAAAGTTGGCTCAATGTTAAGAAAAGACAGATTATTCAAAGCGAAAACTTCAAACTTCAGTTGGAATAATACTGAAAAGAAAAGAGAAATTCTCTATCACAGATACAGGGGAGCAGTATAAAACATTATTTAAAACACTATTTTAGATGCCTGGGAATCTGAATTATAACCTTTTATAATTTATACTCCTGCTGTGAGAGGGATTCTTTATCCATAAGATGAAGGAAAAGAAAATAGTCTGAGTCCCTTTCCTAAAACTTTATCTTTGTAGTTGCTAATAAAACACATGTAGCAGAAATCACTAAGTGTATAGAGGATATATTTATCCAGAGACACAGCTAGAGAAGCTTAGAGGTGGGCTCATGTTAGAGAAAATGGATGAAGGTATGAGTTCTCTCCTGCAGAGAGAAGAGAGGCAGACTTACAGGGGAGTGTCTTTCCACATTCAGTGCCAAGGCCAATATCATGTGTCAATCTCAAAAGAAGACAATCATTTGCTACTAGGCAAAATTATAAAAGTTGCACCAGCTGTTTTCCTAGGTGTCCTACAATGTTAACATTACCTGAAAAAATTGTAGTTAAGATGGGTGGTGATTCCACTCAGACATCCCCCCGACTTGCAAAGCCCCTGAGGTTGGGTGAAGTTGGTTGGAATGGCTGGGCATTTGGCCAAGGAAAGTTGAATTGTTGATGCATGTCATTTGGGCTTGGTGAAGTATATTTATGTGGTGTTCTGCCACTCCCATGTACAGTTAAGTTTTGCCTGCCATCTAAATATAGGACTAACTTCTAGGATATTCCTAACTCCCAGCGTGCTGATTCATCCAGCATCATGTCATGTGATGCTGGGCCAGAGGTGGGTCACCTAATAAAAATATTATTTTTCTGGGTATTTTTACATTTGTGTTATTTTCAGTGTTATAATAATTGAGATTTGATATGATATTTTATTCTAAGTAAATATCCACTTTTTAACCTAATCGTGTCTACATAATTATATATTTTTCTTTTCTTTTTTTTTGAGATGGAGTCTCGCTCTGTCGCCCAGGCTGGAGTGCAGTGGCGCGATCTCGGCTCACTGCAAGCTCCGCCTCCCTGGCTCAAGTAATTATCCTGCCTCAGCCTCCCAAGTAGCTGGGACTACAGGCACGAGCCACCATGCCCGGCTAATTTTTGTATTTTAAGTAGAGACGAGGTTTCACCATGATGGCCAGGATGGTCTTGATCTCCTGATCTCATGATCCACCTGCCTCAGCCTCCAAAAGTGCTGGGATTACAGGCGTGAGCCACCGCGCCTGACCTATTTTTCTTAAAGAGGATCCCCAAATTGTTTATGCTTCAGGCTCTGCAAAACATGAATATGCCCATGCTTAATTCATCTAATGGGAATTAGATAAATTCAACACACTCTCCCTCTTGCTCATTATAATGATCCATCAGTCAAACCAACAACAATACTCTTGTCCATCTGCCTGCTGATTGCTAATGCATAGAAGTACAAGAGGGTGAAATTTTTATTTCATATTTAGACATATAAATATTACAAAAAGGTAAATTATTGGCTGAGGTACTGTTTTCACCTGCCTGATTTTCAGTTACATGTAGCTAGTTATTCCAAAACTCCATGTGACTATCATATAGTTTTTCCTTTGTTTAATATTGAGAGAGGATGAAAGGCACAGAAATGGTCTAGAGATGAGGATACATTGTCACCAAGGAGGTACACAAGACAGAAGGAGAAGGTTGAGAACTTTGAAAGCCAAGTCCAGTGACAATCCTATTAATAATCAGCCTGATTGTTATAAATAGAAGATGGACAAAGGGACCATTCTTCACTGGAAACTTTAAAAAGCAGCTTCCAGTGACTCTAGAAGCTACACTGGTTTTCTAAAAAGCTGCCTTTCCAATTTACTCATTCGACAAAGGGCTAATATCCAGAATCTACAAAGAACTTAAACAAATTTACAAGAAAAAATCAAACAACCTCATCAAAAAGTGGACAAAGGATATGAACAGACACTTCTCAAAAGAAGACATTTACGCAGCCAACAGATACATGAAAAAATGCTCATCATCACTGGCCATCAGAGAAATGCAAATCAAAACCATAATGAGATACCATCTCACACCAGTTAGAATGGCGATCATTAAAAAGTCAGGAAACAACAGGTGCTGGAGAGGATGTGGAGAAATAGGAACGCTTTTACACTGTTGGTGGGACTGTAAACTAGTTCAGCCATCGCGGAAGACAGTGTGGTGGTTCCTCAGGGATCTAGAACTAGAAATACCATTTGACTCAGCCATCCCATTACTGGGTATATACCCAAAGGATTATAAATCATGCTGCTATAAAGATACATGTACACATATGTTTACTGCGGCACTATTCACAATAGCAAAGACTTGGAACCAACCCAAATGTCCATCAATGATAGCCTGGGTTAAGAAAATGTGGCACATATACACCATGGAATACTAAGCGGTCATAAAAAATAATGAGTTCATGTCCTTTGTAGGGACATGGATGAAGCTGGAAACCATCATTCTCAGCAAACTATCGCAAGGACAGAAAACCAAACACCACATGTTCTCACTCATAGGTGGGAATTGAACAATGAAAACACTTAGACACAGGGTGGGGAACATCACACACCAGGGCCTGTTGTGGGGTGGGGGGAGTGGGGAGGGATAGCATTAGGAGATATACCTAATGTAAATAACGAGTTAATGGGTGCAGCACATCAACATGGCACATGTATACATATGTTAACAAACCTGCATGTTCTGCACATGTACCCTAGAACTTAAAGTATATATAAAAAAAAGCTGGCTTTTCAGAGACCACATAGCAAGAGAATAATTAATAAAATAATAACTCTATGAGCATCCTGAGGAGCCTGTAGCTTTCTTGGACTTGATTTTTATCAGATGAGTGGAAATATGGTTAAAACAGTTAACCCACAGAAGAAGCTAATTGGAAGGATGAGGCTGAAGGGAAGCCTCCCAGTTTAGGTGGATGACTTTTGAAGGCTTTTGTATATGTTAAAAATACTACAAGAGGCAAGATAAATTGATTCAAATCCTATGTATGCTACTTGATATGGCCCAGTTACCTCTACTGTACTATGAGGACTTTCCATACAGTATTTTCCATACAGGGTTGTCAGAAAATGAAATTGAGATAATCAATGGCTGGCACACAGAATTACAAGGGTTCATTCTCAGAATACATTGAGAAGGGAGGGTGCTTACCAAACTCCCGAAATTTTATGCAAATATTTCTATAGGTAAACATTTTGAGGAGCAACAGGTTCACAACTTTTATTAATTTCTTGAAGTGATCTGTGATAAAATAGGCTAAGAAGAATGGAAGTAGGAGCTCATTTATGTTTGTGAATGAATTGCAAAAAAAAAGGTCTGAAATTTTCTAGAAGTAGAATAGTCATCAAAATGTAAAATGTCTGAGACAGAAGAGAAATTGAGTGAGGTTATAGTGGGAAAAGTATTCAAGTTGATGTTGATCAGATAAACTAACACTATATTTGCACTGATTCAGTGTTATTCTTGCTTTCTAAATCTATTTTTTTCTATGCCTAAGGAAGTAGAAAATATTTTCTTCTTTTTCATGTTCTGAGCTATGAACATGGCTCAGTTTTCAGTGCAAGTAATTTAAAAAATTTGATAAGGGTTTAAAAGTTAAGGATGTGGTCCTGGATCTACATCTAAATAATTATGTGGACTTGTGCAAGTAATTTGCCTCAGTTTTCCCAAGTGTGAAGTTGTAGTGATGAACCGTTTCTTCTTCTTAGAATAATGTTTAAAAAATGGGCTAATAAATAAAAATATATTGAATGTCTTTGAGTGAAGTAGCTATTTAAAATCAACATGTTAACTAATCATTGGAGAAATGCAAATAAAAACCACAATGAGATACCATCTCACTCCAGTTAGAATGGATCTTATTGAAATGTCAAAAAAATAACAGATGTTGGTGAGGTTGCAAAGAAAAGAGAATGCTTATACACTACTGGTGGGAATGTAAATTAGTTCAACTATGTGGAAAGCAATTTGGTGATTTCTCAAAGACCTTAAAACAGAACTACCATTCAATCCAGCAACCCCATTATTGGGTATATACCCAAAGGAATATAAATTGTTCTCCCATAAAGACACATGCATATATATGTTTATCACAGCTCTGTTTATGATATCAAAGGCATAGAATCAACCCATCAATGGTAGACTAGATAAAGAAAATGTGGTACATATACACCATGGAAAACTATGCAGCTGTAAAAAAGAACAAGATCATGTCCTTTGCAGCAACATGGGTGGAGCTGGAGGCCGTTATCCTAAGTGAACTAACACAGAAACAGAAAACTAAATACAGCATGTTTCACTTACAAGTGGGAGCTAAACATTGCACACACATGGATATAAAGAAGGGAACAAAAGACACTATGGCCTGCTTACAGGTGGAGAGTGGGAGGAGGGTGAGGATCGAAATACAGCCAATCAGGTAATATGCTTATTATCTGGGTTTTGAAATAATTTGTACAGCCAACCCTGACACACAATTTGCCTATACAACAAACCCGCACATATACCCCTGAACCTAAAATGAAAGTTAAAAAAATAAAAAATAAAATTAAAATGTTATAACATGTTTTTCTTTCAAAGATTAATCTACTTTTACACATTTTAATAGTAATGATATTATCTCAATAAATTAAACTATTTATTGAGAAGCTTAAATGTACTATTGGTATCTACATTTCAATATCCATTGGGATTGATGGTCAACATCTGGTTTTTTTGTTTTGTTTTGTTTTTGAGACGGAGTTTCACTCTTGTTGCCCAGGCTGGAGTGCAATGGTACTATCTTGTCTCACCGCAACCTCCACCTCCCAGGTTCAAGCGATTCTCCTGACTCAGCCTCTCGAGTAGCTGGGATTACAGGCATGCACCACCACACCTGGCCAATTTTGTATTTTTGGTAGAGACAGTGTTTCTCCATGTTGGTCAGGCTAGTCTCGAACTCCTGACCTCAAGTGATCTGCCCGCCTAGGCCTCCCAAAGTGCTGGGATTACAGGCATGAGTCACCTCGCCTGGGCTCATGGTGAACATCTTAAGTCACTAGTTTCTTTAACTATCTAGTGGATTTTACATAATTATATGATTATCATTGATATCCTATTGTCAAAATCCAAAATCCCCATGTCTCATTGCACACACACTCATTCACTCTTCACCCAACTAATCCAATAAAGCGTTAACATAAAGATCACTTTTTCAGGGGGCCATCCTTTGAATCTCTACAGTTGAATACCTTTCTGTCTTGCACATTTAATTACTTGTTCAACTCTTGTTTTCCCTGTTAGACTGTAAGAACCAGGTGGCAGAAACTGAGTTTTTTTATACTACCGTATCCCTAGGACTTAGTAAACAGCTTAATTTATAGAAAGAACTCAAAAAAGTTTATTATCATCGTTATTTATTTTAAAACCATCCTAAACTTATAGAAAAGTTGCAAATACAGTACAGAGGGCATGTTTTACTTATTTATTTATTTATTTATTTTTAATTTGCTGGACCATTTCATAGCAAATTGCTCACAAGATGCCTCTTTACTCACTAAAATTGTAATGTGTCTGTGTCTTGTTCTTTTTTTTTTTCCAAACAAAGACACTCTCCTATGTAATCACAATAATCATCAAAATCAGGAATTTGATATGGATATATGATTCCCATCTAAACTTTAGACCACAGTCAGGTTTCACCAATTGTCCCAATAATGTCCTTTATAATGACCTGGTGCAGAATAAAATTTAGTTATTAAAGTAATTAAATTTAGTTATTCCAGCCTTTTCAGGATGAAATAGTTCCTCAGTTTTGTTTGTTTGTTTGTTTGTTTGTGATGGAGTCTCGCTTTATTGCCAGGCTGGAGTGCAGTGACGTGATCTCGGCTCACTCTAACCTCCGCCTCCCGGGTTCAAGCAATTCTCCTGCCTCAGCCTCCCGAGTAGCTGGGATTACAGGCACGCACCACCACACCCAGCTAATTTTTGTATTTTCAGTAGAGGCAGGGTTTCACCATGTTGGCCAGGATGGTCTCCATCTCCTGACCTTGTGATCCGCCCGCCTCGGCCTCACAAAGTGCTGGGATTGCAGGTGTGAGCCACTGCGCCCGGCCGCTCCTCAGTCTTTTCTTGGTTTTCATGGTCTTAACCATTTCACAGACCAGTTATTTTGGAGGATGACTGTCAGTTTGGGCTTACAGTATGTTTTCTTATGAGTAAATTCAGGTTATTCAGCTTTGGCAGGATTATCACACAAGTGATACCAAGATTTTCTCATTTCTCAGCTGGCACACAATTACCGATGATGTCTACTTAAAGTCCTAGATTAAGGCGGTGTTTGCCTCTGTAAAAATAGTCTTTATCTCTTTGAATTATTAACTATTTTGTGGAGAGATACCTTGAAACAATACAAATATCTTGGTCCTTCATATAAGTGAATAATTTATTTTTATCATATAAACCCATCTTTGTTCAATGGATCATTATCTCTTACTATCATTACATATTTTGATGCTCAAATTATCCCATATTTAGCCAGAGGAAGCCTCTTCAAGCTGGTTCCTGTGACCTTTGATGTGTCCCCATCATTCTTTGAGCATATTTTACTTTCTGGTATAGCAAGACATTCCAGACTCATCTGGCACTTTCCGCACTCTGGAGTCAATTACTTCTCCAAGAAACCCTTGTTCCTTTTAGTGAATAATGATATTTTTAAAGCCACAAGCTGAGCATTTAGGTGTGTGTTTATTTCTTGTCGATTGTCATTGTTTCTAGACCTTCACAGTGGACAGTGGACAGAGAACAGAACTGTGGAACGGACAATCAGCCCTCTGTATTTGTGGGTTCCGCGTCTGTGGATTCAACCAACTGCAGACTGAAAGTATCTGGGCGGGGGGGAGGGAAGAATGTTTGCATCCATACTGAATATGTACAGACTTTTTTTCTCGTCATTATTCCCTAAACAAAACAGTATACCAAGTATTTACATAGCATTTAAGTTGTATTAGGTATTATAAGTAACCTCGAGATAGTTCAAAGTATATGGGAAGATGTGTGTAGATTGTATGCAAATACTACATCATTTTATATCAGGGATGCCATGGATTTTGGTGTCCTCACGGGGTCCTGGAACAAATCCCCCATAGATACAAAGGGTCAACTATATGTGAATACACACACACAGACACAAGTGTACACACATACACACATTTACATTTACTTTCATATTCATCAGTATATATTGACAACTGTGAATTCACATTAATACCTCCAATTCCTCCAAATCAACGCCAACAGGATCCATTCTATCTCCTTTTCCAGATTTGTAACTCCCTTCTTTGACAGTGAGAAACCTGTCTCTTGTTATCCTTCATACATTTACTTACTAGGCAATCTCCCTGTTTGTAACAAATCTCATGTCACCCGCACCATGCACCCCATGGTGTGGATGCTCCATTTATCCTGCCTGGGTTGTGACTCCCTCCACAGGACTGGCACTGCTGACCCTCTGTGGAGAAGCTGCTTAACCCACTTCAGCTCCAACATCAGTACTGGGGCCACTTTCTGCCTGGATGCCCTCCTCACCTCCTTTGGCTCAAACTCCCTGCTCTGTATCATGAGGAATGTCTTAATCTGTTTGTGCTAATAAAGTACCACAGACTGGGTAATTTATAAAGAACAGAAATTTATTTCTCACAGTTTGGGAGGCTGAAAGTGCAAGATCAAGGCACTGGCAACTTCAGGGTCTGGCGAGGACACAATCTCTGGTTCCAAGTTGGTGCTTGTTGCTGCCTCCTCCAGAGAGGATGAATGCTCTGTCCTTACATGGTAGAAGGAACAGAAGGGCAGAAGGATGTAGCCTCTTCCTTCTAGAACTTTTATAAGGCACCAATCCCATTCATGAAGGCAGAGCCTTCATGACCTAATCACCTTCCAAAGGCCTCAACTCTTAGTACTATCACACTGGATCTTAGGTTACAACACATGAATTTGGGGGAGAATACATAACACTCAAACCATAGCAGAGGCCCCCCTACCACCAGCATGGATGCCTACCTTGCTCAGCCCACCTGATGCCTCTAGGACTGCATTGTTCAGAAAGAGCAAAGGATCAAAGATTACATTTTAAACTTATGAACGAAAACCAACTTAAAATGTTATTGACCTTTTTTTCAAGTTTATCGAAACTCTAGATATATCTTATCTCTTTTTCCAGACTAATATGTGTTTCTCTGGATATATGATAGAGTTCTGATTTATCAGAGGAGGAATATAAAAAATATTCCATGCTTTTTAAACTTTTATTGTTAAGTTTTTGTATTTGTTTAGCTCAGCATTTCTCAGCTGGAGCATTACTGCCATTTTTGGCAGGAAATTCTTTGTTATAAGATTGTCCCACATACTGTAAGATATTTTGTATCCCTGACTCTCCATTCACTATTGCCACAAAAGGCCCCCCACTAAAAACTTGGCATAATTAAAAAACAAAAACAATAATAAGTTACTCTATCCATTTCCAGCTGCTTCCTAGGAAAGCAATCTTCCCTTCCTTGAGAACTGCTGGAGCTCTTTGTAGTTTGTATAATAGCTGTTTCCTAATGAATCCTTAGGTTCACACTAATTCACATGGAGACTCACATAAAACAGTTCTGTCACCATTTGTTCTACAACAAGTGTGTTAACCTTGTAGAATCCATGCTTTTTTGGTCAAGTAATATCATATCCTCTTTGGCTTGGTAAGTGTCTCCAGATGATTCTGTTTTAGGTTCAGAGGCCCACCACCAAATGCTGCTTTGTAAAGGAATTTTCTTCAGTCACTAAAATGTCCCTGAAATTAATTGAGGCATGTAAGCCATAAATACAAGCTGTCTGAAACAACTGGTTAGAAATATTTAAATTAAGGCCTCAATGCCATATATGAAATGTAAGTGTGTTTTTGGCTTCTTGGCTATATATTTTCATAGAAATGATAGATTTTTTGTGTTGGGACAAATTAACTTCTAGTTAAGAGTTAGGGCTGCACTCAGTATGCTCTTTCCAGAGCATCCTGAGCCTGTCACCTGCTGATATGCTGAAGGCAATGCCATTCTTCCCGATTGGACAAGGAAGGACGTTGTTTTCTCTGGGACTCACAGTCTTTTGGAACAATTTCATCTCCTGTCTTCACCATGTGTATTTATGACAGTCTACCTGCAGTGGGAAGAAGTCATAACCCCTTCAGCTAGAGAGCTGTTTCTTTCCCCCTGGAACTAAAACAAATAAGAGCTCGCTTGTGTTTTGCCCTTATCTTATAAATTTAGGTTTTCATTTGCAGGAGAAAAAAATCTGCTCCTTATTCCACCAACTGTACAAATATAGAAATGAGAGTTAAGTTTCAATGCATGATATATTTGAAAATAATCACCTTAGACTTGAAAGTAAGATCTCTATGAACACATGGTATGATTTTAAAAATTAGTGGTGTGCATCTGCCGACGTGAGCAGAAGCTGTGGCAGAGATACTTATTGCTTCCTAAATACGTAATTGCTCCCCACACTTCCCAGCCATATTCCAGTTAGGTGGGGGCCATGCAACTAGTTCTGCCAACTAGTGTGAGCTAGAGTTTGGAACAAAAGTGATGCACGTCACTGCAGCCTCAAATTTATAAGGGTATGTTCATTTTATGCATGCTTTCAAGTAAACCAAATTTGAGTTGCATTAAAACTGGACATAGAATGTTTCTGTTAAGATAATTTCACCTGTCCTGGAAAATAGAAGACATTATTGCACTAGTTTGATGAAATGCCTCTGTTTATAAACTAGTGTTTGGTTTTATTTGGTTTGGTTATGAACAAACCAAATAAAGAGTTAATATAAGTCATTAACTTGAAGGACCTAATCTGAATGGGATGGACTTAATAATTCAAAGACAAAAGCAAACTAGGGAATTGTGTTAACATGTTTCATTGCTCCTCAGATAGTGGCTTAAACTAGAAGACAGTAATTTTAACTCATGCTACTTTAACTGCATAATCCATTTCCTTTTTCATCCCTACTCTTATTTTCCCAGACAACATGGTACATATTATTTCAAGGGCATTCCCAAAGAGTTGCATCAGCAAAGTCTTCTTTGCAGCTTTAAATGGCCTCTTTCAGTTCATTTAGGATTCTAGACAGATCACACACACACACACACACACACACACACACACACACATCCCTACCTTCGGACAGCTTATCTAAAATAAAATATTTCTTCATCTGAGAACTTTTAAGAATTTCATTACTTGGTGCTGTTGAAAAAGGGGGATTTTGTGCACTGTGTCCTTATGACCTTTTTTTTCTCCAGGTGAACAACAAAAACAATGAGAAAAAACACAGAACAATTTCACACCTAAAATTGAAGGAGTTGATTACTGTCATTTTGATGATGTGCCTTTTATACGTTTGCAGTGGTTAAGAAAGACTTTATGGTTTGGAGCATGAGCACTTTAAAGTGATTCAAAATTATCGAAGAGCTACAAATTTTATAAAGTGCTTCAATTTGTTACCAACTAGAGCAGCAGTGGAACGATTCTACAGAGCTTTTAGTACTATGCACAGCCTGCAAATGCTCTCATAATCTTCCCAGGTGTCTCTCCTTTACATGTGGGGGCTTGGAATTTTCCTGCCCAGAGACACTCCATCACTAACAGTGACAGAGCTTCTCTTCTTGAGGCCTGCATACCATAAAAGCAGTGCTCACATATGGGTTCAGTTTTGGCAATGTTGCACACTCCCAATCAGCCTCTTATGGTTGTTTGGCTTTGCCAGAAGAAAAAACTATTGGTCTAAAAATGATTGGACAATTAAGCACTCAATTTGGTGTGTGGAGGAGCTTAGGCATGTGAGAAGTAAAAATAGGTGGAATAAGAGTGTCAAGGTGGCTTGATTGACACTGCCAAACGAGTAAATGACTTTTCAGTCCCTTTGAGTCATGAAAAATACTAATGTTTAAAAAGTTAGTGCTTTTGAGAGAGGCTGAAACTTTGTAAAAGCAGGGTTTAATGATTTCTTTCTGCTTTGCTATTAGCTTCCAGTTTTTACTGGCCTTTGATTTACTTGTTTTAAAACAATAGTAAGCTTTGCTTATGTAAAAGAGAAAAAATAAGGCATAATTTTTGAAATTTAAAATGACCAGGTGGCTTAGATATTGGCTTATAATATAGGGTTCCACTAGAACACAAGTACAATTTTTCCTTTCAAAATTAATTTACACAGCTAAGATGCATCCTGAATGGTACATGGCCTCTCCGTGTGATGGCCGTAAATGACACATTTTATTTCTTTAGAACTAGAGTTGTAGAGCTTAGCTAGTTCATTAAGGAGAGGGCAGTCTTAAATCAGAACAAATCTAAATGCGTAAAAGTCAATTTAAAGGCATAACCAATTCTGGGAGGGATTTACTATTTCTCTAGTATATGAGTACCTGATGACTTTAAGAGTGTTTGGAAAACTTGGGACTTTGTGGTGATTCTTGCCTGAGTTGAGGTCAGAGTCTACACTTCCAAGACCCTTATCTTAGCTGTGCACTTTTTACTACCATGCTGTTGATTATTCATTCCATTTAAGGGCATGAGGCACTATTTTAGAAGAGGATTTATACAGCTAATGAGTAATTTTAAAAACAACATGCTATTTGAGTTTTATATGTAGAAATATAGCATTTATATATAGAAATATAGCATTTGCATTGAGAATTATTGATAACAATTAATTTGAGTTCCTGTTACCCAAACATTTAAAGGTATTAGGTATTTCTCTCCATCTGGCTGTCATGGTGGAGTTTCCGGTGAATACCTCAGTGAATATCTCTTTTATCACCTAAACTGTTAAGCAAGGCTGATTTCTGATAAGATCTAAGACTTCAGAGCAACAATATATATGGTAAGACAGAGAGCCTACTTCATCACACTTCCTCAAGGACAACAGCAGGAAGATTGTATATCATTTTAAGATAAAAACTTTCCCAGAAGATTTTATTTTTCCCCTCCCTCTACTTTCCTTCTTTTTTGTCACCTGAAATTAACCAATACATGTAAAAAACCCACAGTGCTTGACTATTACTACAATTTTATCATTTTTATTATTTCTTCCCTTTCTTTGCCTGCTTACATTTTTTCTTCCAATAATCATGGGTATCCCTGTCTTTGTTGAGATGTCACTTTCTCTTAGGAAAATTGGAATTGATGGTGACTTCCAACTCTCTGCTTGGAAAAAGACCCTGTTATTACCATTGCAAGTGTGTGCACTGACCCACCATTGAGGGTCGCAATCTGTCGCAGGCAGTGCTCTGTTGGGGAATTTTAGCCAGGTTTATTTACTTCTGCCTGATCCACTTTGTGATTTATTTGATTAAAGTGCAAGCACTTTGGTATTTGTAAAACAGAGTGTAAAATATGCAAGCATTCTGTTTTCATTAGGAAAATCTATGAACTATGAGTTGAAATTGCCAAAACTTGTAAAATAATCAGGAATGAGAGATATTTGTCCTTACTTCCTAAGCAATCAACTGCAAATAAGGTCCATTTGTATACTGAATTAATAGTATATTTTAATTCAGCTCCAAAGTCAAGCAGATATGATATGAAACTTTTTAACCTTGTTTCAAGAATGCATTTATTTACCATGATGATTATGTCTAAATGTCCATTCAGTATATTTTATAGAGTTGATCTAAGAAAGGAGATCTGATCTCCCTTCAGTGATTCTTTAGGAAGTTCTTACTTTTGAATTATCTAAGTCATGCTTTTGTTTTTAAGTTAAATATATTAAATGAATACAAACATTTTATAAGCTGGATATTATTTAGACTTAAACCCTTTATGCCATGTAAAGCTCTTCCCCTCTCATTTCTACCTATCCAAATCCTATCCCTTATTTTCTGCTGGGTATTCCAATCATCTTGGCTTAAAGCAAACTCTCCCTCCTTTGAATACCTATTATTGCACTTGCTCAGGTGACACTTACGACATTTATTGAATGCTGCAGACTCTTATTCCTAATACATCTTAATATATCTAATTTCCCAAACCTGATTGTCAGTTTCAGAACCTTGTCTGGATGCATAGTTCTTTCAACATTTACTAGCACATATTTAGCAATTGACCACAACGTGCAAAAGTTATGTTAGCATTGGAGTTGCAGTGGTGAAGAACATAGACATGACCACAACTCTCGCAGATCTGTTATATAAGGTGAACATATGAATTAGGGTCAAAGAATGTGTGTAATTTTCAGTATCACTTACAATGCTTTGACCATTGTGAGGGTACAGAAGATACTTTTGCGGAAGGATCTAAGATTCCGTTTTTGTTGGTAAGCAAACTTACATCTAGTAGTAGAATGTCAACTGTTGTTGTGTATGCTTTTGCTACAAGTAAGATTTCTAGTTTCTTTAAGTTTACTTAAAAAGGATGTGTGGTATATATAAATTTCAATAATCAATAATCCAAAGTTGTCTTAAGGATCTTAATACTAACATAGGGTCCCCTAGAAATAAATGTTACATATCCATTTCACATTATGAAACATAAGTTTGAAAATGAGTTGTAAGATCATTCAAATAATCAAAGAGTGTTTTAGAACTAGCTGAATCTTCCTGCTAATTTATTTTGTAAATTAAATTCAGGTTCATGATTGATTAAAAATTGCCAATAAAAAGGAATACATTCATTGTAGTATTAAGTAAAGTATAAACAATATTAGAAGAGTCTTAAATTTTTTAAATATAGCTTCTGGTTCTTTATGGCAATCTGACCTTCCTGAAATGTTAAAAAATATAGAAAATAATATTTAAGTGTATAAAACAAAGAACACCGGAAGAGGCCAATAGAAAAGATAGTTTTTTTTTTTTAAAGTTCTAGGAGTTGAAAAATGGATGGAGGAGTGGAAAATGATATACCAAAGCTGAAGCAGCCACTATTTAGAACATGTGCAGAGGTGACTACAGCATAAAAGGGGACAGTCTGCCATGTGGAACCCTCAAGGGCTTGCAACTCAGAAATACCAGGGGTGTGGGAGCATAAGAGATACGTAACTAAAAACAGATATTTAATTGATTGCATGTGAAACTACCAGTGCCCCCATATCAGTGTGTAGTATATAGGTATTGTACCACCTCCCAGACAAATACAATGAAGGGACTTCGCTACAGAAATTGCCAAAATGGGTACAGGGACGCTCACGTAGGTATTGACATTTCAGAGCAAAGACCTCTGAATTATGGCAAGTATGTGTTCCTCCATACACAGCTTCTCAATCACATTTCATTAATTAAACTGTCAGTATATAAGACTCTGCCCAAGTTCAGAGAGCTACCAGTCATTTTACTATATCCTAATTATAAACAGAAACCAAGTATCTCTAGTCCTTTGAAAAAAGCCAGCAATATAAATGAGAAAGACAAAGCAAAACAAAACAAACAAACAAAAATCTGAAAACAAAAAACAAGTCATAAAGAGAGAAACAGACAGTCAGGAAGACAGCAACATCCTGTAGGAAACAGGCAATTCAGGAACAACAGCCAAAAAAACTTAAAAATTCTAATTCATACATCTCAGATATTAAAAATGTAATGAAAATGCATCAGTAAAACAAGAATAGGATGTTATCTATCTATATATAGACATAAAATAAGATACTATGAAAATAAATTATAGACCAAGAAGTTTCACTTGGTACTTAAAAATGTGATTATCAGAGTAAAAATATATCAGTTAAATGGCTGAACAATAAAATTAAGTAAATTTCAAAAAAGGTAAAACAAATAGAAAAATATGTGGAAAATATAA
Organism: Homo sapiens; assembly: GCF_000001405.40. Lineage (NCBI taxonomy): Eukaryota > Metazoa > Chordata > Mammalia > Primates > Hominidae > Homo > Homo sapiens. Next base: position 88,151,774 of record NC_000005.10, on the reverse strand, counting down.
TGGAAATGCAAGAGATAAAGAGTTTAATCTTGGAGACTAACTTCAACTAATAGGAATTTCAGAAAGAAATAAGATAAGTAAAGGGAGGTATTAGACAAAGTACTAGAATTTTTCTTAGAGCTGAAGAGCATGTGTAATTAAATTGAGAGTATCTATTGAATGTTCAGAACAATGAAAAAATGCAGACTCACATTAGATAAATTATTTGAAACTACAGAACACTAAGGGTAAAGAGAAGATCTTAAAAGCTTCCAGAGAGGAAGAAAGCCTGAACTTTTACAAAGGAATGAGAGTAAGATTGGATTAATCTTCTCATTAGCTATAGCAAAATTGTGAATCAATGTCTTAAAATGTCTGAGGGTAAAATATTTAAAACCTAGAGTTCTACACACAGCCAAATTATCAATATAATTTGAAAATTTAATAAAGGACATTTTTAGTCAAGAAATAACTTAGAAAAATTGTCTCCCACCTGCTTAGCCTTAAGAGGTTACTTGAGCACAATAGTGGAGAGGAGAGAGGAGGTGATCCAAAAATAACATGAGATCCCATACAGAAAATGTTGGCTACAGCCCAGAAAGTAATGAAGGGATGTCTCAGTCTGTATTTTGTGCAGTTTGGATAAATATTTGTCAAGACTGGAGTAGAAAAGAAGTTGGCTCATGGAGAGAGGCATTTAAATAAATAATAGATTCCAAGGATTTGATACCATTCTTGAGAATATGAGAAACCTATGAAGCCAACAATAATAGACCATTCACACTAAAAAGAAAGGCAATAGGAAACTCTAGGAAAAACAAAAGGCTGCACAAGAGGAATTACAATTATGGTTGTGCAATAAATAATATTTGTTTCATCATGACTATTTAAAACCTTTCTTGATTTTCAATTTTATGTTGAACTTATAAAAAGTACAAAAATCTTAATTTTATGAATTAAATAGCAGAATATAAGGTCATCAATTGTAATAAGATAAACACAGAATGCAAAGAATATTATTTAGGTGGTGACAGGAGGAGAGCCAAAGTATGAAATCAAGAGATATTACTTGTGGTTAATGAATCAAGAAATACATGTGAAAATGTATTAATTAAAATTAAAAAGACAAACAATATAGGAAAGAAAAATAGTGATGTAACTATATTGGGAAATGGTGTGGAAAGTGGTAAGGGTAAACTATGTCTGCGTTTTTTTATGGCAGAAGTTTGTGATCATGTCCAAAATTGATAAACCAAAAACTAGATGTGTAAATATATTATTTACCAATATGGTGGTAATCAGCAGCAGAAGAAAAATCAGAGACAGTTAAAAACATTAAAGCTGATTTTTAAAATGAGGAGCTGTAATGGAGGTGGAGAAAATTGGGGCAAAAGACTGTAGCTTTTCATTGTAAATCATTCTGTACTATTTTAAAAATCATGTATATGCTTTACTTTGATAAAAATTAAAAATATTAAGTAAATATAAATCCTTATGGACAGAGAGAACTCCTCTTACTGAAAAATTAATGACCAGATTAAAAATTCTGTTCACTCTCATTTCAAGCTCTCTCATACAAGTATAGTAGTCTTCCTCTTTTTCCAGGCCTCCTCCAGATGTGACATTCTTTATACCTTCAAGAAAGTACTTTCCATGAGGACAGGGACATTGTGTGCAAGTTCACCTCTGAAATACAAAGGAACATAACTGTTTTGTTTCATATTAACTGTAACAGAAAATTCTCTGAAAATATAAGGATGGGAAAAACAGAAGTAGGATGTTGTGGAAGCAACTAGGGGAAGTATAACCTAACTGAATACTGGCATTTCAATTTTCAAAATAAAGCCAACGCTGCCTCAGACAACAATTAGGATAGAATTCAGTCCTGTAATCTACATCCCACACAATAATAACTTATATTTATCATGTGCTTATTATACATGTTACTTTGCATCCATTATATTTAATCATTAAAATTCCAAGGGGTTAGTATTTTTACTGCCAATGTATGGTTAAAGAAGTGACTCAGAAAAATTAACTCAGAGAGGTTAGGTAACTTGTCCCAGGTCTCATAGTGGATAAATGGGGAGTTAAGACAGTGAACCCAGCTCAGCTGACGCTATAATCCATGTCACGCTGCCTTTTCTTTTCTTTCTGTTTCCACTAGTGATATAAGCATAGTCTTTGGATTCTCGGAAGCACCTGCTAATTTTCTGAAATTTTCTTTAATTTTGTGTTCCTATACTTCTTTCCACAAGTTATATGAGCATTAATTTAACACTTTTCTGTGTGAAGTACCACCTAATCGCTAGGAGTTTTGTTTCTGCAACCAGACTGCCTCCATTTAAACCTTGACTCTAGAATGCCAGTCATCAATATCATATGATGCTAAGCAGTGGGTTAACCTCTCTAAGCCCCGCTGTCCTTACCTGTAAAATGGTCATTATTGTCCATGCCTCAGATGGTTTTTCTGGGGGGATTGAATGAGATAATCCACACAAAGCACTAAGAACAGTGCATGACAATGTAACCTTCTGGCCTTCCTAGTAAGTTTGATTTTACTTGCCCCAATTTCCCTCTCTTGGAAGACTTCTAAAAAGAATTTTATGATAATGGAGTGCTTAGCAATTTTATTTCAGATTTATGACATATACTTAGTGTCTTATTGTGTTCATTTTGTATTTTTATTTAAGAACATTTATAATATAGAACCCACGCTAGTAATCACTAAAAAGCTGCCACTTCTTCCGCAGGTCTAAATAGTCAAATAGACATTGGGTACCTTGCATATTTATTCATTCATTTAATTCACTCATTCTCTCAGACACATGCCAGGTATGCTGAGAGGAATAAGGTGATGACACATCAGTGTTCTAACTATATCTACAAGAAGATGGGCAAAATATAGTGCCCAAACTGGTTTTTGAACTTCTATCTTGTGTGAATGCTAGCTGTGGTAGGAATTAAAATAATGGCATATAGAATTCCGAATATTCCACTGTTAGTCACTTGTAATCTGCTAACATTTAACACTTAAACGGTTGTGGACTAGAATAGCAGAATGGGCCAAAAATCCTGTCAATGAATGCAAGAGGATCTTAAGCAGCTTAATTGAAATTAAAAAAAGGTAAAGTTTCAAAAATTGTATTCAGCCTTTATTCTGTAATGAGAAGAAAAATGCCAGTGCTTTAATTATAAACACGATTTCCTAAAGCATTCCAAGTTTTCCTTGTAGACTTTCAGGGCCAGGGATTGACTATCCTTGTGCCTGCTTGGATAGAAAAGGGCTTGATAAAAGTGCTGTGTCCTCTGGCACAGTTTAATCACTTAATACCTTGTTCCAATTGAAAACATAACCCAACCCTATTCAGATGATGGAGCATCTACACTTGATCTGCCTATGGCTTGTGCAGTCACTGATATTTCCAAGGAAAGTCTTGTGATTATCAAAATGGAAATTAATTTCATAGACTTGAGGCTGAACTAAAAAAAAATGTTCATTGTAGTAATCTGCTGATGTTGATTCCTGAAAATGTTGCTTAGAGTAAATAAACTCAGCATCAGCCTGGAAGAATGGGTCTAGGTGAGGACTGCATATTGGGAATAGAGGTGAGATCGGGGTCAAGGGGTGAAGAATTGAGCAAAGATTCTTTGTTACCGGAGAAAAAGCTTCAACAATACTATCAGAGAGTATATATTTTTGTAGTTCTTGATTCTTATAACCACTGAAATGAACCAGCTGTCTTCCATAGAAAGTTATAAAATTATCAAAGGTATTAATTTACCAACTTCAATAGCTGAAGGAAAATTTAAGCTTGTTTTAGGGGCATGAAATTCTTATAGATAACAACATTTCTGAGAACATCATTTCCTACAACGACAAGCAGTACCAGTGAAGAACTTTACATCTCGTTTGATACCTTTAAATTACTTTAAGAACTAATCATTTCATCCATGCAAAGGAAGAGCTACAGTAAGGTGCAAATAAGATCACAAAGAAGTAAAGCTTCTGGCATAGTCTTATGCCTAAATTGTGATGTTTGCTTTGAAAAACACTGAATAATGACAGATCCAGTTACTCTGCACAGTGTCCAGAACTTTATGGACTTGTAAGACTAGATGGACTTGGGGAGCTCATCTGATTCAATTTCTTAATTGTATGGATAAATTAGGCCCCAGCAGAATACGGCATCTCATTTAAAGTCACTAGACATTTAGAGGAAGACCCAGAGTTAAAAATCTCTTCATTTTTAGCTTACTGATCTTTCCAACATTTTACATTCCAGGATGTCTAGAAAAATTATTACTTATATCCAAAATGTAAATGCAATGATTGCTGTGGTGGTGGTTGTGTTCTCACTTATGAAGGCTTCAAGTGTAGATCAATGGTTCTTTTTTGAATCATGAATTTCACTGGGTATCCAGTGAAAGAGATGACCTCCTTTACATAAAAGTAAAGATATATGCATAAAGATACACAATTCTTTTTCATCCTTACTGTATATTAATGGACTCTTAGACTATTAGGAGTGATGGATCAGGTTAGGAAGTCTTTGTAGACAGTGAAAACACAGAGTATTATTGGTTCTAATTATGTAAAATATTCCGGGGAAATTTTAATTTTGATATTATTATTGCCTTGTTATTTTTATATAACTGCAGAATACATTAAAGTAAAATATTTCAAAAACTCTACAATTTCTGAATTGGAGATTATTTAGTTAGATATCTCAAATTAAAAAAGCTGTGACATACTAAGAATAAAAGACTTGAATTTCCCTGGCTAGTTAATAGCAGAGAAAAGACTATATTATGTTGTATGCATAAATTTATACACATATACTAAACTTTAGAGCTGCTTTATGAGAAAAGCCAATTTAAAGGACAAATTTGACTTTTAAAGGATACATTTCTTGTCAATACTATCTATTCTGATTTCTGCTTCAACATATTGGGACATTATGAAGTAAAAGGAGGAATTAAATTAAGAAATGCCCATTAATATGTCTATATTTTTAAAATACCAGCTATTTCTAACTCAACTGTGTAAAAATACAGTATATTTACATTTACAAAAAATTTTGAAAGCAATTTTCATGAAGCTTTAAGTTCAAGAAATGTTAACATTACTTTCAAGGGAAAAGTATTTGAAAATGGAAATACTTTTTGAATTGTTAAATCGATACATTTGTTAACAATCAGGTGGTTTCAGTTCATAAACCACATACAAGCAAGCAGAATAAATAGGAAATAAATTAGGTGCTATTAGAAAGGATTTTAATATTGCAATATTATTGTAGCCATGTACCAGAAACTTCTGTAAAGGATCACCTGGAGGTGATGGGGCCCCAGCATTTGCCTGACAGTCGGTCTGTGACTCACTCTCTGAGAAACGCAAATGCGGATCCTCAGTTTGTCCTGTTGAGGCATTGCTGCCTCCTCTGGAACCGCTATTGTTTTGGAACAACAGTGGCACATCTGCGACAAGATTCGTTCCCACTTCCACACTCATCCTGGACCCTTAGAAACTCTGGGAAGGGAAAATTGTTTTGACTTAAACTCCGTCCAGAACACTGGGTTTTGAAAGGGAGTTATTGCCAGGTGATTAATTCCCACTCCGGAGGTTGTCAGCTTGCTAGAGACGGCTGGTGTCCGCTCGTGGTGTGCAGGGGGGTACTTCCTGCCTGCCTCAGCGACTCTTGTTGCTCTGGGCCCAGAGCTCGGCTTAGTATAGTGAACGACTCCTCTCCGCCCCTCCTGCCCGCCAGGGCTTTCAGGGTTCAGGTTTTAGGTGTTTAACTTTGAACACCATTCATTTCCAGATAACTTTGACCCAGCTGGCCAAAGGCATCAAATGATCAGGAGTGGGTTCCAACTCTGGGGCCTGCAAGAAGAGCAAGCGCTGGCTCTGCACTTCTAGAAGTTCTGCCAACTTTGCTCTTGTTGGTTTCCCGACCCGCTCTCTTCAACTCTCTTCTGAGAGCTGGAGAGAGTAAAGACGCCTCTTAAAACGGAATGCTGAGGGACAGGTTTAATGTAAATAAGAGGCGCCAGAGTCCGCCACTGGTGCACTTGGGCACCAGGTCCCTACCTGGATCTACTCTGCGCTCACCCCTTGGGAATGCGGGACATGAGTAAGATGTGACACCCTGAGCACATTGCTGCTGCTAGAGGACATTGCACGGAGTCTATGCTTTGTTTCGCTTTGCTTTTTAAAATTTTGTACTCTCGTGTTCTGCTTGGAAACATGTTTTACTTACCCACTTACTCCCAACACATCCTCTTAGCTCTTTTTCTGCATCCCTTAACCCCCCAAGATGAACGCGCGTGTCAGCAGCTGTTCTGACTTGCCTCCAGTGACCCACAGGCCAGCTTCTCAGCCCACTATCCCTGACCCCCGGGGTCCCGGGGTCATACTACTCGACTCCAGGCATGAGGGTCCCTCCATCTCGGGACACTACTTTTGGGACTTTTCCGCCCACCGCGGATGAAAGTCAGATAACAACCACTATCAGGGACGCTACGGCAGCCGGGAGCCCCGGAAAGATTGGGCCAAGCCCCTTCCAGAGCCTCTCGTTAGGTCTCAGAAAGACTTTTTTAGGGTCCCTACTCCCTTTTCATCTGAGCTTTACTCTTGACTTTTGTTATGAATTCCCAAAAGGAAGGCAGGCAATAGGGGAGGGACCATGGAGGAAAAAATAAGAGCTAACAGGAGACACTCAGATTATATATTTATTTTATATAAAGAAATGATACATATGTAATTTTAGATTTTCTTCCGAATTAGAGTTCTCAGGCTATAGAAAACCTATTTTTAACACCCGCTTCTCCCATAACGGCCTTGATTGCTCAAATTGCTTCTAATTGGATGGCACACATTACTGGAGACGAAGGACGAATGACAAGCAGCCTTCATTCTTTTGCAGATTTAGATAATGTCTCTGGATGAATATCTTTTCTGATCAGGAAGAACAGGAAAACTCTTAAACTGCCTGCAGTTTTCATAAGGGGTTTGTGCAATAGGGGGAAATGTCCTGACCATCACACGAGCATGGAAATTGATGGCATTTTACAGAAAGCACCGCATAATAATCTAGTGCCACCGTTTTTCCTCCCGGATCTGTCATGGTACAAAGAGTAAACACACTTTTTTTTTTTTAAACTCACTTAGCCTTCCTTCCATCTCTTATGTGGGATCTGTAAAAGTTTTCAGTAAACCTCTTTAAAACGTATACGTTATCCATATCCCCCTTCCCCTTGTTCAAGGCTTGGCCGGCCCTGAGTGCCCTTGGTGCGGCGTGCCAGCCCTGACAGCCGCAAGCAACGGTCATTATTACCTCGCAGACCGGCGCATTTCAGAGTCAGCGACTAGCGGATACCCATGGGCTCCGGGCTATTGTACCACCGAGAGGTGTAAACCCAACTGGAGTTTGCTGAAGGCAAGCTTCCAAGGTGAGGGCTGGGTTTTCTCGGGTGCTTTCGGGCCGATCCGGGGTGGGGCACCTCAGAGGCTAACACTCATCTAAAGCTGGTAGAGGCTGAAATATTATGGACACCTGAACAAATCCGAGACACGCATGATGTCTCGCTAAACTGCAGTTTCATTTTTTCCACTACCCAGAAACAAACAAACAAACAAATACATAAATAAAGTCATTGTTCTAGGCCAGAGAAAATATGCCAACAAGAAGTCACCCTTTCTGTTTCAACTTCAAAGGCAATGGATTTTTCTTGCAATTCTTTTATTTTAGAAAAGGAAACTCAGAATGGCAGGGGGAAGCCCCTCCAGGCCACTTTAAATTTCTTCACAGTAGAGTCCTGGGCGAAGAGTGAAGATCCTGGGATAAGGGTGTTTGTGGGTTCTTTGAATGGAAGCCCACCCAGGGCACCTGGCTGCAGAGTAGGGCGTTGGCACCGCCCGGATCGGTAGCCCGCCGCCTGCGCCTTTCCACCATGCCCAGGCACAAGTTTCCTTTTCTCTTCGTGCAGCAAAGTAAGAATGCCCCAATTTTTGAGGAATCTAACTCTTCTGCTGCATTAAAGGCCCACATGCTCTATAGTTTCACATTTTACATTGGCCCTGAGAATGAGGTTATTAGTCTCATAAGAAAAGATTGGGCAGTAAGAAATGCTAAAAGATGGAATTCCAAATTGGCCCCTGCAGTAGGAGTGTGCGTCACCCCGGCCTTGGCTGGGTCGCCAAACACTGTCGAAACTTTCTGGCTGTCTTTAGAAGATACCCTCTACTAGTCACTTGACGGGCAGGAGGTGCAACGCGGAAGGAAACATCACGGATTGGGGGTACTGGAAACTTTTAAAAGGTCTGGAAAATCCCTCCGATTTAGTGGATGCTTTTCCGCGGCAGTTTAAAAACTGAAAGGCAACATAGAAGCTTCTACTTTAAAAAGGTAGCCCTGGTGATCCAATCCCGATCTTTTGGCTGGCAAAGAGGCAATTGCCTGAAAACGAAATTGGCATTCAAAAAGGGTCAGGTACAGCCCAGAGTCCCTGTACTCATTTTAGACTCAAGAAAAGGCGCTTCCCATCCCTAGCTCTTTTAGAAAGAGAAAGGAAAAGGAGGAGAAAGCAGAAAGGGGGGAGAGCCGAGAGCGCAAGAAAGAAAGAGAAGAGGGGGATATTTAGCAAGTTAAAAGGTTAAATGTTTGAACAGATTTGTAAATATATAGACAACCCTTGTTATTTGGGATGTGTAATAATGCCTTTTTGTGGCGCTGTCTGGCTGGGAGGCTGCCGAGGACCGCTCCCTGGCACCTTCTTCACTAGGAAATGAACAGTAAGTTCATGGACTCAAAAAACAAAAACAGGGCTACCCTCCTTTGGAGGAAAGGGAATTCTCCCTCTATTCGGTCATTGAAAAATAAAAAGAAAAGAAGAAAAAAGAAAGTAAAAGGAAAGCAGGATCAATGAGATTTTATTTTTCTTAGGTATGATTTTTCAGGGAGCAACCCAGAAAGCTGTCTTCAGGCTGAAACAATTTCAAAGTATTGTTTAAGCGGATGACATTCTCCAGCACTCAGTTATCCATTGTGCATCTATTATATCTTTGAACTCAACTCTCTTGTCTAACAAGGTTGTGTGTGTGTGCCTGTTGTGTATGCGTGTGTGTTTAGAAAACCTAGGTTCCCCAGTGGTGCTTCCTTGGCTGAATAGGGTGGGTTTCTTTCGTTTTTCTCGCATTGGTGTTTTCTGGACAACTGTACTGAGCGCTGTTGATGGCATCGGTGCTCTGCCCGTGCCCGTGGGCGGAGGACATAGGCTGTGGGTGTGTCCCGCCCGCAGGCGCGCGTGCGTGTGTGCGTGTTTGTGTGTGTGTGTGTATACACCCATTCTCTGGTGTGCATCAAATGGAGCCTTTTTTTTTTCTTGCCCGTGTCTGCGTCCTGCGTATATTAGTATTATGCAAATAGAGTCATTTCGCTTGAGTATTTTTTTTGGAGGGGGAGGGGATGAACCATTTTAATTCTTCTCTAGTATTTTCTCGGCAGTCTTTCCACTGAGTGTGAATTCATTTGGATGCCTTTTCTGAGGTCCGTCTCTGTGTGTGTGTGTGTGTGTGTGTGTGTGTGTGTGTGTGTGTGGAGGGGGAGACTGCGTGCCGGTCAGTGGGTGTGTGCCTCGGTGTGTGGAAGAGCGTGCACAGCCTGTGAGAACCTTGTGAGCGATATGTGTTCTCTCCAGGTGTTCTGTTTGTCTCTACCTCCCGTGCTTTGCGTTCTCGGAGGTGATTATGTGCATATTTACATATATGTGCCTATTCTCTTGCCTTCATGTATTGTCTTTCTCCACAATCCAGACATTGCATATATATTCTCTTATCTTTTGGCAAAGTGCCTTTTTTATTCCTCGAAGAATATTTATTGATGTGATAATCTGAAATGAAAAGTGGTCTCCCATGAAGGAGATGGAAGAGAAAGGAGTGTTCATCTTTCTTAATAGATGGGGCAGAGCCAGTTGACTGGATCACAGGGTTTCTCTGCACTTTCTGCGTGTGTGTCTGTGTGTGGGGGGTGGGGGCGGGGGCGGGGGCGGAGGCGGGGGCGGGGGAGGAGGGAAAAGGAGCCTTTAACCAGAACAAAGATAGGCCATCGCGCCCCCTTGCGGACAGGCTGCATATTGCGCCGACCAGGCCCGCCCCGGCTTTCTTTAGTCGAATGAATCTTGTAATTTCCTCCGTTAAACCATTCAGGGGCCGCCTCTCAGACCCAGCCCCCGGCCATCAGCCAATCACCAGGCGCCATGCAAATCATCTCTTCCGTTCTCCAAACCCGCGTCAGCCTCTGCGGCTGCTCTGGCCACCCCGCCCCAGCCTCATTTCCTCCCCTCCCCTCCCCTTCCCTCCTTCGCCCCCGCCCGAGCAGCTGCCGGGGAAGAGGGCAGTGCTGGGTGCCTCATGCATATTCAGACCGATCCTCCTCCTCCCTCCACCTCCTGCCCCCTCCTGCCGCCTCCTCCCTTTTCCCCGGCCGCGCCCGCGCTCCTGGACGCGCAGTTCTCCGAGCTCTGGTCCTGAGCCGCTGTTTCCCAGAAGAAGGCCTACGTGAGCTCTTGGAGCAGACGAGGGAAAGGGAGGAAGGCTCTACCCTTAAAATCCTCTCGAAGGTCAAGTTTGAGGCTTGCCGAAAGGAGGAGAAAAGTGTCGAAAAATGCCGCTACAGGGTTTGCGGGAAGGTTCTGCACGGAGACTGGTTGGAAATGCCTTTCTCCCCCTAAATACCAGATTAATTTCTCTGAAACACACAATGTATTTGTCATGCCCAAAGGATGATGATAGATGGTTTTTTAAGCCCAGAGTAAAGTGTGCATTTGTCTTGTATATCAAGGCTACAATGAAACCACGAAGAACTGGAGAGGAGATCACCCAGCGTTGGCTGCTTAATAGGAGCGGGGAGAGCGAGTGAGGAGTAGAGACGGGGGGCGGGGCGAGTGGTGGCCCAAGACCTGCTCCAGGTGGGCTGTTCCCTGTCGGCTCCTGGAACAGGACGGGTAAGCCGACTAAGAGCGCAAACGGGGACCCATGAAAAGAAAAGAAAAAACAAGATCCGGGAATAGTTTGTTACTGTTATTTACATCCAGACTCTGGTTTTCCGGCCCTTTACAGCTGCTGGTGAAGAGTATTCAAGCTTTGAATACTGCTCTGAACTGACCTTGAGGCACATTGAGAGGAAAAATCACTGGAGAAAATCGCGGTTTGTGTAGTGCTTTGAGATCCTCTAACGCGAAAGCAAGAGAATTGTGAAGTGACCTTGTTTCATAGATCTCTCTACGTCCACATTGGAATACTAAGGGACTTTTTAGTGAGAATTGAGTCAGTTCCCCCTTAAATCTTACACCGCAGAGAAGTGAGTAGAGACCGCAAGATTTAAAATAACATTTTGTCAGCTTTTATTCTTTCAACACATTTTTATGGAGTGGTGCTTATTGTGTGCCAGGTACACAGCATCTTTTTCCATGCGAAACACATTACGCAGGCAGTGATTTGCAGGTGTACCGGAAATTAGGGAAAGGGATAGGAATTCTGGATGCTTTCTGTTCTGGAATTGCTCATTGTCTTGCAAGAAGAAGAGATATAATAACAGATAAATATGGCACAGTGTAACATGGAGCATGGAAACAGCTTAAATATCTGTCAAAAGTGCAGTGAATTAATGTATTGGCATATCCCTACAGTGAAATACTCTTTATGAATTGACTATCTTAAAAGCAATGTTGGATGAAAAAAAGCAAATTGCAAAAGAATACATGTGATATTGGCCGGGCGCGGTGACTCACGCCTGTAATCCCAGCACTTTGGGAGGCCGAGGAGGGTGGATTACGAGGTCAGGAATTCGAGACCAGCCTGGCCAAGATGGTGAAACCCGTCTCTACTAAAAGTACAAAAGTTAGCCAGGGGCGGTGGCAGGCGCCTATAATCCCAGTTACTCGGGAGGCTGAGGCAGGAGAATTGCTTGAACCCTGGAGGCGGAGGTTGCAGTTAGCCGAGATCGCTGCATTCTAGCCGGGGCAACAGAGCAAGACTCCGTCTCAAAAAAAATGTGATATTGATGCAATATTAATATCTATTAACGTAAAATTATCCTTCCCATAACAATTTGTTGGTACGTAACTATGTAATAAAAGTATAAAAGCATGTTGGGGAAGAATGCGTGCGAACTCCAGCATGGGGGAGACCCCTGGAAGAGAAGGAGCCTTTATCCACATGGATATTGGCTATATGAGTAATGTTTATTTCCTTAAAAAAATCTTAGAAAGAAGCCAGAACATAGAGAGGTATGGGAAGGCTTTACAGAAGAGCTAACTTTGAAGCTAAGTTCTTGAAAGTGATAAGCAGGAGTTTAGTAGGAATATTTGAAAGACAATTCTTCTTCTTGAATACATGAGAATGAGAAATATAAACTATGTGAAGCTTTTGAACTTTTGATATTTAGGTTAAATACAGTACAATTCACTTTTTCAGGGATATAAATTCTTTGAGTTTTACCAGTGTGTAATGTAATCACGACCACAAGCAAGAAACAGAATTTCATCATCCCCCAAAACTTCTTTGTGCTGCCCTTTGCAGTCAATCCCTCCCAATATCCTGTAACCCTGGAAACCACTGATCTGTTTTCCATTCCTGTAGTTTTGCCTTTTACAGAATGTCATATAAATAGAATCATACAGTATGTAGCTTTCTTCTGTGTGGCTTCTTTTTACTAGCATAATGGATTTGATCTTCATCTGTGTTGTTGGGTGTATCAACAGTTTGCTCTTTTTGATTGCTGAGTAGTATTTCATTGCATGAACGTACCACAGATGGTTTATCCTTTTAAAAGTTGTTGAAGGCCATTTGAGTTGTTTCTGATGTACAGTTTTTTTTTAATTTTTTTATTTTATTTTTTTGAGATGGAGTCTCGCTCTGTCGCCCAGGCTGGAGTGCACTGGTGCGATCTTGGCTCACTGCAAATTCTGCCTCCTGGGTTCACGCCATTCTCCTGCCTCAGCCTCCTGAGTAGCTGGGACTACAGGTGCCTGCCACTAAGCCCGGCTAATTTTTTGTATTTTTAGTAGAGACGGGGTTTCACCATGTTAGCCAGGATGGTCTCGATCTCCTGACCTTGTGATCTGCCCGCCTCAGCCTCCCAAAGTGCTGGGATTACAGGTGTGAGCCACCACACCCAGCCCTGATGTACAGTTTCTTAATTCCAGGGACTGGGTTCATTGCTGTCATGTATAATGGGGATCTTCTGTGAATGGCTATTATATTACATATAATAAGTGTGTACCATTATTTCCCCTGAGAGGCTAATCTATAATCTGGTGTTAAATACTGTGTAGAGCTAGGTAAGAACCTACCCAGCCAACTATATAGAAAAACACACATGTTCACAGTATTTCAGAAATTGCCCTTCAGCTTACTTACTTGTAGTGAGTTCAATAGAAGATACTCACTAAAGATGCCAGCTGATGACCAGCATGTGTGAACTTACATATATGTAGTGGAGGATTTAAATTTCTTACTGTTTGAGCACCTATGACTTTCCTAGTGTGGAATTATTCTTTGTTTCTAAATATTTCCTAAATTCTCCTTGAAAGATTGACCTTTGCTTTCTGAGGTCTGAGTGGAGGTTTACTTGCAGGCAGTATCCCCATACATTTGATAGAGGATGACAAATTCACATAACCAATTAAGGAGTTCTGAGCACTTGTAAGGAGTCACAGTAATTCCAGATTCTGGACTGTACTGTCAACACTCAAGTGTTTGATTTCCTCTTGTTTGTTTCTCATCAGGACCCTGAAAAGCTGATAGCTAGGGTACATAGATTGGGTGCTGAGTTCAGGCACAGAGTAAGGAAGCCTGTGGGTACATAAGCACTTATTAATGTATCCCTTGAATTCCAAAGTCAAATATCAACTGTTTGTTGATATTTGGAGCCTTATTTATTTATTTATTTAAAAAACCTCTAGTTCCTCATGGCTATTTGAAAGCTCTCTTTCAAAGGCAGCTGTAAGAGTCAATAACGTGCAAGATGGTAAGGAGAAGTGTAAATAAACATTCACAGATTGATGACCTTTTGGGTGTGGTTCAGAGTCAAGAAAGGACAATCCCAACTGTAAAGACTGATGGCAGTATTGGGATGCAAGGGGTGCTATTGTCTAATCCTAGTCTTCTTGCTAGAATAGGCTGTGTTTTGAACTTAAAATTGTATCCAGTTGCTACATGTGAGAGTGCATGTCATCCCTAGTTTTAGTTCTTATAATCAGCATCACCCTCTGGCAAATGATACTGGAAAAAAGTTTTAATTAACAATTCAACTAAACAAATGGTAAAATAAACAATAGGAATTTCCTTTGGATACATTCTTAAGTAAACGTTATAAAGGTTATAAATCAAGGAATGTAAATGCCACATTTTCACTTTGTTAAGTTCTGTGCCACCTTGGAAAAAAGCCTACTTTATTTGTACCACAATTTTATCTCTTATAAAAGGGCAGAGGACTAAACATGTTGCTATTTATGATTTAAGATTCCCCCGGCAAGAAGCACTTTATGAACCCTAGACTTTGCTGTGATAGAACTCTTTCATTAGTCATGCCAAATTGCAATGATTGAGGCATCCACCATTTTCCCAATTAATTATAACACACCCAAGCTTCATGTTTCCTGGTGCACTTTGAAGATTTTGAGAAAGTGGTCATTTCCTCACAATAACCTAATTTACAGCCCCTATTCAAACAAGGTAATTTAGAGCATGCACTCTTAACTTGTTTAGTAAACATGTCCAAGCTAAGAAGTGTTGGCCCTGTGAAGCTCATCAGTCCAGTGACTTAACAGTAGTTCTTCCATTAAAAGAAAATCACTGTCCGGGTGCGGTGGCTCACACCTGTAATCCCAGCACTTTGGGAGGCTGAGGCGGGCAGATCACAAGGTCAGGAGATTGAGACCATCCTGGCTAACATGGTGAAACCCTGTCTCTACTAAAAATACAAAAAAATTAACCAGGTGTGGTGGTGGGCGCCAGTAATCCCAGCTACTTAGGAGGCTGAGGCAGGAGAATGGCCTGAACCCGGGAGGCAGAGCTTGCAGTGAGCTGAAATTGTGCCACTGCACTTCAGCCTGGGCAACAGAGTGAGACTCCGTCTCAAAAAAAAAACAAACAAACAACAAGCAAACAAAAAAAAAGAAGATCACCTTTGCGCTTTGTGCTACAAATAAATTGGTGCTGACTTAGTACCAAGACTGTGATTTCTAATGAAAATTAAACTATTGATGGTAAAACAAAATAACAGAAAAAAAAAAAGAAGAGACACCTTTCAAATGACCACCAAATTCATAATCATGGATTAAGCCAGTGAAGATTTTCTCTTGCAGGCACTGTCTTTTAAAATGAGATTCTGTTCAAGAGTGTTACAGTAGCATAATATAAATCGGTGGCTATGGCTTTTAAACTCTGGTTCTTTCTCCTGTAAAGCAGCATAAGTGAGTGCCTTATCATAACGTCGGAATAATGACATCTCAAGGCCTGCATGTTGCATTCACAAGCAAGGAGAGTCCCAGAACGAGGTTGACTCAGCAGTACCTGACCAGGCTGCTTAATGCACTGATGAATACCATTGCCCCTAGGAATTAAATATAGAGGTGCCTGGAGCTTGTGTAAAGTTCTCTGTGCCATTTGAAAAAGGTACTCGGAGAAAAGATGGGCTGATTTTTAATTTTAATGTTTTACTCATCGGTTTAAGTACATTTATGGTTTGCTTTGCAAAATGTCAACAGACATCCCAAGTGGTTAACATTTTTAAAAGACTGAATATTCTGTATTTACTCTAATATCATTTTTAAAATGTGGTCATCAATGCCTACAGGTTCATCTGTTAAGACAATCCATTCAAATGATTATTAAAAAATAAATTCAATAACAATTTGTTATTTTCCCCATTGTCTCGAATTCTCGTTGATTAGAATTCCAGCAACATAAAAGTAAAGGTTTCATTTTAGTTTTGGTGCATTTAGGAAGGACTGCAAGTGAAATTTCCATCTGTAAGATGGCTAAAGAATACTCTGAGAAGGAATTATGTGTTACCTACTAGTATTAGTGTTCATTATTATATTACACAGACCATTATACATTTGTATATTATATACTCGATTGACAAAGCACTTTCATATAAATTATCTCACAACAATCTTATAAGACAGATTGTTAAAGGTAATTATTATCTTTATTTTACATTGAAAGATACTGAGGTTCAGAAATATTTAAAATAGCTGTCATTTCAAGGAGTATACTTAGTGGCAAGTAGTATTCTAATAACTTTACATATTTTAATTCCTTTGATCTACACAGCAGCTGTAGGAAGTGGATAGTATTATCATCATCTTCATTTTATAGATTAAACCACAGAAGAACAGAGAAGTCAACTAGCCTGTCCAAAGGTGCACAGTGAGTAAATGGTAGAGTCAGATGGTGATACACGCCATCTAATTCCAGATGGAAGTGCCTACACATTATATCTCTCTGCTTAGCCAAGGTTCAGCAACTTGCTTCAGGAAATTTGTCCATTAAGTATTGAATCCTGAATTAGAGCACGAGTCTCCTGACTTCCAGCAAAAATGCTTTTCCATCATGCATTTTGTTGTGACTTCTCTCATTATCTTTTGTTTTATCTCACGTTATGTTTTACTACATTATGTACTTCTCATCCTCCTCTTAATGGAATGTGAGTTTCCTCAGTGCCAAAAAGAAAGGATGATTCTTTTTATATGTGGACTTTCCCCTTCATACCTGAAAATTCTCCTAACACAAGAGGTACGCTTTTAAAATGTGTTAAGTTGAATCAACATCGTAGAACTCTCTGAACGCTTTAGGCCTAAAACTTACAATAGGAATTTTGGTGATATAAAAATCGTTGACAATGGGAATGGGATAGTAATTAAACTAAAAAAGGAAAGGGATGATGTAATAGGAAGGAGCAAGATAACAACAAAACAACAATGTTTATACAGCCCTTACTATGTGCTACACGCTTTTAATGGATCAACCTATTCAGTCCTTACAACAACCTATTATTATCTCCATTTTATGAATGGAAAGACAGGCGCAAAAGTTATGTAATCAGTTCATGAATACATGTGTTTCTGGGCATATGTATGTAGTAGAGGGAGAAAAAAAGTGATAAATATTGCTTGGTTTTTCTACCTCCCAAGCCAAGGATTTCCTGTGGTTTTCTAGGTGTATGTATTTGTTTGACTTTTGTCAGGTGGTTTCTATTCTATATGCCCTATCCTACTGACTTTTATTCCTCCAGTCTCATCTCTGCATGACACCACAATTATTTTTCTAAAATACATATTTGATCCTGCTTCTCCTTGGTTTAGAATGTTTGTTGACTCCTGACCGCTTACAAGTTATGTGGCCTGCTACGCCATAGCCCTGTTTTACATTTTCATAATCATTTTTGCCTCTTTCCCCAGACTTTTTATTATGATTGTATTTAAACCCTCTTTCATCCCTGGGTGGACTATGTACTTTAACTCTTCTGTGACTTTACCCAGGTTGTTCACTCTATCTGGAATGTTGTTCCCTTCATTTTT
This sequence comes from Homo sapiens, assembly GCF_000001405.40. Classification (NCBI taxonomy): domain Eukaryota; kingdom Metazoa; phylum Chordata; class Mammalia; order Primates; family Hominidae; genus Homo; species Homo sapiens. The sequence continues at coordinate 88,134,206 of NC_000005.10, read as the reverse complement.
ACCTGGGGAATTAAACTCATCCTGCAGGATGAAATTCAAACATATTTATTTTTGGAGTCTTGTGATCCTACGGACAGAATTAATATATAACCCTATTAATATAAACATTTGACCCTTGCACAACATGGGTTTGAACTGCACAGGTCCGCTTACATGTGGATTTCCTTCTGCCTCTGCCACCCCTGAGATAGTCCAATCCTTCCTCTTCTTTCTCCTCCTCAGCCTACTCAAGGTGAACACAATGAAGACAAAGACCTTTATTATGATCCATTTCCACTTAATAAATAGTATATTTTCTCTTCATTCTTAGTATTTTCTTTCTTTCTTTCTTTTTCTTTCTTTTCTTTCTTTCTTTCTTTCTTTCTTTCTTTCTTTCTTTTTCTTTCTTCTTTTTTCTTCTTCTTTCTTTTCTTCTTTCCTTCCTTCCTTTCTTTCTCTTTCTTTCTTCTTTCTTCCTTTCTTTCTCTTTCTTTCTTTCTTCTTTCCTTTTTCCTTCCTTTCCTTCCTTCTCTTCTCTCCTCTCCTCTCCTCTCCTCTTCTCTTTTCTCTCTCTCTCCCCCCCACCCCCACCCTTCTCTTTTGAGACAGTTTCTTCCTCTGTCACTCAGGCTGGAGTGCAGTAGCATGATCACAGTTCACTGCAGCCTCGAACTCCTGGCCTCAAGTGATCCTATTATTACCTCAGCCTCCTGAGTATCTAGAACTGAAAGCATGTGTTGCCATGCCTGGCTATTTAGAAACTTTCTTTTTAGAGATGGGGTCCCGTTACATTGCCCAGGCTGGTCTCAAACTTCTGTACTCCAAGCAAACCTCCTGCCTTAGCCTTCCAAAGTGCTGGGATTACAGGCAAGAACCACCATGCCTTATGATTTTCTTAATAACCTTTTTTTTATCCAGCTAACTTTATTATAAGAATACAGTATACAATATATTTATCACACATAATATGTGTTAATTGAATTTATGTCATTGGTAAGATTTCCAATTGACAGTAAGCTATTAATAGTTAAGTTTGGGGGGATATAAAAGTTATATGTGAATTTTCAACTGCCTGGGAGGCTGGTGTCTCTAACCCTTACATTGTTTAAGAATCAATTATACTTCAATTTAAGCAACAACAACAACAACAGCAGCAACAGCAGCAGTAACATCTAGTAACATCTAGTAAATGCTGAGGTGCTACAATTCGGTTACTGTTGATGAAGAAAATTAGATGTAGAGGCTCTATGTAACTTGCCCAAGATCACTTGGGTAGTAAATTTTCAGACAGATCTGGCTGACCTTCAACCCCCAAAATCCATAAACGTAACCACTTTGCTTTGCTTCCTCCACTGATACCACCAGTTTATTTATCTCTTTCTCTTCAATAATATAAACTCTAGATAAAGAGTTTTTTTTCCAGTTGAATCAGAACTGGCTTGAATCTTTTCTTTTTGATAGGCATAAACTTCAATATCATACTCTTAGATTACCTCTCTCCCCTCTTCTGTAGTACTCAGGAGTTCTTCAGGTTTACAGAATCCCCAAGGGAAATCATTTGGCCAGTAATATGGTTTGACTCTGTGTCCCCACCCAAATCTCATGTTGAATTGTAATTCCCAGCATTAAAGGAGGGGCCAGGTAGGAGGTGATAGAATCATGGGGGTGAACTTCCCCCTTGCTCTTCTTGTGGTAGAATTCTCATGAGATATGGTTGCTGTAAAGTGTGTGGCACCTTCCTCTTTGCTCTCTCTCTCTCTCTCTCTCCTGTTGCCATGTGAAGATGTGCCTTCTGCTATAATTTTCTTGAGCCATAATTTTTCTAAGTTTCCTGAAACCTGCCCTGCCATGCCTCCTGTACAGCCTATGGAACTGTAAGTCAATTAAACCTCTTTTCTTTATAAACTACTTAGTCTAAGGTAATTCCATATATCAATGTGAGAATAAACTAATACAGGAAATTGTATTAGTTTAATAAACTAATTGTATAATTAGTTTATACAATTTATATTTATATTAGTTTATACAATTTATATATAAACTAATATATATTAGTTTATAATTGTATATTGTATAATTTAAATAAACTAATTGTATTAGTTTATTTCTCTACAGAAATACTAGAGAAGTAGTGCATTCCTATAAATATACCTGAAAATATGAAAGTGACTTTGGAACTGGGTAATGGGCAGAAGTTGGAACAGTTTGGAGGGATTAGAAGAAGACAGGGAGATGAAGGAAAGTTTGGAAATTCCTATAGACTTGTTGAATAGTTGGACCAAAATGCTAATAGTGATATGGACAGTGAAGTCCAGGCTGAGGTTATCTCAGATAGAGATGAGGAACTTATCGGGAACTGGAGTAAAGGTCACTCTTGCTATGCTTTAGCAAAGAGTCTGGCAGCATTGTGCACCTGCTCTAGAGATCTGTGGAACTGTGAACTTGAGAGAAATGATTTAGGGTCTCTAGTGGAAGAAATTCCTAAGCAGCAAAGCATTCAAGATGTAACCTGGCTGCTTCCAAAAGCCTACACTCATTTGCATAAACAAAGAAATAACCTGAAACTAGAACTTATATTTAAAAGGCAAGCAGAGCATAAACATTTGGAAAATTTGCAGCCCAACCATGCAGTAGAAAGGAAAAACCCATTTACTGGGGAGAAACTCAAGGCTGCAGAAAGCTGCATAAGTAAAAATGAGCTGAATGTTAATAGCCAAGACAGTGAGGAAAATGCTTCCCGGCCATTTCAGAGGCCTTTGAATCACAGATTTGGAGGCCTAGGAAGGAAAAACTGTATTTTTTCCTGGTTTTATGGGCCAGGCCCAGGGCCCCGTTGCCCTGTGTAACCTTAAGACATGGTGCCCTGCATTCCAGCCACTTCAGCTTCAACCATGGCTAAAAGGGCCAAAATACAACTTAGGTCATTGCTTCAGAGGTTGCAAGTCCCAAGCCTTGGGATGGCTTCCATGTGGTATTGGGCCTGTGGGTGCACAGAAGACAAGAGTTGAGGTTTGGAAGCCTCTGCCTAAATTTCAGAGGATATATTGTAAGGCCTGGATGTTCAGGCAGAAGTCTGCAGCAGGGACAAAACCATCATAGAGAACCTCTACTAGTGCAATGTGGAGGGGAAATATGGGGTTGGAGCCCCCATACAAAGTCCCCACTGGGGCACTGCTTAGTGGAGCTGTGAGAAGAGGGTCACCACCCTCCAGACCCCAGAATGATAGATCCACCAACAGCTTGCACTATGTGCTTGGAAAAGCTGCAGGCACTCAATGCCAGCCTGTGAAAGCAGGAGCTTTACTCTGCAGAGCCACAGGAGCAGAGCTTCCAAAGACCTTAGGAGCCCACCCCTTGCATCACTGTGCCCTGGATGTGAGACTTGTAGTCAAAGGAGATGATTTTGGAGCTTTAAGGCTTAATGACTGCCCTGCTGGATTTTAGACTTTCATGGGCTTGGAGCTCCTTTGTTTTGGCCAATTTCTCCTTTTCAGAATGTGAGCATTTACCCAATGTCTGCACCCCCAATGTATCTTGAAAGTAACTAACTTGTTTTTTATTTTGCAGGTTCATAGGCAGAAGGGACTTGCCTTATCTCAGATGAGACTTTGGACTTGGACTTTTGAGTTAATGCTGGGATGAGTTAAGACTTTGCGGGACTGTTGGGAAGGCACGGTTGTGTTTTAAAATGTAAGAAGGACATGAGACCTGGGAGGGACCATGGGTGGAATGATATGGTTTGGATCTCTGTCCCCAGCCAAGTCTCATGGCTAATTGTAATCCCCAGTGTTGGAGGAGGTGCCTGGTGGGAGGTGATTGCATCATGGAGGTGAACTTCTCCCTTGCTGTTCTCATGATAAAGTTCTCACAAGATCTGGTTGTTGTAAAGTGTGTGGCAACTTCCGCTTCACTCTCTTTCCCCTGTTACAATGTTAAGATGTGCTTGCTTCCCCTTCACCTTCCGCCATGATTGTACGTTTCCTGAGGCCTCCTCAGTAATGTCTCCTGTAACAGTCTATAGAACTGTGTGTCAATTAAACCCCTTTTCTTTATAAACTACCCAGTCTCAAGTACTTCCATATAGCAATGTGAGAATGAACTGATATAGCCAGTCTTTTCCTAGAAGAACCCTGGTGCCTGGTATCTTCTAGGGCCTTGTGGCATTGCTTCCTTTTACCATATTGCACTGCACAGAGCTCTAGGCCAGGATGATCCCTTAAATAAGGGTGATTTCCTCATGATTCAGATGTTGGTGCCCATCCTTTTATTTCATATATCATCCAAAGACCCACCAAAGATACGCCATGCTAGGGGGTATTCTCCATCTCAGAAGATTCCATCTCTGAAGAACAGAATAGAAAACTTCATGGCATCCTCTTGCTGCAGAGGCAGTAACAAAGCACCACTTAAGTCTTCAGCAGGTCATTCTGTTAATCAGTTAAGTCTTCAGTGGTACACCCCATTTAAAAAACAAAAATGCAAAAACTTAGTTATACACATAAATGAAAGTTTCTCTTTTTATAGGAGTCACTTGTTATATTACAATTATGCTGCCATTGTTCAAGCACTTTTTGAATTCTTCTTCAGATTTTTTAGATCCTACAGTCCAATCTTTTTGTTACTTTTAAAGAGAGCAAATATTTATACTTGAAAATGGATTTTATTTTGGAAAGAGCCCAATATTATTTGGCTTTGTTTTTTGAATAAAATCAGCATGAAAAGCTGTTTTTGGTAGAAAAGGAGGTGAAACTGTAAAGTAATGACACATTTTTTGAGTCTTACTGAGGCCAAAAGGGGATATTCAAATATAGTGCCAGCAATGGAGTGTGAGGGTAATAAGTATAGAGCTCCCTAATGTGACTACACTAAGAATGGGAAATCTGAATACAAATATTCTGGTGTATTTGTGACCAACCTAGTCTGATTACATCTGTGAAGGCACAGCTTGCATATTTTGTCCAAAATTCTTGTTGAGACTCTCTAGTTGTAGACCAATGCATCTCAAATTTATTGTGAACCTGAATCCCCTGAGTTGTCATTAAAATCAGATTTGCTTCAAGATTTGAATGGCCTGGGTCCTGAGAATCTGCATTTCTTACCACTCCCAGGTGAGTTTGCACATGGATATTGCTACCCATGCTAAGTTACACTTGGGTTGGTTTGTTCCTTAGTAAAATATTTGTTTGTGCTCATGTACATATGAACTTTGCCTTGGAACAGAGAATTTTTTGTGTACTTTATCGATGAAGAAGCGGCAATGACCTGTGCCATTTTCCTTACATTGGATGTTTTCTTTGTTCAGAATGTAACAGAAATTTCCATAGAAGTATGAAAAAGTAGTTTAAATGTTCAACTTAATTAATATTGTATAGCAGATATTATCACATGAGAAAAAGCAAAGTACACTTTGATATATTTAAAGCTGCTATTTCTGATTTGACAGTTTTTGAAACTGATGTAACAAAAGTGCTCTTGCTAGCTGGCTAAAAACAAAATCTTTATTTCACAGCTAAAATGTAAATAGCTAAGATATACTCGGAGGACTAAATTTCACAGCTACAAAAACACAGCTGTGAAATATAACTTTAGAGTTTAATAAAGGCAAATAGTTTTGCATGCTAACAATGGATATTAGAAATAAAGATGAGAATGATTTTGTTAGAATTTTTTAGTGTTTAAATACCTTCACTAATGTAGCCTGTTTAATTGAGAACATTCTCAAGTTACCTGCCATAAATGTGTTTATTTATTGAATGCTTACTATGTGTATCTTGCTAGGAATTAGTGATACAGAAATGAATGTGATATTATTTCTTTAAAAAGTTTTTAAAATTATATAATATGTTCTGATTTTTGAGTTAATTCTTTTTATATTTGTAGAGCTAGTGCATGCAAATTTGAAAACATACTAGGAAATACAGAAAAAAGGTTAATAAGTAAAATATACATTATTAAAAATCAAATCACTGTTAACAATTTTATGTTATATTTTAAGTTTTCATTGACCTAATTCTAAATATTATTACTTCTGGCATTTTGGTGCACTTACACTGTGGCAATAACTCTTGCTGGCCAGAGTCAAGATATACTTAAGTAAAAATTTTATACCTGTATTGACCTCAGCTGAATTTTTGAAACCCACAATAACTTTGTGTAAGGTGTGTGTGTAGATGCATATATACATCTTTAGGGCGAGGAATGGGATTTTCTATGGGATCAGCCCTTTCCTAATATTTGAAGGCTATTTTAGATTGCAGTAAGGAACTGGAGAAGTAGCTGGAGATTCCATTTAATTTTAGATATGCATAGACCAGAGACCCTTTATGATATAACTGAGTAATATCACCAGAATTACTAACATACATGTGTGTTCTGCTTCCTCAGTTTTGTGATAAGGTTTTTGAATTTTGATAATTTTGAATTGGGGGTTGGTGTATCTGGTTCTTTACTAAAATCTGTTGCACATTTTTCTTATCTGTAAAATAAAGTACATAAACTACATGTTTTCAGAGTTTTCATGAAGTTTTAGAATTCTGCTTTTAAAAACTCTTGTTTTGCAAGTAAATAGATCTATACTGGTAGGCACCCTCCTATACCTTTGATAATAACCTTTAAATCAATGCCAACCTAAGGTCTCTTTTAAAATCTCAAATCTACAGTAATAATCTAGGACAGGGTCTGGGAAACTACTGCCTTCAGGCCAAACATGGCCCATTTCCTATTTTTGTAAATAAAGTGTTATTGAAACACAGCCACATCTATTCACCTAGGTATTGTTTATGGCATATTTCAAGGTACAATGGCAGGGTTGGGTAGTTGTGACAGAGACTATATTTACTATCTGAACCATCACAGGAAAAACTTTTTAACACTTTATCTAGATTAATAACTTTCTGGATTGATAAACATGTTTTTCTTCAGATACTTAGAGTGACCAAGAATAAGTATGGTATCATAGCTATCATAACAGGAAGTATGGATACAGAAAATATGCTTGGGTCATTTGAAGCAGCTCTTGTTTTTTAATTTAGGGTTATTTCTAAATAGAATTTATTTGGACTTGATTTCTATAGGTCAGCTGAATCTGCATCAGGTAAATATCACATCTGATGTCCTGAGAGAAACTAGGATGTTGCGGGGGATACTCTTTGAGCCTGGCTAGATTCATTTTGAATGGCTCAGGCAGGAGTATTTTCAGTTAATGTAGCTACCCTTTGTAATAACAACCAGGCCAAGAAAGCTATGGGTTTTAAATATTCTAAGATTAGAGGTATCATTTCACAAAGAATAAGTATCAAAGTCATGTTTATAGTTGATATACACAGTCCTCATGAAGATTAGGCAGTGCCTTGCTCAGGAGACCAGTCCCTGGGGTCTTTGAAAGAAAATGAACCCTCTCTGTGATAAGAGGTGTAAATCATCAAGTATTTAGGAGGGAAGTGAGTTGCAGCATTACTAGTGAAGATGTTCTAGTTGACCTATAATTATCTGCCCTTTCCAAGACCACTGATTCAGAGGAAGCCTAGTAGAGACAGACCTCTCTGAATTCTCAATGAAGTCTGAGGTGGCAGAGTTTGCAAAATGAATTAGACCAGGCTGGAGACTCATGTTTTGTCATGGGAAGAGAGGCATGTGCTACGTGGAGAGGGACTAAAGAGAAGACAAGTAAAGGAAACCCAAAGATAATTGGGAGAAAGGTGAGAGTAAGGGAGGGAGAGGGCATTTCCTGACATTCTCTGTATTATTCCCTTCTTGCATTGCCATAAATAAGTACCTGAGACTAGGTAATTTATAAAGAAAAGAGGTTTAATTGGCTTATGGTCCTGCAGACTGTACAGGAAGCACAGCAGCTTCTGCTCGGCTTCTGAGGAGGCCACAGGAAACTTACAATTATGGCAGAAGGCAAAGGGGGAGCCAGCACTCCACCTGGCCAGGAGTAGATGGAAGATAGAGAGGTAGGGAGGTACCACACACTTTTAAACCACCAGATCTCATAAGATCTCTATCATGAGAACAGCACCAAAGAAATGGTGCTAAACTATTTATGAAGGATCCACTCCCATGACCTAATCACCTCCTATCAGGCCACACCTCCAACACTGGGGATTACAATTCAGTGTGAGATTTGGGCAAGAACACAGATCCAAACCATATCACCTTCCCAAGGCCTAAACAGGGAAATCTTGCCCTTCTAGGTACTACCAAATGTTGGTAAGTAGAATTTAATGACCTGTAAGTTTTAGACAGTGTATTATTCCTTGAACCTTTCGTAAAAGTATGATAAAATATTCATGAGAGACCAGTTTGTATCATCTGGCAAAAGGGTTCTGGAATGAGTGTCAATGTTATAGGAACATTTTTATACTGTTGATGGCAGTGTAAATTAGTTCAACCATTGTGGAAGACAGTGTGGCGATTCCTCAAGGATCTAGAACCAGAAATACCATTTGACCCAGCAATCCCATTACTGGGTATATACCCAAAGGATTATAAATCATTCTACTCTAAAGACATATGCACACGTATGTTTATTGCAGCACTATTCACAATAGCAAAGACTTGAAACCAACCCAAATGCCCATCAATGATAGACTGGATGAAGAAAATGTGATACATATACACCATGGAATACTACCAGCTATGATGAGCTTTTTTCATGTTTTTTGGCCACATAAATGTCTGTTCATATTCTTTGCCCACTTTTTGATTTTTTTTTTTTTTTTGTAATTTTGTTTAAGTTTCTTGTAGATTCTGGATATTAGCCCTTTGTCAGATGCATAGATTGCAAAAATTCTCTCCCACTCTGTAGGTTGCCTGTTCACTCCAATGAGAGTTTCTTTTGCTGTGCAGAAGCTCTTTAGTTTAATTAGATCCCATTTGTCCATTTTGGCTTTTGTTGCTATTGCTTTTGGTGTTTTAGTCGTGAAGTCTTTGCCCATGTCTATATCCTGAATGGTATTGCCTAGGTTTTCTTCTAAGGTTTTGTGGTTTTAGGTCTAATGTTTAAGTGTTTAATCCATCTTGAGTTAATTTTTGTATTAGGTGTAAGGAAGGGGTCTAGTTTCAGTTTTCTGCATATGGCTAGCCAGTTTTCCCAACATCATTTATTAAATAGGGAATTCTTTCCCCATTGCTTGTTTTTGTCAGGTTTGTCAAAGATCAGATGGTTGTAGATGTGTGGTGTTATTTCTGAGGCCTCTGTCCTGTTCCATTGGTCTATATATCTATATTGGTAACAATACCATGCTGTTTTGGTTACTGTAGCCTTGTAGTATAGTTTGAAGTCAGGTAACGTGATGCCTCCAGCTTTGTTCTTTTAGCTTAGGATTGTCTTGCCTATACAGGCTCTTTTTTGGTTCCATATAAAATGTAAAGTAGTTTTTTTCTAATTCTGTGAAGAAATTCAATGGTAGCTTGATGGGGATAGCACTGAATCTATAAATTACTTTGGGCAGTATGGCCATTTTCGTGATATTGATTCTTCTGATTCATGGGCATGGAATGTTCTTCCATTTGTTTGTATCCTCTTTTATTTCATTGAGCAGTGGTTTGTAGTTCTCCTTGAAGAGGGCCTTCACGTCCCTTGTAAGTTGTATTCCGATGTATTTTATTTTCTTTGTAGCAATTGTGAATGGGAGTTCACTCATGATTTGGCTCTCTGTTTGTCTGTTATTTGTTTATAGGAATGCTTGTGATTTTTGCACATTGATTTTGTATGCTGAGACTTTGCTGAAGTTGCTTATCAGCCTGAGGAGATTTTGGGCTGAGACAGTGGGGTTTTCTAAATATACAATCATGTCATCTGCAAACAGAGAAAATATGACTTCCTCTCCCCCTATTAGAACACCCTTTACTTCTTTCTCTAACCTGATTTCCCTGGCCAGAACTTCCAATATTATGATGAAAAGGAGTGGTGAGAGAGGGTATCCTTGTCTTGTGCTGGTTTTCAAAAGGAATGCTTCCAGCTTTTGGCCATTCGCATGATATTGGCTGTGGGTTTGTCATAAATAGCTCTTATTATTTTGAGATACATTCCATCAATACCTAGTTTATTGGGAGTTTTTAGCATGAAGGGTGTTGAATTTTATCAAAGGCCTTTTCTGCATCTATTGAGATAATCATGTGTTTTTTATCATTGGTTCTGTTTATGTGATGGATTACATTTATTGATTTGTGTATGTTTAACCAGCCTTGCATCCCAGGGATGAAGTTTTTTAATGTGCTGCTGGATTCGGTTTGCCAGTATTTTACTGAGGATTTTTGCATTGATTTTCATCAGGCATATTGGCCTGAAATTTCCTTTTTTTGTTGTGTCTCTGTCAGGTTTTGGTATCAGGATGATGCTGGTCTCAAAAAATGAGTTTGGGAGCAGTCCCTATTTTTCTATTGTTTGGAATGGTTTCAGAAGGAATGGTACTAGCTCCCCTTTGTACCTCTGGTAGAATTCAGCTGTAAATCCGTCCAGTCCTAGGCTGTTTTTGTTGGTAGGCTATTAATTACTGCCTCAATTTCAGAACTTGTCATTGGTCTATTCAGGGATTTGACTTCTTCCTGGCTTAGTCTTGGGAGGTTATATGTGTCTAGGAATTTATCAATTTCTTCTAGATTTTCTAGTTTATTTACATAGAGGTGTTTATAGTATTCTCTGATGGTAGTTTGTATTTCTGTGGGATCAGTGGTGATATCTCCTTTATCATTTTTTATTGTGTGTATTTGATTCTTCTCTCTTTTCTTCTGTTAGTCTGCTTAGTGTTCTATCTATTTTGTTAATATTTTCAAAAAACCAGCTCCTGGATTCATTGATTTTTTGAAGGGTTTTTCATGTCTCTGTCTCCTTCAGTTCTGCTCTGATCTTTGTTATTTCTTGTCTTCTGCTAGCTTTTGAATTTGTTTGCTCTTGCTTCTCTAGTTCTTTTAATTGTGATGTTAGGGTGTCAATTTTAGATCTTTCCTGCTTTCTCTCGTGGGCATTTAGCACTATAAATTTCTCTCTAAGCACTGTTTTAGCTGTGTCCCTGAGATTCTGGTACATTGTGTCTTTGTTCTCATTGGTTTCAAAGAACATCTTTATTTCTGCCTTCATTTTGTTATGTACCCAGTAGTCATTCAGGAGCAGGTTGTTCAGTTTCCATGTAGTTGAGTGGTTTTGAGTGAGTTTCTTAATCCTGAGTTCTAGTTTGATTGCACTGTGGTCTGAGATACAGTTTGTTATAATTTCTGTTCTTTTACATTTACTGAGGAGTGCTTTACTTCCAACTATGTGGTCAGTTTTGGAATAAGTGTGATGTGGTGCTGAGAAGAATGTATATTCCGTTGATTTGGGGTGGAGAGTTCTGTAGATGGCTATTAGGTCCACTTGGTGCAGAGCTGAGTTCAATTCCTGGATATCCTTGTTAACTTTCTGTTTCACTGATGTGTCTAATGTTGACAGTGGGGTGTTAAAGTCTCCCATTATTATTGTGTGGGAGTCTAAGTCTCTTTGTAGGTCTCTAAGGACTTGCTTTATGAATCCGGGTGCTCCTGTATTGGGTGCATATATATTTTGGATAGTTAGCTCTTCTTGTTGCATTGATCCCTTTACCATTATGTAATGGTCTTCTTTGGCTTTTTTTATTTTTGTTGGCTTAAAGTCTGTTCTATCAGCTATTAGGGTTGCAACCCCTGCCTTTTTTTGCTTTCCATTTACTTCGTAAATATTCTCCATCCCTTTATTTTGAGCCTATGTGTGTCTTTGCACGTGAGATGGGTCTCCTGAATGCAGCACACTGATGGGTCTTGACTCTATCCAATTTGCCAGTCTGTGCCTTTTAATTGGGGCATTTAGCCCATTTACATTTAAGGTTAATATTGTTATGTGTGAATTTGATCCTGCCATTAAGATGCTAGCTGGTTATTTTACCCGTTAGTGGATGCAGTTTCTTCATAGTTTTGATGGTCTTTACAATTTGGTATTTTTTTGCAGTGGCTGGTACTGGTTTTTCCTTTCCATATCTTGTGTTTCCTTCAGGAGATCTTGTAAGGCCGGCCTGGTGGTGACAAAAACTCTCAGGATTTGGTTGTCTGTAAAGGATTTTATTTCTCCTTCACTTATGAAGCTTAGTTTGGCTGAATATGAAATTCTGGATTGAAAATTCTTTTTTTTAAGAATGTTGAATATTGGCCCCCACTATCTTCTGGCTTGTAGGGTTACTCTAGAGAGATCCACTGTTAGTCTGATGGGCTTCCCTTTGTGGGTAACCCTACCTTTCTCTCTGGCTGCCCTTAACATTTTTTCCTTCATTTCAACTTTGGCGAATCTGACAATTATGTGTCTTGGGGTTACTCTTCTCGAGTAGTATCTTTGTGGCATTCTCTGTGTTTCCTGAATTTGAATGTTGACCTGCCTTGCTAGGTAGGGGAAGTTGTCCTGGGTAATATCCTGCAGAGTGTTTTCCAACTTGGTTCCATTCTCCCTGTCACTTTCAGGTACACCAATCAAACATAGATTTGGTCTTTTCACATAGTCCCACACTTCTTGGAGGCTTTGTTCATTTCTTTTCACTAATCTTGTTTTCTCACTTTCTTTCATTCAGTTGATCTACAATCTCTGACATCCTTTCTTTCGCTTGATCAATTCGGCTATTGATACTTGTGTATGCTTCACGAAGTTCTCGTGCTGTGTTTTTCAGCTCCATCAGGTCATTTATATTCTTCTCTAAATTGGTTATTCTAGTTAGCAATTCCTCTAACCTTTTTTCAAGGTTCTTAGCTTCCTTGCATTGGGTTAGAACATGCTCCTTTAGCTTGGAGAAGTTTGTTATTACCCACCTTCTGAAGCCTACTTCTGTCAATTTGTCAAACTCATTCTCCATCTAGTTTTGTTCCCTTGCTGGTGAAGAGCTGTGATCCTTTGAAGGAGAAGAGGCATTCTGGTTTTTGGAATTTTCAGCCTTTTTTTTTTGCTGATTTTTCCTCATCTTCCTGGATTTATCTACCTTTGGTCTTTGATGCTGGTGACCTTTGGATGGGGTTTTTGTGTGGACATCCTTTTTGTTGATGTTGTTGCTATTCCTTTCTGTTTGTTAGTTTTCCTTCTAACAGTCATGCCCCTCTGCTACAGATCTGATGAAGTTTGCTGGAGGTCCACTCCAGACCCTGTTTTCCTGGGTATCACCAGCGGAGGCTGCAGAATAGCAAAGATTGCCGCCTGTTCCTTCCTCTGGAAGCTTCCTCCCAGAGGGACACCTGCCAGATGCCAGCTGGACATCTAATGTATGAGGTATCTGTTGATCCCTGCTGGGAGGTGTCTCCCAGTCAGGAGGCCTGGGGGTCAGGGACCCACTTGAGGAGGTAGTCTGTCCCTTAGCAGAGCTTGAGCATTGTGCTGGTAGATCCACTGCTCTCTTCAGAGTTGGCAGGCAGGAATGTTTAAGTCTGTTGAAGTGGTGCCCCCAGCTGCCCCTTCCTCCAGATGCTCTGTCCCAGGGAGATGGGAGTTTCATATATAAGCCCCTGACTGGGGTTGCTGCCTTTCTTTCAGAGATGCCCTGCCCTGAGAGGAGGAATTTAGAGAGGCCATCTGGTACAGTGCCTTTACCGAGCTGTTGTGGGCTCCGCCCAGTTCAAACTTCTTGGTGGCTTTGTTTACACTATGAGGGGAAAACCGCCTACTCAAGCCTCAGTAATAGTGGATGCCCCCCCCCCCCTACCAAGCTGAAGCATCCCAGGTAGACTTCAGACTGCTGTGTTGGCACTGAGAATTTCAAGCCAGTGGATCTTAGCTTGCTGGGATCTGTGGAGTGGGATCCGCTGAGTGAGACCACTTGGCTCCCTGGCTTCAGTTACCTTTCCAGGGCACCGAAGGGTTCCTTCTTGCTTTCGTTCCAGGCACCACTGGGGTATGAAAAAAAACTCCGTTTGGCTAGCTCAGTGTCTGCCCAAATGGCCACCAAGTTTTGTGCTTGAAAACTGGTGATCTAGGCACCTGAGGGAATCTCCTGGTCTGTGGGTTGTGAAGACCATGGGAGAAGTGTAGTATCTGGGCCAGAATGCACCCTTCCTCACGGCACAGTCCCTCATGGCTTCCCTTGGCTAGGGGAAGGAGTTCACCGACTCCTTGCACTTCCCAGGTGAGGTGATGCACCACCCTGCTTTGACTTGCCCTCCATGGGCTGCACCCATTGTCTAACCATTCCCAGTGAGATGAGCCGGGTACCTTAGTTGGAAATGCAGAAATCACCCGCCTTCTGCGTTGATCTTGCTGGGAGCTGCAGACTGGAGCTGTTCCTTTTTGGCCATCTTGCCAGCCATCTGTTTTTCTTAACTGTAGTTTTTATTGTGTGGCTCACATATAGTGAAGAATTTTCTTAAGTCTCTATTGGAATACTTAGGATGACAGAGAATCTTTCTTTTCAGGTATGAGAGGTAGTCTGGGAAACTGGCCAACATAGTGACATTTCCTGGGCATTTAAGCTTTTTTTTTTTTTCCACAACAATGGGCAGAATATTTATTATTGGGACTGTTCTAGGAACTCTAAAAAATTTGGCCATGATAATCATGGTGACTCAATTTTTCCGTCTGGTTCTCTTTGAATGTGTTGTATAGGCAGAGCTTATTGTTAGCCCTATTTTATTTTTCAACCTTTTATATTTTTGGAGGATGGCAGTCCTTGTTTATTGACAAAAAGGTGGCATAAAAAGGGTGGCATACTCATGCATATGCAGGAATGATTTGAGGGTATTCTGAGGTGTCTGGACAAAGAGACGTTTCCCAATGTTTCCTTAAACTCCGTACCTTAAGGGATTCATTTCCATATGCTAAACACATATTTTTTTTTCTGTGTTATTCTCTCTTAACAACTTAGTGTGGATAATTTTTATCTAATTTCTTTATTTATATTTTGAGCAGATTCAACCAGTATAATAGACATTCAACGCAGTCAGTCTAATGAAAGAGGAGCAGAAAGGATGCAGAGAGGAAAGAGGGAAGCATATTTGTTACGTTATTTTACTGTATAAATACTTCAAATACCTGTATTATAGGCTTCATGGGTTTTCTCTCTTCAAAAGAACATTAAAAATAGTACTAAAACCAATTTACAAAAGAGGCATGAGTTGGTTATGTGACATTGTTTTTTTGTTGCTATAAGGACTTTTTTACTGCCGTTAAAAGAGTTTTTCTTCAATACTACAGATGAGGATCACATTTGGTATGAAATATCTATGGAGTATTTATCAATAACTTGGAGGTGCTTAGTTACATTTTTCAATATTAACATAATGAATAGATTCACAGAATCCTGCTCTTTAATTATCTGACCTCTAAAATCTTTTGTTATTGTTTGTTTCCCTACTTTTTCTGTTTCAGTTTTCTGGTACACATATGAATGCTTGTTCTTATCTTTAAAAGTTGTAAAGTGGATTCATTCCAATCAGAAAATACGACCACATTCATTAAGGATTACTTCAAAACATGGTATAAAGATGCTGCATTAAAAAAAAATGTTTCCTTGTATAATTTTTTTTATCCTAGTCTTGTGGCAAATATGCCAGGAAATTTTAGTTTTCTGCAAAGGATATATTTGCCTTGGCATCTTATTAATACTGGTTCCAATCAGAAGTCTGTAATTTCCCTAGATCAAAAAGCATACTTTTTAAAAAACATGTTGAAATGTGTATTTAGTGTAAATGCACAATTTGCTGTAAACTGTGGAGTATGTTTCTAGTGAGCCATGTGATAACTAACTATGCTGTATTCTCCCTGTGACCCTGTGAGCCCCTCTCGGGTAAGAACAATACTCTCTTCATCTTCTTATCTCTGGAGCCTAACACAATGTTTAACATACTTCAGGTGCCTATGACCTGACATGTTGAACCAATGACTTAGTAATGATGTAATAAGAGTAAATAGGCATGCTTAGATAGATAAATATGTAATGGGTGAAAGCAAATACTCCATGACAACGTTGTGATTCCATATGATATGGTTTGGATTTGTGTCCCTGCCCAAATCTCATACTGAATTGTAATCCCCAGTGTTGGAGGAAGGGCCTGGTGGGAGGTGATGGGATCATGGGAGTGTGTTTTTCCCTTGTTGTTCTCATGACAGTGGTGAGTTCTCAGGAGATCTTGTTGTTTAAAAGTATGTGGCACCTCCCCCTTCTCTGTCTTCCTCCTGCTCTGGCCATGTAAGATGTGCCTGCTTCTTTTGCCATGATTGAAAGTTTCCTGAGGCCTCTCCAGCCATGCTTCCTGTACTGCCTGAAAAACTGTGAGCCAATTAAACCCCTTTTTTAAACAAATTACCCAGTTTCAGGTATTTCTTTATAGTAATGCCAGAATGGGCTAATATACCATATTGCATATATTGCATGAGAAAATAATAGAGATTTGAATATACTTTCTTAGAGAAGTTTACTATTAGACATTTTAGCCTTCAGTGACTCATTTATGGGGAACAATCTAAATGCTAGAGTGATATTTGGAGCAGCCAGTTATTTGAAACAATGTAAATATATGACTCCAATAGTTTATCATATACTATCTGGTATTGTTAGTTTTCTTATGTATATATGTATCATACCTCCAGCTAGGATTGTAAATTTGTTGAGGGTGGGCTCTTGGTAGCTTTTGTTGTAAATTTGTTGAGAGTGGGATCTTAGTAGCTTTCATTTCCCATGTATGATAGAGGTTCAATAACATTTATCCAATGATAGTATTAGACTTCTGATTGGAACTCACTGAATGTAGACCTTCTGCATGTTTCCTCAAATGTAAAATCGGGTGAATAAAGCCTTTTCTAGGCTCTTCATACAAAATTTATATTTATGCTTTCAGTCTTGTA
Organism: Homo sapiens; assembly: GCF_000001405.40. Lineage (NCBI taxonomy): Eukaryota > Metazoa > Chordata > Mammalia > Primates > Hominidae > Homo > Homo sapiens. Next base: position 88,117,405 of record NC_000005.10, on the reverse strand, counting down.
AAATGATTTCGTAACAATAAAAATTAAGAATGAGTGTGTTGGCAGTCTTACAACTCAGTGTTTTAGCATGTGCATTTGAAAGATTACAGAAGCTTCTGGTTTTTGACTGGCATGTGAATCCTGGTTGTGCTACCTCTTGTAACTTGGCAAGTACGTGTAAGTTTTTGGAACCCTTGTTTGCTCTCTTACAAATGGTATTTGTAATTTTTTTCCTTATAGTATTGTTGTGAGGTTAAATTTATAACATGATTAACTCTTGGGGGTGTGCCAAACATGTGGTAGATACTCAGCAAACATGAGCTTCTTCTTCCATCTTGGTTTTCTGTTTAGTTCTCATGGCAATCTGACCAATTTTACAGCTTCAGATAAAATAGGCCTTTCTTTAATCAGCATTTTCCCATGAACTCCAGACCTGGAGTTCCTGTCATCTAGAAGGTGAGTGTTTCCAGTCACCTTCCAGAGATCTACATATTTGTATTCTCACTTGCCTCTAAAACTTGACATGGCCCAAACCGACTTTAGTCTCAGCCCATCTTCACCTTTCAGAATTCTCTATTTGTTACTGAAATTATCATTCTGTAGCTACCAGTTCAAAGACTATGGTCTGAGTTTTACACACTTTCTTTTTTTCCTTGTGCATTTATTTTGCTGAAGTTGGGAGAACTGATTAAGTATATCAAAGTAGAAGACCACCTGTTTCCCTTACATCCAAACAATGTCTAAAGGATGGAAATTGCTTGGTGAGGTCAACATATTCCAAATCTGGCTGTAGATCTTCCCACAGCCTCCAGGTAGAGGACTCTTTTCTTAGAATGTGCTGGGTAAACACTGACTCATCCTTTTCTGGGTTATTGTTGTAGGTTCCTGGCCATGAACTCCAATTTGAACAATTTTGTAATTCAGTTAGGCACAATACAATTTATTAAATTATGCCTTTCTTCATAATGATCACATTCCATGCCTGCCACCTAGGTTTACATTCTGGGTTAGACTTGGTTGTTCTCAGGTTTCCTTACCTTCACATTTACATACATTTATTTTACTTGCCAAGATTATAAACAAAACTCATTGATTACAGATTGATGATTTCTAGTTTCACTGTGAAGGAAACTTATATACAATGTTGCCAATCAGTCCATGGGGTTCTATTTATTTTTATCTCATATCTTGCCCACATCCCCACCTGTAATCCCAGCACCTTGGGAGGCTGAGGTGGGAGGATTGGCTGAGGCCAAGAGTTTGAGACCATCCTGGGAAACATAGCCTTACCCTCATCTCTACAAATAATAAAAAAATTAGCTGGGCTTGGTGGCACAAGCCAGTAGTCTCAACTACATAGGAGATTGAAGCAGGAGTGTTTATTGGGCCCAGGAATTTGAGGCTGCAGTGAGCTATGGTTGCGCCACTGCACTCCAGCCTAGGTGACAGAGCCAGACCTTGTCTCTAAAAGCCAAAACAACAAAACAAAACAAACAAACATCCCACTACTTCCAAATTCATTGGCACCATCCTGGAAATTGCTACCTTTCACCAGCATCATTGTTGTAGCCTCTGGTGTCAGGCTACTTTTGGTTGAAGCTAACACAAGAACAAACTAAAAGTAGCTTTAATCATCAGGATTTAATTTTCCTTTCACATAAAGAAGATTTTAAGCAGGAGTTTCCACGGTTGCTTCAATAGGTCTGCAGTGTCAGGGCTCTGGAGTGGTTTTCTGCGACTTCCCTGACCTTCCCTTTATGGTCACAGTATAGCTGCTGCGGCTCCGTGCATCAGGTTCTCACACAAGAGCATTTCGCTGCAGGAAGGGAGAGGGAGGATTTCTCTTCATGAGTCTTCCTTATCAAGGGAGAAAAGCTTTCCCAGATAACTCTCAGAAGATTTCCCTCTATATCTCATTAGCCAGGATTTGTTCACTTTCTTATGCCGTAGTGCAAATGCAGCCAGGACCATAAGTAGCTGCTATTTTTAGTCTCCATATTTGTTAGTGAGAAATAGGAAGATTGGAAAGCTCTCAGGTTTTTAAATCCACCTTGCATTTCTGCCAAATGTGCTTCCTTGAGTACATCACCCTCGTCTTAAACTTCCAGTAACTTCTATTGCTAGTAAATACAGTTCATTCCAGCTCCTTTTACTCCCTTAGTTTATCTCCTACTTTACTCTCCCATTGGCGGCTTAGTGAACCCAGAATAGAACCAGCTTATCCCTTGTTCATGCCTTTGCTCACGACATTTTCTCCTCTTGGGATCTCTTCCCCACAGTCTTCCACTGAACACCAACTTAGACATCAATGCTCAGCTCCATGACTGCTTTCTCCATAAGTCTTCCTTGTTCTCATTAGTTGTAATTTCCCCTTTCTTTCAACTTCTGCACTTTCTCCATATCACAGAGGCTGACCACTCATGGATTTAACATTTAAATTTGATTACTCACAGGACCCCACAAAGGTGCAATTCAACGGTCTTTGTAACATTTCTAAGGTATAATCCCAAATCTTGTCTGCTGCAAAGCTGGCATGCAGGGGTGAATTTTCTCACTGGGGACTAAGTCATGCGCTGCATAAAATTGAGACCTCAGTGAGGCTTCGATGTTTTTTCCTTATTGTAATACAGGCAGTAAGTTTTGTGAACTCATTACAAGCTGTGCTTCATTGTGGAAAATGGCTGTTAATCGAGAGATAAAACCTTAGATGAAAGTTGAAAAGGTGGTTAACTTTTGGTTTGAGGAGAGGTACTGGAAAGGGTAATTCTCCAGAAACTGTGAATTATGATACCTAGGAGCCTGGAAAAATACTTGCACATTCTTGAGACTGTGGTATAGAGGTTTCTTACCTTGTATTGTAAGACTCCTTGAAGACACTAAGATTTCAAAAGGCTGGGAGAAATCAAACAGTGTGCTGTGATGGCTCTGGAAACAGATAATTGAGGTTAAATTATAGCTCTGCCTGTTCCCCAAGACAAGCTGACCTTTTGGAAGATTCTTGATAATGTGAACCTTCAGTTTCCCCTTCCATAAAAGATGGCAAAAATACCCACCTCATAGCTATTAAGTGGGATAATACCTGGAAAATGTCTTGTAAATTGTAAAACTATAGATAATTAAGTGATAACAATTATGTGTGTCCATACATCTATCAGGACAGCAAATGCTCAGAAAAGATTTATTTAATGACTGAAAAAATGAATGAATAAATAAATGAATGAAAAGCTAATATAATAGCCTACTTATAGGAAAAAATGCAAATGCTTTTATTTCTAATAGTATCTCTGAGGTTCTAAGGCATTTTATTTGCTTGCATTACTAAAATATGAAAATCAATAAAATCATTACTAAGAATTAAATATCAGTAGATTATAACAACGTTAATATGAAGCTGAATTTCTTTTTTGAATACATTGACTATTCATAAACTGCTGGGCCTACACTTTCACTGTTTACAGCATTAGTGGAGGCCCTCACGTGCATCACAGCTTTGTAGTTCCTCCGGGACTATCTATTATCCCACAGATCCATTATCATCTATAATTCTCTTTAAAAACCTAATAAAATTTACTGTAAGATGCCTGTGCTGTGTATTGTCTTCAAACATAACCTTTTCCACATCTTTTTTGAGTGTTGAGCTTTTAAAAGGGTCTGATATTATTGGAATATCAGTTCACTTGTGCTTCAGATTTACACCTCTCCAAGGTAGGGAACATGTTGCTACTCTCCTGGCTAGAAAGGGATTCAAGAACCATGGGAATCTGTGAATAGCTTGACACTGCTGCTGGGCCAACCAAACCTAATATGCAACAGTGCCACGAACTGGACTAGGTGTGCATTAAATGGTTTTTCCAATGACCAGTTATAGAAAAATAATGATTTGTCTTCCTCTTTAGAACATGCATTATTTCAGCTAATTTGCAGGTATTTAAATGAATTAACTTTGTTAATTTAAATAATTAACAAAATAATAGACTAAGGAGATCCTGGAACTCCACACTAAGATATTTCTCTTATAATTCCACTACAACTCAAAGTTGGCTTTATCATTGGACATTATTCTAATTATATTAACTTTTTGGGATTGAAGTTAACTTTTTTTTTTTCAACACATGGTCAATGTTATTCTATCTGTGGGGTCATTAACTATTGTCCCTGGTCAGAGCCTTTGCACACGTGATTAAGTTAAGGATCTTGTTAAGTAGAGGTTATTCTGGATTATCCAGGTGGGCCCTAAACATAGTCACAAGAGTTCTTATACCAGGACTGTAATTATTCAAAAGTGGAAGGTGATGTGATTACAGAAGCAGTGAGAGAAAAATGATGTGATGCAGGGCCATGAGGCAAGGAATCAAAGCTAGAAAAGACAAAAAGTGAATTCTCTTGAGAGCCTCCAGAAGGAATCAGCTCTTCCAGAACCTTTAAGCCTTATTTTGTACTCATGACACCCAGACCTGTAGCAGATTCAATTTGTGTTGTTTTAAGCCACTGTGTTTGTGGTAATTTCTTACTGCAGTGGTAAGAAACTAATATAGGTGGTTCTGGCCTGAGTGGATTGGTGGTTCTGGGTGGTTGTCAGTGAAGGCTCTTCTCTCTTCACAATCCAGTGCATTCTAGGACAGCCATAAGCAGACGCTCCTATTTCATCCTCCTCACTGTGTCTTCTAGGGCAATAGGCCCTCTCCCTTCCAGCTAACTTTGCTAGAATCAGGCCCCAGATGTCAGCAGCCCATCTGGTGAACCCTATCCTTCACTCTTCCATCTAGTCTCCTTCTCTTTATTCTTAAAGTCTTTTCTTTTATTTTTTCTCAATAGACATTGATGGTCCATAAACCTTAGAACCAGAATCAACTTCATGAGCTATCTCCCCTTCTCAAATTCATGGAAGATTTAATTTTCAAATATTCCCTGGTGAAGAATGGAAACATTTATGTTTCATCCTTCTAATGCAAGAAGCGGGGGAAGGTAAATAAAGCAATTTATTTCTGCATGAAAAGAACATTTGTGTCCTGCCACACAATTGTGTTCTGGAATTCCTAAGTAATCTTTCTTTCTTGTTTTTTTTTTTTTTTTTTTTTTTTTTTTTTTTTTTTTTTTTTTTTTTTTTTTTTTATGGCAGAACTGGAATTACTGCTTAGGTTGCACACCCACACCCTTCCTGGTGCATTTTTGATAGTAAAAGAGAAAATATTCCATACTGTGGGCATATGTCTGACAAATAATTCTCTATAATTTCTTGCTTTGGTAAAACTTAACCATAGTCCAGGTTTTATACTACAAAAATGCCTATAACAAGTGATTGCAAGTCAAAAGTAAGTATTATATAGAGTTGGAAAAAATCTTATCTATCCAAAGCCGTAATTTCCAAATAAAGCTCCTTTCTGAGTTGGCAGCACATATGTATAATTTAGGCCTATTCTGAATAAAAGTGGCTGAGTTATCAAAACTCCATTAACCTAATTTGTTTAGATGGAAGTAGTACCTTATGCCTGGCTTAAACAGAATTTAAATGAAAAAGGAGAAGAAATATCATTCTATATAATTAAGGTGGCAGACCCCACTCATTTATAAAAAGAGAAGATGTAAAGTCAACAAAAGAAACCCTGTGGTATAGTGTTTGGCTTTGAAAATGCTAAATAAAAGGAAAGTAGTCTAATGGCAACAATAACAGATATGTGATGCTTATTCAGAATCTTCAAATGCAAAATTTTCTATTTCTTTTTTCTCATTGATGCACATCTCACAAAAATGCATAAATGACTCTCATTTTGTCTTCTAGACTGTGGCCTATCATGTTAACTCCTGAGAGCCTTTAGAGTAACATAAAGAAAACTCTGTCAATAACATCCATCCATCCAAATGCTGTCAATTTGAAACCTTATTACTAGAAGTTATAGGCTCTGGAATTATCCTTGTCAAATCTAAGGAGGAAGCCAACCTTTCCAGCCGTCTCTTTTGCATCTCTGAACTTCTTTATCATTGCATTTCTAGGGCTAGGAGTAATGGTGTGACAATTGCGTGGTGCTCCCTCCTCTCTTCAATTCTGTTTCTAAGGGTCGGGATGACCTACAGAGTGATAAGCTAGTCGTTCAGTTGAGCCAGGTGTCCTTTGAGAAGCTAAGAAAAGGGATAACAAAGTCACAAAGTCATTAGTGTACAGTATATTACAAGCCACAAGTGACAGCTCTCAGTGAGACTATCCTGCTTGGGAGTCTGCCACTTCCTGATGGAATCACCCCATAGCAGGCAGGAACCGACATTTCATCAAACATCTATGTTTGGTAGTTGAGCAAGAGTTCACAGGCTTAGAAATTAGAGTAGATATAATAGAGTTGATTAACAATGGAAAAAGGAGGATACATATTTTGTGCTTTTTTGATCCAGGAAATAAGATCCTTTATTCTGTACCATCATGGCCAGGGTATCTTAAAAAATTAAAATGTAAACCGGTGAAAATTTTTACAGGTGATGGCAGGTATAACTGGAGGCCTCATAGGCCACTGAATCCTGCTCACCACATCTTCCAGTCTGTAAAAAGACAGTAAAGACGAAAACAAAAACAAAGCAAATCCAAAATAAACAGCAGATTACTCATCCAATATTGGAATTGGTTGATTTTGTCAGCTCTCAAGATCTCCAGTAACTAAATTCTGTCTTCTGATCACTGCCAAGTTGTTGAATATTGATTAGATGAGTTCTAGTTATCCTTCTCACTTTGAGCTTCAGATTCTATGTCTAGTGAACCCCCATCCCAATTTCTGGTTCACTTCTCTTTCTCTGGACTCTACCTAGGAGCAAATTGTTCCTTTGTGCTATTTCGCTATTTCTTCCACCTCCAGCTCAGGCCAGACCTTTCTGCCAGAGAGATCTCTTTCCCCTTTGTTCTCCCTGGAGTCTGTGGCTTAGGCTTAATGAAGCTAACAGACTGGGGTGGGGAATAGGGGTTGGGGAAAGAGAGGGTAGGCTCCAGGTGTTGCTCCTGCTGGTCCTAAACCATCAGTGAGCACTAGGGCATTCTAATATTGGAGTATTCTTATCTAAATTCTCATAGTTCTTCTTTGTGTCTTGAAGACAATTTTGTGATGTTTAAAAAACTGTTGTAAAACAGATATACTCAAGAGGAGAACACATTTCAAGCACTTTCTAAAAGTGTTTTTGTCCTCTAGTTACTTGAATTACCTATTAATCAAAACACTTTAGGCTGTAGAAACAAACACTCCCCAAATTTTAGTGGCTCGAACAAAAAAAAGGTTTATTTTTCACTCAGGCAAAATGTGTATATTGGGTTGGCAAGGGGGTTCTGCTCTTCAGCATCACTCAGGGACCCTGATGACCAAAGCTCCATATGACACATGCCTCTAGAATTGCCTTAGGTCAAGAGACATGGTGAGCTGTGCATAGCATGCAAAGCGACCACTGGAAATGACACGTCACTTGATTACGTTCAATTGGCTAATGCAAGTCCATGTTTGTATCTGCTTTGTAAACCAGAATATTTGTGAATAACCCTAATGAGTCATAGAGGCAGCCTTTGCCATTTTGTGCTACCAGATCCTATGGTTATTCTGTTATTTTCCCCTGTTTTTATAAAACTTTCCTATATTTTCGATTTATTTTTCACAAATGCTCTTTCTACCTCTCTTCTATAAGTGAGCCTGGCTTTCTTATTAATGATGTTACCTCCCATGAAATTCTTGCCAGGACAGCTTTCTCTTTTTCCCTTCTTTTATCGCTAACAGAGGACAAAGAAAGAGGATTAATCTTCTTCCTTCTCCATTGCCCATTCCTGAATATTGTTCTGGCTGTTGAAATTCAGCAATCTCTTCTCTTTCCGACTGTCTCATGCATCCTCCTTCTCTCCTAGCTGCCATGGTATTTGGAACTCTGTGGTACTTTTTTTCCTTACCCAGTGAATTTAACCTATCACTTTTTTTATTTTTATCATGTCGGTGATTCCACAGTTCGTTACCTCCTTGACACCAATGATCCTCAACTCCTCTCCATCCTTGGATCTCATCATCTATCTCCACAGTCTCCAATTCTGAGTATCTTGCCTTTTCCACAATCTCTTTAATGTCAGCCATTCTAAATTTCTTACTCATACTGATCTTGGTCTTTTTTCTCATCACAACCCTGACTCTGCTCTTTTTTGTCTTGTCTGTTAACTTCCTTCCAACTTCATTTCCGTCTAGCTTGTTTTCATGGTCAGCCGACTCAGCAGTGCCTTCACTTAATGCCTAAAATTTCCCGTGGACCTTGAACTTCTAAATATTTCCTTGCTAGGCTGAGAAAGCTGCACTGATTGAGTCTGCCACAAATTTATGCTTGTTCACTTTAACTGAGCTGTCCTTTCTGCTCAGCACTTCTTTTATTCATCTTTTGCTGACTCACTGCTCATCCCACACAGCCCTTTTTCCAATTATTTTTAACTCTTTTTAGGATTCAAGCTCTGCTCCAGATATGGCCCCAAAATACCTTTCCAGTTTTATCTCTCACTGCTCTCCAAAAGCTCTTTGCTTTGTGCTTTCCAAACTTCATGTTTGCTCACTGTTGTACACATTCCGATGAAAATGCCCCCTACTTTGCACAGGCATTTCTCCTCTGAAAGAGACCTCTATTTGTTGTAAACATCCGTGCAATTTTTATTACCTTCTATGAGACTTAGCAAATACCTTCTTATTCTAGGTACCTGTACATATGTACATCTCCACCGTTTTATTTGTGCCCTTTAAAAGTAGAAACCACGAGGGTTTGTATACATAGTGTTTATCAGTGGTGTTTTGCCCTTAGGTGATCAGTTGGTGTTTGGTGAATGCGTTGGAGAAATAAACATTAGTCAGTTGTCTAGAGAATTTTTTTTACTTCTCCATACAGAAGAAAAGTTAATATTAAATGTAAGGACTTTAAAAATCTATATTTACTATTTAAATTTTAATGCAACAGCTGTGGTTTGGACTACTAATAGATTTAACATATTTGGGGAATAGTTAAAAGAGTTGTGTGAAAGAGCCCTATTTCTTTTTTTTATTTTTTTATTTTTTATTTTATTATTATTATACTTTAAGTTTTAGGGTACATGTTTATAACATGCAGGTTTGTTACATATGTATACATGTGCCATGCTGGTGTGCTGCACCCATTAACTCGTCATTTAGCATAGGTATATCTCCTAATGCTATCCCTCCCCTCTCCCGCCTCCCCACAACAGTCCCTGGTGTGTGATGTTCCCCTTCCTGTGTCCATGTGTTCTCATTGTTCAATTCCCACCTATGAGTGAGAACATGCGGTGTTTGGTTTTTTGTCCTTGCGATAGTTTGCTGAGAATGATGGTTTCCAGCTTCATCCATGTCCCTGCAAAGGACATGAACTCATCCTTTTTTATGGCTGCATAGTATTCCATGGTGTATATGTGCCACATTTTCTTAATCCAGTCTATCATTGTTGGACATTTGGGTTGGTTCCAAGTCTTTGCTATTGTGAATAATGCCACAATAAGCATACGTGTGTATGTGTCTTTAGAGCAGCATGATTTACAATCCTTTGGGTATATACCCAGTAATGAGATGGCTGGGTCAAATGGTATTTCTAGTTCTAGATCCCTGAGGAATTGCCACACTGACTTCCACAATGGTTGAACTAATTTACAGTCCCACCAACAGTGTAGAAGTGTTCCTATTTCTCCACATCCTCTCCAGCACCTGTTGTTTCCTGACTTTTGAATGATCGCCATTCTAACTGGTGTGAGATGGTATCTCATTGTGGTTTTGATTTGCATTTCTCTGATGGCCAGTGATGATGAGCATTTTTTCATGTGTTTTTTGGCTGCATAAATGTCTTCTTTTGACAAGTGTCTGTTCATATCCTTCACCCAATTTTGATGGGGTTATTTGTTTTTTTCTTGTAAATTTGTTTGAGTTCATTGTAGATTCTGGATATTAGCCCTTTGTCAGATGAGTAGATTGCAAAAATTTTCTCCCATTCTGGAAGTTGCCTGTTCAGTCTGATGGTAGTTTCTTTTGCTGTGCAGAAGCTCTTCAGGTTAATTAGATCCCATTTGTCAATTTTGTCTTTTGTTGCCATTGCTTTTGGTGTTTTAGACATGAAGTCCGTGCCCATGCCTATGTCCTGAATGGTATTGCCTAGGTTTTCTTCTAGGGTTTTTATGGTTTTAGGTCTAACATGTAAGTCTTTAATCCATCTTGAATTAATTTTTGTATAAGGTGTAAGGAAGGGATCCAGTTTCAGTTTTCTACATATGGCTAGCCAATTTTCCCAGCACCATTTATTAAATAGGGAATCCTTTCCCCGTTGCTTGTTTTTCTCAGGTTTGTCAAAGATCAGATAGTTGTAGATATGCGGCATTATTTCTGAGGGCTCTGTTCTGTTCCATTGATCTATATCTCTGTTTTGGTACCAGTACTATGCTGTTTTGGTTACTGTAGCCTTGTAGTATAGTTTGAAGTCAGGTAGCATGATGCCTCCAGCTTTGTTCTTTTGGCTTAGGGTTGACTTGGCAATGTGGGCTGTTTTTTGGTTCCATATGAACTTTAAAGTAGTTTTTTCCAATTCTGTGAAGAAAGTCATTGGTAGCTTGATGGGGATGGCATTGAATCTATAAATTACCTTGGGCAGTATGGCCATTTTCACGATATTGATTCTTCCTACCCATGAGCATGGAATGTTCTTCCATTTGTTTGTATCCTCTTTTATTTCATTGAGCAGTGTTTTGTAGTTCTCCTTGAAGAGGTCCTTCACATCCCTTGTAAGTTGGATTCCTAGGTATTTCATTCGAAAGAGCCCTATTTCTTATAACATTCTTAAATTCTCAAGTTCCTGTCTATGCTGGTTAATTAAGACCTATACTTCATTTTTTTTTGAGATGGAGCCTCGCTCTGTCACCCAGGCTGGAGTGCAGTGGTGTGATCTCGTCTCACTGCACTGGGTTCATGCCATTCTCCTGCCTCAGCCTCCCAAATAGCTAGGACTATATGCACCCGCCACCACGCCCAGCTAATTTTTTGTATTTTTAGTACAGACAGGGTTTCACTGTGTTAGCCTGGATGGTCACAATCTCCTGACCTCATGATCTGTCCGCCTCTGCCTCCCAAAGTGCTGGGATTACAGGTGTGAGCCACCGTGCCCGGCCTACTTCATTTTTCTTTATATGTATCCATGTATTTAATATCTGAATCAATAAAGACAATCACATGTTATGTTAGAGCAAACAATTAAATCTTGATATCCTGAAATATATTTTGTTAAAAGTAGACCTTTCTGGAATTTGTGTATAATCCCTTTTCTCATCCAGAGTGTAGAATCATTGGAGAAATGAGACAAAAGATAGTCAGATGAAAAGCCCAAGTGTTCACCAAGGCTAATAGTGGAGAATGTGGGCAATAGTGAAATCCCTATCATCAAACTGCAAAATTAGTCACAGGCAGCACTGGATCAGAGCAGGGCACCTCACATGGGGCCTGCTGCGGTACAACTTCCAGCATAGAGGAGCAAAGCAAGATGATAGCTTCCTGTGGGAACCAAGAGACACCCATGCCTCTGACCTCTGTGTCTGTTGTAGGTAGGTTTCTCTACCTGATGAGGAGAGAGATGCTGTGGGGCAAAAATGTACGAGTGGTTAGGGAAAAATACCTTCTTAGGGAAACCAAAGGAATGGGGTGAGATCATTTCTATCTAATACTCCTGAACATGATGATACGATGCATGCATACATGGGATGATTGAGGGTCATCAATGATGAGCAATCTAGTCACTTCTGTCTGTGGTGATTCTAATATTAATGAAATGGTATATTTATTTGTAATTTTATTAAACACTATTAATATATCAAATTAGTTTAAAAACCTAGCTTCTTGGCTAAAACAACTTGATGTACATTGTTACTTTACTAGGTTTAACCACATAACACATGGAAATGATAATCCCTAATCTAAATAATTAAATTAATAATTATTTTGGGAACTACAATGTCATCATACAAACTATACACCTTACTGAAGAGAGATTAATGTTAATAGAAGAAACGTAGACAGGCAATTTTGGCCCTAGTCAGCACCTTCCCTAAAACTTTTAAGGGTGCATATATATCATTTTTAGCTTCAAAAAAACTTCTTCTTATTTACTACATTTTTGATTATCTTAGTTTGTTTGTGCTGCTTTAACCCAGTACCATGGACTAGCTGGCTTATAAATAACAGAAATTTATTTCTCTCAGTTCTGGAGGCTGAGAAGTTCAAGATCAAAGTGCGGGTACATTCGGTGTATGGTGAGGTGCCATTTTCTGGTCCATAGAGGCTTCTAGCTGTGTATTCACATGGTAGAAGGAGAAAGGCAGCTCTCTGGGGCTTCTTTTACAAGGCCACTAATTTTATTCATGAAGGCCATGCCTTTATGTCCTAATCAACTTTCAAAAATCCACCTCCTAATGCCATCTATATGGGGGTTAGGATTTCAACAAATGAATTTTGGGGAGATGCAAATATTCAGACCATAATGTGGGTTTATATATAAGTAAAACTATTTATTTTAGTTCCATTCATTGATCAGTTCAATTTATCAAACAACCAGTAGATTAAAGGAAATAACTGGTTTGATGGTTCAGTTAACTGACAAGTAATTTCCTGGATTTACTTTTGCTTAGGTTTAATTTTAATTTTCTTTTCTTTAATAAACATATAACAAAATTTAATTACTACCTCAACCATTTTTAAGTGTACAGTTCAGTAGTGTTGAGTATATTTACATTATTATGCAATAGGTCTACAGAACTTTTTTATCTTGCAAAACTAATTCTATGTCCATTACACAAAAATTTCCCATTTCTCTCCCCTCCCTCCCAGAACCCTGGCAACCACCACTCTATTTTTTATTTCTATGAATTTGACAATTTGGATATCTGATGTAAGTAGAATCATATAGTCATCTTCGACTCCTTCTTTCCTTCACAGCTTCATCTTATTAATCACCAATTCCAGTCAATTCCATCTCCTATAGTCTGAATTTACCTTTCAGCCCCTCAGTTCAGGCCCTTATTATTTCTCTCCTGGGTAGTGCAACAACCCTCCACCTTTATTCTTGTCCTCTTGCAGTTCCTTCTTCATATCACTGTGACTTCTCTAAAATTGGATTTGATTTATTTACTCCATCACATACAATTCTCTACATATTTCCAGTTGCTTCTTGTCTAAGCTCCTTAGCATGGCATATATAGTCTTTCACAGTCTGGCTCTGCCCTCCTCTCTGGCTCCCTTTTCTCCCTCTGACCCTCAATCTGTTCATAGCTCCCCAGCCACACTGAATCTTTCCTTTCTGTGTGTTCTGCACACTTGGCTTTCCTTATGGAATGACCCCTGCAGTTTTTTCTCTCCTGGATAATATCTAACTATCTTGCAAGTCTCAATTGAAAATTCTCTTTTCGATGCCCGTAGAACTCCATGTCTAGCCATTCTCTAGCAGTTTTCACATTGTTTTCCAACTGTTTGTGTGTCTATCTCTTGATGGTAAATTCCTTAAAGGCAAATTATTTTATTTTTGGTCATTTATTTTTTTCTCTAGTGCCTAGAATAGTATCTGGCATATAGTGGTTACGCAGTGATTATGAGCAAATAATGACATTTTAATCTTTGTGAAATTCTTTCTTTAGAAACACTTTACAACTCAACTAGTTCAAGAATATAATGCTTTTTTTAAAGCAGTTTACACTTTTATGTTACCATTCTATCTGTTATTATTATATAAAAGGATCCACATGTATTTAAGGGTGCCTACAGGCACTAACAAATATATCTGTATATCTCTTGGAAGTCTCATCTATAACCTAGTTGTCTAACTTATTTAGGGCATTGTTTTCAAATTTATTCTTTCAATTAACAAAATTCTACCCTTTGTGGTTATTACTCCATGGGGTGCAAGCACACAATTTGAAACTTCAATTAAAATACATAAACCAAAACAGCAGCAGTTAAAACAACATATTTGAAAAATTCTCAGCTAAAAATGATGCCCAATCGAAAATGGCAATTTAGAAAGATATATACACACAGAAGCTATGAGGAAGAAAATGTTGATAATTTAGAAATAATCTTTATTTGTGTCATAGAAAACAGATGTGGATTTATACTTTGCCATTTTAAATCATCATCTCTTACTTTGAGGACACTATCTTATTCCTAGTTGTGTAAGTAATCAATATTTATACCATTGTTTAAAAAATCACTGAGAGATTGGGTCACTACCTTCTAAGTATTTTTGGTGGCAGAATCATTCCAATTACAACAGGAGGATGCCAATAGAAGCCTCAAGATTGAGAGTAAAATGGGAGAGAACTGTATTTTTCAGTCACAGCATAGAATTCCACTTACCCTGAAATCCTGTCTGGCTTTGTCTTCAATGCTTTGAAATAATCAGAGATGTTTTGATTATTTCACTGTAAATTATATTGTTTTAGGCTTTTGGTTAAAAAGTTGAGGTTGAATAGTCAACACAAATATCTAAACAATGAGATGAGGACATGTAAAGTCTGGTCTACACAGTTACAGGGCTTAGTGACAGAACATTTTTGTCTAAACATTTTATTCTTTTAAGAAGTTATGTTATTCTGAATCATGCTGCAATGAGCATACATGTGCATGTGTCTTTATATCAAATGATTTATATTCCTTTATATATACTTGGAATATATGATTATATACTGAGTATGGGTACATACTCGGTAATGGGATTGCTGGGTTGAATGGTATTTATGTCTTCAGGTCTTTGAGGAATCACTACACTGTCTTCCACAATGGCTGACACATGCACGTGTATGTTTATTGCAGTGCTATTCACAATAGCAAAGACTTGGAACCAACCCAAATGCCCATCAATGATAGACTGGATAAAGAAAATGTGATACACATACACCATGGAATAGTATGCAGCCATAAAAAAGAATGAGATCGTGTCCTTTGCAAAGTCATGGATGGAGCTGGAGGCCATTATCCTTAGCAAACTAATGCAGGAGCAGAAAACCAAATACCACCTGTCTTCACTTGTAAGTGAGAGCTAAATCATGAGAACATAGGGACATATAAAGAGGAACAACACACACTGGGGCCTTTCAGAGACTGGAGGTTGGGAGGAGGGAGAGAATAAGGAAAAATAACTAATGCGTACTAGGCATAATACCTGGCTGATGAAATAATCTGTTCAACATACCCTCATGACACAAGTTCACCTATGTAACAAACCTTCACTTGTACCCTTGAACTTAAAAGTTGAAAAAATGTTTTTCAAATACTTCGAGGGAAAAGAGGTTTTGTGAGCTTCTGGGTAGAATTTCAGGACGTTTTCCAGCTCTCCAATAAAATATCTATTTATTGAGATTCTGCTATGTACAAGACACCATGGTAGATAAAAGGCAGAATGAGTTACAGTACCTGCCTTCAAGGAATTGACACTCTATTGGAGTAAAGAAAGTATGTACATGGACAGAACACAGGCTGGTTAAACAGTGGATAGAATATATTTGTTTACCTTGTACCCTCTTGAAATACCAATAAAATGAGAGAAAATATGTGAACTAATAGGCATAAGCAGAATGGGAGGATATATAATAATAGATTAAGCCCTTTTTAGAAGATAGAAGTGGATGTAGAAGTTCCCAGAGGCGGAAAACCTGATTCTAAATATGTACAGAGGGTAATGGCAATGAGAAACATGAAATTTTGCCACAAAATCCCAGAAAGTCTCAGAGATTAAAGACACTTGGTATCATCGAAGACAGAAATAATGTAAGGAGTTGAAAACAGGGAGAACTGGTTGGACATTTCTATAACAAGCACCTAGAGCTCCTTGGTTTTTCCCTTTGCCAATGGTAACAGGGAAGAGTGGTTTTATTTTGTGAAAAAATTGAACTGGAGAGGCTGAAATGAATGGTGGGAAGAAAGACACTATATATTAAAAACAGGAGGACTAGAGGAAAGCCTTCAAACTGAATGTTAAGCCCTCCTTGAGCTGCTTGGCTAAAAGAATACTTGAAATCAGGCCTCTATCCTCAGGCAGAGTGGAGAATTTTCTCCATAGCTACTGAACTAGTATAGAGTGTTGGTCTGTGTCTGTCTAAAGAGACCGATATTTGGGAGTCACCCCCCTAAAGGGCTATGTCTCTAGCCAGCAGTGAAACCCACCAATTGATAAGTTCCACCTTCATATACATATTCCAAACAGCTTTTTAGTGTTTCACTCTTAAATGTGAATGGGCAGCAACTTACTAGATACCTGATGAAAGCCTCCAGCAAGAAAAGCAGAGGAGAGAAAAGGGTGGGGGATGGGGGAGGGGAGAGAAAGAGAGAGAGAGAGAGAACCAAAAGAACTTAGAGGAAAATATAGATAAGGCAGAAAACAGAAGAAATGCACTCTTCTACCTCAAAGCCATTGATAAAATCCTTAGAGAGCTGAGCGAATATACCTTATATGTGAATTAAGAACCATTAAAAAGATACTCAAAAAACAACAAAAAAGAGCTCTTGGAAATTAAACATCAGATAGCCAAATTAAAAATTAAAAGCAATAGAAAATTCAGAACTTAAGACCAATTTTCAGAAAGTGGAGGAAAAAGACAAAGAAATGGGCAAAAATCAAGAAAAGATAAGAATATTAAGAGACCAATCTAAGGCCAGGCACAGTGGCTCACTCCTGTAATCTCAGCACTTTGGGAGGCAAAGGTGGGCAGATTGCTTGAGCCCAAGAGTTAGAGACCAGCCTGGGCAACATGTGGAGACCCCATCTCTACAAAAATAAAGAAATTAGCTGGGTGTGGGGGTCTACACTTGTGGTCCCAGCTACAAAGGAGGCTGAGGCAGGACGATAGCTTGAGCCCCGGAGGTCGAGGCTGCAGTAAGCCATGATCACACCGCTGCACTCCAGCTTGGGTGGCAGAGTGAGTCCCTGTTGAGAGAGAGAGAGAGAGAGTGAGAGAGAGAGAGAGAGAGAAATCCAGAAAGGCCAACATCTTACTCCTAAAATGTTCAGAAAGAGAATGAAAAAAGAAAAAACTGAACAAAGACATTATAAGAAAATTTCCAGAATTAAAGGACATACATTCCAGCATTGAAAGAACCCACTGAGTGCCCAGAATGAGGGCTCGTGAAGGATCCACAGCAAAACACCTCGCAAGGAAATTTCAGGACAACACAAATATAAAGAAGATTCTTTAAAATGCAGGTGAGGAAAAGTAGCTTGCTTACAAAGGATCAAGAATTATAACGTCATCAAACTTCTCAATGTCAACAATGGAAGCTCAGAATTCCATATACATTTAAAGAATACATTAAGTACAGAGGAGAATGAATGCATTTTGTAGGCAGAATCTCAGAAAATTTGCCTCCAATGTTTGCAGAAGCCATTTGAGACTTTCTTTAACAAAATGAAAGCATAACTCAGATAATGACATGGGAAGGATGCAAGGATTCCATGTAGGAGAGAAGAAGAAGGAAGAGCTGAGATGGCAACTGAGTTGCAGAACTACAGGATAAACAGTCTAGAATGGAGCAGGGAGAGGGAGGGCTCTAAAGGGCTGTGGTAAGAGGCTCCTGTTTATCTTCCTGAAGAGGCATGCTAAACGGACTTCAATAATGTGCAGGTTCTTCTTTTTTTTTTCACTTTGATAAAAAATGAAGTTAAAATAAATCGTATTAAAAAAAGATGTTATATGCTACTAAATAGGTTTGCAAACATAGTGCTTTAGGTACTGAAGAAATAGAGATTCATTCGGCTTAGAAGACAGCTTTTGGGGAGAAAGATGAATTTTGAAGGATAAGCATGGCAGAGATGGTCAGTGTTTGCTACACATCCACGTACCCATCTTTTGTAGGCCTTCTTGCATTTAGACCAGGTCCATGTGACTGGGATGTGACCAATGGGATGTGGGTGGAAGAGATGTAAGTCATTTGCAGGCCTGGCTTTTAAAATAGGCCTGCAAAATCCTGTGGTCATTTCTTTCTCTGCAGCAGCAATCTTAGGGGCCGGATTCCAGATGGTGAGGAGAAAGCCTGATACAGATTTCATTTTGCATGAGTGTGAAATCATATTTATTATGTTAAACCACTGAGATTTGAGGCTTTATTTGTTAACACAGCACACCTTAGGTGTAGGCTATGTGGTATGTAAGAGACAGCATAGAATAGTGATTAAAGGCAGGGATTCTGGAATCAGACTGACTGGTTTAAAAACCTGCTGTCACCTCTTATTAGCTGAGGGATCTTTGGCAAGCTAATTTTAATGTCCGTGAGGCTCCCTTTATTCATCTCTAAAGTCAGGATAGCAATAGTAACTTATCTCTTAGGGGTGCTTTAAAGATTACATTGTTAAGATCTATGTATATGTTGGCTATTATTATTATTATCATCTCAAATGTAGGTGCCTTAGTCTGTTTTCTGCTGCTATAACAGAATACCATAGACTAGGTAATTTATAAAGAACAGAAGTTTATTTGGCTCATGGATCTGGAGGTGAAGATGTCCAAGAGCATGGTGCTGTCATCTGGCAAGAGTCACTCCATGGTGGAAGGCAACAGGTGGAAGAAAGCATGTGGGAGATAGTGAGAAAGGTGAACTCCCTTCATAATAACACACTCTTGCAATAACTAACCGACTACCACAATAAAGACATTAATCCTTTCATGAGGACTCTGTCCTTGTGACACAATTCTTTCTTATTAGGCTTCATCTCACAACACAGTTGCATTGGGAATAAAGTTTACAACACATGAATTGAGAGAACACACTCAAACCATAGCAATAGGGAAGCAAGGAATGGCATCCTAGGGGGAAGCAATAGAATGAAATTGAATGATAACTTCTCTTTGAGTTGTGGAATATAAAGAGAAGTTATCATTACTTCTCTTTTGAGGAAGAATGGAATATAAAGATGATTAAGGGTACTGTCTTAGTTCAGGCTGTTATAATGAGGTACTATAGGCTAGGTGGCTTATAAACAACAGAAATTGGTTTCTGAAGGTTGGAAGTCTGAGATCCAGGTGCCAGAGTGATTGGGTTCGAATGTGGTCCCTTTTCTGGGTTGCTGATTGCATGCTGACTTCTCAGCATATCCTCACATGATGAAAAGAGGGTGAGAGAGCTCTCTAGGGTACCTTTCTAAGGACACTAATCTGTAACATAGTATGTAACGTAGTAACCTCCTAAAGACCCTGTATTAGTCTGTTCTCATACTGCTATGAAGAAATACCCAAGACTGGGTAATTTATAAATAAAAGAGGTTTAATTGGCTCACAGTTTTGCATGGCTGGGAAGGCCTTAGGAAACTTACAATCATGGCAGAAAGCAAAGGGGAAGAAAGGCACCTTCTTCAGGGGGCAGCAGGAAGGAGAAGTGCTGAGCAAAGGGGGAAAATCTCCTTAAAAAACCTTCAGATCTTGTGAGAACTTGCTCGCTATTGTGAGAACAGCATGAGGGTAAGCACATTCATGATTCAATTACCTTCCACTGGGTCCCTCCCAAGACACATGGGGATTATGGGAATTCAAGATGAGATTTGGGTGGGGACACAAAGCCAAACATATTAGGCCTTACCTCCTGATACTGTAATGTAGGGTTAGAATTTGACACATGAATTTTGGAGGAGTTTAGACATTCAGTCCGTTGCAGGTATATAGGTTAGTGTATTTATTAGAGCATTATCAGGGAAAGAGACACAGTAAGAATAATATGAAATAAGGAGTTTATTATAGGGATTAGACCTCATATAATTATCAGAGCTGAAGAAGTCTATGGAAGATTGTTGGCTACGCTTCTGGGGGTGGGCGTGAAGGTCAGCAGGATCAGCAGTTTGGAAAAGAAGCTGGACGCAAAGAGGAGGAGAGAGAAGACAAATGGGAGCACATGAGAACAATTTGGAACCTTCATCTATCACTGCCTTCAACTTTGATGTAAGTACCCTGCAGAAGGTGATCCAGCAGACTGGCATAGAGTGTGTGAGTGGTGATGGAGCCTGGCACCAATACCCACTAACCTTCATGACATCATAGCTCCTGCTGCACTTTTGGCTTCCTTGGGAGTTCCTTGGGCACTTTCTCTTGTATCCAACTAACTTAGACTTACATAAGGAAGAGACTTTGGGAAATGTCAGTCCAGACTAGTGTCAAACTGTGGAGCGACCCTAGATGCCATGCTGATGAATTTGGGCTTTCCTATGACGGCTATGGAAGGCAGTTGAAGACTGACAGGATTAATAGACTCAGAATGAAAAGAAGTGGGACCCTCAGCTAGGTTGCTTTTGAGGATGTTGATGTGTTGTTAGAGTTGATCTTATTCACTATTTATTGCACATCTACTCTGTATTTATAAAGCAATTCTGCCTTATTTCATTACCTGGGAAGGCTCAGTGCACCTGTGTTTTTTCTGTTCATAAAGAATAATCCTTATCACTAGTACATATGATAATTCCAGGGACAGACAGTGTTAGACATAGTGGATACAATTCAATGTCATTGTTGGTAAAATAGTAATAATATCATCTGTTTTTAAGTGCTTTAGGCCCTTTGCAGGAAAGATATCACTGGATGTAGGTATAAAGCCAAAAAGGAAATTCAAGATGAAGGATGCTTATATGGTGATGGCTTAATAATATCTTTCAGTGAGACAGGTGAACTGCAGTGTTTGAGAAAAATGAATGTTGCTACTTAATGGTGCAAGCTGTCCAAGTTTAGTCATTTTAAAGAGTAGTTCTCCTTTTTGGAAGTGCTAAAACAAAGGCGTAGTGAGTCTCCAGACAGAAAAAAATAACTCACAACAAGATTTTTATGGCCCACTCTTCTTTCATTCTAAATTCTCTCCTTCTTCAAGGAAGGAGATTTCACCATACATTTCACCATATATTTCAAGAAGCCTTCTCTGATGGCCTCGTTCACAAGCTATCTTTTCTCAATTTTTGTAGTACTTTGTATTAGTTTTTGAAAAAATAATTCTCACCACATAGTGTTATCTGAACACTGGGAAATAGAGTAGGAGAAAGAAGGCTCAGAAAGATCTAGGTTAGAATCCTTGTTCTCTACCCGTTTGTGTGACTTTGGACAAGACACCATCTCTTAGATTCAATTTCAATTTCCCAAAGTTTTGCCTAATTGCATTGTAGTACCTACCACATAGGTATAAAATAAATGACAATCTTCTCCATCCTGCATTTTCTTTCTTTAAATGTATTACAGTATCCCCAACTGGTTTTAATAACCTTAAAAATAAGAATATTATCTTAATCACTGTTGACTTTCTCTCAGCATTAGCACAATGTCTGGCTGTAGGTGCTCAATATAATGCCATGATTAATAGATTAAAGAACATGGATGTAACCCCCTCTAGTTTGGGTTCTGACTGAATAATGCTGCTGGGGATGGGGCAGATCCCTTGTTTGGATTCTTGAACTATACCTTCCAAAAGTAGCTGTTTTTTCATCAGAGAATTAACAGTGCATACCTCAATGGAACTTCTATGATTACATCCACTGCTGAAGGTTGAACACAAGCAAATGTACTTTTGGAAAGAACAGAAAGGAACTTTTGTGGTTTCCCCACCCCTAGTTCTCACCAGGGCCCTGGGGATGCTTTCAGAAGTAGAGGATGATGGAGTGTTGACTTCTAGAAGTCCACCTTCCTGTCTTGAGCAGAATATCAAAGTGAAGGCAGCCTTTCTGAGAGAGCTTCCTCCCATGCTGGGCCCCACTGAAAGACCATTATTAACCCCACCAATTCATGTCCAAGTGGCATCAATCATTTGGATCACACAATGGCTGACTGTACATTATGACATTATCTCTGAGTACGAAGGTGATAACAATAATAATCATTTTAAAAAAGCTCCTGGCATGGCCTCGGCCAACTGAGGACCTTAGCCAGATCTGTCATACTTGTTCTTAACATGAAAGGTTTGGCTTTTCCCTTGCATGCTCATACATCACTGGACCTGTCAAGGGTTTCTGTAGGACCAGTTGACATAGCTCAGAACAGCAGCTGCTGGATGGCTTTGGGGAGCCTGACTCAAGAAACAGTTGCTGGGGTACAGGGACCACAAGCATTCTGCCAGAGACTGACATCCTATTGTGCTGTCCTGCCACTGCCCTCAGTAAGTCACAACGAGGAGTAAACTGCTGTCACTGAGATGAAAGGCCCCCTTCCTCTGATCTCTCCACTACAAAATTACTTCAGTGCCACACTGTATTTTATGTCAATACCTATTTTATTTTTCAAAATTGAAAAAGATATAAGTACATTGTTCCCTGAATTCCTGATGCTCTGGGTAACCTAGCAACTGAATATGCCACATAGCACACAACAGAACATTATCATGCACTCCGTTCAACTAACAAGCAAGCAGCACAGATTTCCCTTGCAGATGATTTAGGCTAAATTAATGGTTAATAGTTGCTATTAATATTAAAAATAATAATAACCTCCCTTTTTCATTTCTTAGAGCTAGATTTGTAGGGAATAATGCTTGGTTCTAATTGTACATGTGGGAGAGTGTTTTTCACTGAGCCTACATCTTGCAAGTGATTTGCATGGGATTTAGGTAGCCAGCAGCATGCTGCAAACTGATAATCACATGAAACAGAAGAATACATTCAGGACAGTTGGAAACCATGCAAAATTTTCAAGTTCAAAATTGACTCATGCTTTCCACCTCTGGGAAGCTGCTGTCAATAAGGGGCTTAAGTGCATGGATCAGAAAGTCTAGCCAGGCTGACACTGCCCTCAGTCCTCCCAGAAGCCTGCCAGGAAGCCCTCTGGCAATCAGCTCTAGGACAAGAATAGAGCCGGAACAAGAGTCAGGGTCAGGGAGAAGTTCAAGAATCTCTGACCTGAAAGAACATGGGCAAGGTCATGGCACAGAGCAAGAGTCTGCTGAAGAATGGCAGAGGTTACGGGGAAGGGAGGAAAGAGTAGAAATAGAGGCTTGGACAGAACAAAGGAGGAAAGAAAGGACATTTTCAGTAACAAGGAGGAGAGCGTGAAACACATGCAGCATCATGAGACAGGAGGAGGATGGGTTGTTTTTTGGTAACAGGAAGTTCAGGGGTTGGTGGATAGGTATCTAAAATAGGCTTTTGTGTCTACTTGTCCTTCACTTTAGATTTCCTTTGAAGTTGACCCATCTATTTGTGTTTTGTGAAAGTCAGTGACTTTTAAAGTCAGTTTAAAACACACATATACACATAAAAAACACACATACACACAAAACACACATACATACACATTTTAGTTAATGGGGCCTTGTGAATAATTCACTGTTCACTCTTTCTCCTTTCCCCTCTTTTAAAAGCAATCAAATTAATTTGGTAGCTTCTTTGCTGAACCACCAGAACTTTAAGAAGCTTTTGCAACTTCCTTAGAACTCAGACCTCAAAAAAACCCCTTGAAAAGTCCTGCTGTTTCTCTCCTTAACTAGTCACCTCAATCTGAAGAACTAAGGTCCTTTCATTTTGAGTACGTCCTGCTGCTTTTTAATAATCTACGAGTGAATTAGGTATTTTCGCCCTCAGGTTACAGCTGTTGCAAATAATGTTTCCTTCCAATCATGAAGAAAATATTTTAATACTTTCTGAGACTCTGAACAACCTGTTATATGAATGAGAAATATGCCCAGTGTCTCATCTAGATTGAATTAACTTCATTTGCAGATATCAGTATATAAAGCTGGATCCTGAAATATTATTTTTTTAAAAATTAGAACAAAAGTTTAGGAGCGCTCTTTGCTTGTCAATAGTCCAAGTCATTTTACTTATTTGGATGCATTTTTGATACTGTTGTCAGGAATAGCCCCTCCTGTGCCTGGTTTCTAAGTGCTTGCAGTTTGTGCCGATTAAGTAGCAAAACCATTTGGTTGCACTCCTTGCCACTGGGGAACTGACAGGACACTAAATATCATTGCAGTGCAGCAAAGCATGGAGATGCTCCAAGAACAGCAGAGCTGAAAACATGAATACAATGCATAAGCTTTTGACTGGTTGGCAGAAGGATAATGGAAATCCAGGAATCAACAACAATCTGAAATTGTGCAGTATTTGGCATTGCTAGATTTTAAGGACAATATTTTAGAAAGCAGAGAATTGGTGTGATGATTGTTCCATGAATGCAGAGAAAGATCAGCTGCTTTTAAAAAAGGTCACATTAATGTATTTGTGCCCAAACACTTGTAAAAGCCAGACCACCCACGGGGAATGTGTTCTTGTCAAAGCCTCAAGTGGAGTGACCTGTGCATCCGAGGGTTTCTGTTGCTGAGGTGATGGGATGGGAGGCTGGGAGAGATGGCTGCCTTCTGAATTTCCAAGAGCCTTTAGGGCAGTGGCACAGAAAGAATGCACCCTTCAGTGCGTTAGAATCAATCTGTTAATTGTGTCAGGTATAGGGTTTTAGGGAGAGTATGACTTTACAGTTTGCCTTCAAAGTAGTTAACTTCTATTTTCTCTATTCTAAAATGCTCTGTGTTAAAACAGCATTAATAGAATGAAGAAAATTTCAAGAGCAAAATTGAGCAATCTTAGGACAGATTATGAAGTTAATTGACTGAAATGTTCATGGTTTTAGTGCATTACAGTGAGAGTCAGAAATCAGGAAAGTCACTGTTAACGAGAAGACCACTGGGACCCTCATTTTCATCTGAAAATCACTGCAAACAGATGGATATCTGTTTAAAAAAGATAGAGTGGCTTTAAAGGTCAAATTGGAATTTTGTAAGTTCTATATGGTAAAACATGTAAGGTGACAAATAATACAAAAAAATAGTCCTTCAGAGTTCTATGAAGACAGAGCAAAAAATGCCCCTCAGGGCATTATGGAAGAATGCTGTAGGGAAGGAACCCCTCCCCCATGACTAAGCATTCCTGTCCTCTATAGGACAGAGGGTGGCCTGGCCATACTGCCATTTAAATAGAGAACTAGGGAATATCTCTTAAGTATAAGGGAGAGGTGACATCCTTTGTTCTCAATGAATCTCAGTACTTTTCAGGGTTGGGTCTTTCTCCCTTCTCCTACAAATACCTCCAATCGGGACAAGAAATGCCCTCAGGCCACTCATAAAGATGAAGGTGTTAGAGAGTCACTTAGAGCCTTCTTAGTTGGGTGTCTATATCTTAAAAGCAGATGGTTGGAGCCAGTATCATTTAACCTAACAAAACACAATATTAATGATAGAATTCTGGAGATCTCCAGTGAAAGAGATTTATTCTGATGGGGGACAATCCCAATATCTCTCTGTTTCCTGCCAGTAAACTGTCTATGAGCATAACCACAGCCTATCTTTCAGTTTTGTCTAAAAGGCCTTACAGCATATGAAATATTCCAAACTTTTTATTGGAACATTCAACTTAGCAAAAACGTATAGTATAGTCCTTGGTGTACAATTTTGTCTACAGATGCCATCTTGTTGTGTTTTAAATTTTAGTTACTTGATAAATGAAGATAATATTAGGTTAGAAACATTTTTAGAAAACATCTTGTAGATCTCTTCATAAAGACAATGATAGCAACCTATATGTCATATAATTTTACTCAGTTAAGAGTCACTATAATACCTTTAAAATGCATTAGAAAGCATTAGTGGATAACATACTTAAAATTTCTTAAAGTAATACAATATTTAAGGATGCAATTTATTCTTCCTTGCAAATATAATTGTGGTTCAGTTCAGAAAACAACCAAAAAACAGAACCAAAAAAGTCCCTTAGGTGATTTCAAATTGGATGTTATTATTAAGTATGTTAAAAAACAATGGTCCTCATTTTCTTTCATTCACTCCCCTATCCTTTATCATTTTTTTCTTTCACTCTCCACCCCATGTTGGAGTGGGTCAAACATATTCTGGCAAAACAAGAATGCCAGTATGACACTCCTACTGAAGAGGGGAGTGGGGTGGGCGGGATGGGCTGCAGGACACTGTGATTAGCAGCCCTGCCAAGTGTCCAGCACATGGAGTATGCATTAATGGGCATTTATGATAACTGTGCTTGTGCTTGCAGCTGCATAGCAAATGAATTCTGCTGTATTTTAGTACCCCATGCAGCAGCTTTCTTTTGCTATTTTGTGAGGAGTACGTCTTAAAATTCAGGTGCGGCAGTTTGTCTGGATTTTGTGTCATGTTTGAAGATGAATGGCAAATCAAGGCCAAATCATCTTCAGAAAGATAATCTGTTGGATGAGAATCCAGAACACTGAGAGGGCATGTGAGTTGGAGGATGCTCCATGTCATATCCTAGGAGCCCAGGATGCCTGGCAAGGAGAGATGGCTGTTTCCCCTTGTTCCTGAATAATTAAATGCCCTTCCATGGCGTCCTTATTGCTTTTCAAACATGCAGTGGACACCAAAAAGCTTGCTGGAGAAGGTTTAAAATTTCTTTTCCATCAAAATAAAGATTCTGTTTTAAACCATAAGAGGAAAAATGTTTAATAAAGAATTTTGAAACTGTATTATATTGAAGTATTTAAAATGTCAGCAGAAGAATTAGGAAAATTTAGGAGGCATTTTTGTTTCCAAAAATAAAATGCCCACCCCTGAATTAAAACATGGGCTTTAGTCATAATTTTTCATGCAGTTTTGAATTTTAATTATAAAAGTGCCAACTATGGAATAATTGGCTGGTACCAAGAATTGATTAATTCACACTTTTTAAATGTTTCTAGTTTCTTTCATTCAAGGACTACCAAGCAACACACAAATACTGGCACAAGCTAGAGATCTGACTTCCAAGTTGGGAGGATAACTTTGGCCTTGCTTTCTTACGCTGAGCAGCTGGGAAGTGGTGTCCACTGTGTGTGTGTGTGTGTGTGTGTGTGTGTGTGTGCACGTGCATGTGTGTGTGTATGTTTGTGTGTGTTCATATGGGTTCTATTAAGAGATGCTTGTTAGTTAATACATTTGTTTAGGAATATTTTTTAAAAATTTATAGTACCATAATATGTACTGACTTATAACCCTTGGCAATCTGTATATTTTCCAGGAATTGCAGATATAAGCATAGCTTTATTTCAAGGTGGGTATACTTAAAATTATGACAAAAAATGATGACAAAAGAAAGCAACAACAATAACAAACAACAAAACCTACTCCAAACCACACACATGCTGGCATACATGCACAAAGGAAACCTTGAAGTCCATTAGTCCAGTCACAGATAGCAGACAACTGAGCTAATCTGTTATCTTCAGATATCAGAGGAATATTGTGCTCTGGTCATCTCCCTACAGGGTCATTTGCTTGGCAGTAGGACAATGCTAGACACATGCTAACGGGGTTAATTGCAGCCACATGTAGGTTTTCTTTTTGGATGACAGGCCACTGCCTTAAAATTGATCCGCACACTGTCGGGGGACTAATTCTGGGCTTCCTTTCAGCCCCATCCTCATCCTGTGACAGACTGCTGCTACCTACAGGCCTTCGGACACACTTGCTTGGGTTTGTAGGAAGTGTGGGAACAGGCACAGAGCTGGGTCAGAGGGCATAAAGCCAATGTCGCTACATGCATGTCTCTGCTTTTGTACTGGCCCTGGCCTCATCCTACTTTATGCAGATTTTACCTCCATGAGATCCAGATTGTGCCATATGGGATTCCTGTGTATGACTAGCGAGGACACATGCCTGTGGGAACTATTCTAATGAAGGACCAACCCAGGCGCTGCTGCCTGAACAGTTGCTTTTCCCAGGAGATGGTCGCACACAGAGGAGAATTTTTGTAAGGGGGGGTTAGGGGTTATGTCTGGGGGCAAAGGCATTCTCTGTCTGGGAAAAGAGTTGTGTGTCTGGTTCTTTACAGAGTGTGTGTATGGAAATGGGAAGTTTTAGGGTAGAATTTTCTGAATAAAAAATTTACTTTGTTTTCTGTGATTTCTTTTCTCCTTATTTTTTCTCCTTTCTGCTCTTTGTCCTTTTATTATCATTATTTCTTGCACATGGTCTTGTGTATTGCCTTTATCACTTCTGATGTTTGCTTTCCTTCCATATAATTATGCTTAATTTTAAAATGTCACGCTTGGATTTTTTTCTCCAATAGATTGTGTAGCTTATCTGTTGCTTCAAGTTATATTTAGTCATACTTCCTTTGCTTATTCTGCATTACTTAATCAATCCTCATATATTTTGAAGGTATCTCTTCTTCTCTCTCTTTGTGTTATAACTTTGTACATTTGTATTCCTTAGCTTTAAAAATCCTCTCTCTTCCTTTTTTCAAATGTCGCTGTTTGTAACTCTTTGTCATATGATTTTATTTAATCATTTACGATAGATGCATTCATTTTTATAGTTACTAAACAAAATGAAAACAACAGACGTTCTTTTTGTCTTTCTTCTCATTTCTACTCAAATTTCTCTATATCCTTAGCCCGTTTTAAAGCATTTAATCTTTTTATTCATCTTTCTGCTCTCAGAAATAATTCTTTTCTATTTTATGAATGCATCCATCCCTAAATACAAAATTCTCTCTATTTATAAATATATTTTCTTTTTATACACATATTTCTCTCATCTTTCTAGTTGAAGTGAATAATTTCATCGATTGCAGTTTTATTATGTTTTGTTTTAATAGTTATTATTCTCTGAGTAGTGCTTCTACTTTTCGGAGCTTGAGATTGAGTCTTGCACATAGAAAGAGTTCATAACTTGGAGTCAGATGATCTGGGTAGATCAGTCTGAGATCTGGCTTAGTCTCTAGTAGTAGATTTATTTATGTTCACTTACTCACTTATTCACTAACTACTAATTTAATTAAGCATGTCTCAAAGTCTGCTCTGTACCTCTCCTAGGTAAATACTTGTTCACTTGTATCTGTCATTAACCTGATCTTGGATTCCTCATTTGAAAGAACCCTCTTCTAGATTGGGTGATTCATTTTGGTGGGACATTTAGACTTTCTTTTACAAGAAAAGCAATTATGCACATGACTATTTTCCTGATGAAAACTTTTGAAGTTGTCAATAGAAAAAAAATATTGAGAGTTGAGACATGCAAGATATCCTCTTGCTTATATTTTACAACTTCAATTGAATTGGCCAATATCTGTTTCCAAACAACTTTGGTCTTTCATAAAGACATCATCCCTGGAGTTAGTTTCAATTGTGTTTACAGCTGGAGGTGAATTGATAGGTAGGGCTTTTCTTACATGTGGGTAGTATATTTTTACAGATGCTGAGGAGCCTTTTGGCTTCCCCAAATACCTGTGTGGCTTATACCTGATATTCTACAGTTAGAAATTCACTCCTTTATCTTGAGGCGTAGTTTTGTGTTAAAATAGAAACACTCCTGAAAGGGTAATATGTCCAGTCATTAATGCCTCATCATATCGTTTTCTCTAAAGGAAACATTTTGGTAGCTAGAGGAAGCCAGCTTTAGAGGGAAAATTAGAAATTGTAGGGAAGTTTGGTAGTTACTAAAGACACAAGAAATTTATGTTTTGTTTATTATCAGCCCTATTAACAGAGCAACTATTGCCATAGAATAAAACCTGTCTTCGTTCTTCATTGTCAGAGTGGTTAAAAGTCCTGGCTTACCTATGCTGAACTAGAATCATTTTTAATGGGGCCTTCTTTCACATTCAAAAGTAATCCAGTTTTATAAAATATATAGTCATCTTACTTTTAGGGGATATGGTAGAAGACAAGAATTAAAGATACAATGTCACATTCATTGCTTTTAAAAACATTTTATTTTGTTATTTATTATTTTATTATTTATTGATATTTTAGCTATTACATGTTTATATGTTTTCATTTCTTTCAATTGATTTTCTTTGAATCTTTATACATCATTACTACTTTTGGTGTAATTTATTCCACTTTGGGCACTTCTTCCTCTTCTGAACTAAGAACAGATATATTCCTCTAATTCTCCTATCTGATGCCCTGTGAAAGGCTAGTGCCTATCTTCTGTTACAGAGATTAGGCTTGATTTGTGTGAAACCTTTATTCTGGAAGTTTATATGTTATAAAATCAAGGGCAAGAGATTAAGGACTAAACTTTTGCACCTGTCATTTACAGGCTGTAGGACTTTGGACAAGCTATTTAACCTCTTTGAGCCTCGGTTTTCTTTTCTATAATGTGGGGACAATATTATTTACCTCTCAGACATATGGTGAGAATTAAATGAGATCAGATGCACAAAGGCCTGGCACAGAGAAGCAGAATGAGAATATATGATCCTTTGTTTTTGTATGGTTTCACTTAAGGCAGCATATTATTGCAAAGAGGTTACTCTTTATAAAGTAATGCTGTTATAGTAATGATGGTAAAAGTAAGGATATATTAGTGCAATTGTCCAGTTCCTTAGGGAATCACCTTCCTGGTGCTGACTTACTTCTGATTCTCTTTTTCCAGAATAAAGTCCCCTGTTTCACACATTGCCTTAGAATGTTCAGGGGATGTGGAAATATTCTTTTAAATTCCGCCAGGAAACAATGTTACTGAAAGTCCATTTCTGGCCACAAATTTCCCCAGAATTTCAGGGAAATGGTCATGACCACAGAAAAGGCATCATTTCTATTAGGTTTAAAACAAAAGAAAATAGAGAAAAAAAAGAATCAGACTTCAATCCCAAACAACCTTCCTGGATTTCTGTGAGTGCCTTCATGAGGCTGTTACAGCCTCTTCAGGTTTGCAATGCTCAGTGCTAGATTTTCAAACTGATCATGCTGTAATACCTTTGCTATGTCTCCTGTTACCTTGGCTGCACATCAATCCAGTCATTCTTCCATTAAGGATATTGGAGAGAAGAAAGTCAACTTTTTTTTCTACTTTCTTAAAAAAAGTAGCTAGTATTTAATGTGGAGAATGTTTAAAAATTTTCATTTGGATTTAAAAATAGATGTCAAAGGGTCTATATGATTTAGGTTCAATTTATATTTTAAAAAGGATAAAAAAATTTAATTCCAATCCTAGTCCCAATTTGCTTCCTTTTGTCATTCATTCAAGCATGCACTTGAAGGTGTTACTATAGTATGATGAATTTCTAAAAGTTTAGGGTAGCTCTAGGTCATACTATGAGTTTACAAGAATACCATGATTCAACATAGACCGGGTGACCTTTGAAAGGGATTTGAGCAGGGCCCCATCCAGTTCCTTGACAAAAGAAAGAGAATTTACGGTGTAGAAATGGGATTGCTTTCTCCTCCTTTCACTTACATTGCTGAAATAACTATAAGGTTAGTCTGCATGGAACAGGACATTTCCTTGGCTGGCCTGGTTGTTGTTATCAGGCTAGATCCTGTAGTTTCAAATTTAGTTTAAAGCCAGAGTAAAGTCATTTATGTATCCCAGAATCTTGCATGAAGAGGTATACAGGGTTAAGAGACTCCTTGCATGCATCAGGCTGTACCTGTATGCTAAACGTGCACCCTAAAGATAGTATTTGTGTTCATTCTTTCCAAAGAGGATTCTCAGCCCTGATTTTTCCATTGTCAAAAGTGATAAGCTACTATAGAGACTCAACTTCAAGAACCACTAATCCCCATAAAAGGCCAGCAAACGAGGAAGACAGGTTAAGGTCATTAACTAGAAGCTACACTGTTTTTAACTGATAGAGGGGATGCTGGCTAAAGAAAGTTCTTTTATTTTCAGAACTACTCTACCAAGGGAGAAAGCATGAACTTGCCGCTATGAAAAGTAACCTTGTTTGTAACACAACTAAGCCAATTAAAGAGATGGCTTCATTTTTTGGAGGAGTCCCAAAAGAATGAAGCAGGCTTTGTGTAAAGGAAATAATGCTTATATGGCCAAGTTTTCCACGGTCATTTCCCTTTCTTCTAGGTTTTGTTGAGCTGCCACGTGGGCGTGTGTTCACACCATGTGTTTATGCATAAGAGATACTTCTCTATTCAATAGAATAGACCAGCTTTACTCACCGATTCTGTGATAACTTATGTATTAGTATATTGGTTTTTGCATTTTCTCATATAGGAAAACTGAAATCATTTGACCAAGATAAAAACCTTAAAAATATTTTTATTCTTTTAACAGAAATGAAATTGTTCTACTGTTTCCATGTATTATTCCTTACTTCTAAGTGTAAAACAGATAAGAACTTTTCTGAATGATGGATTTTGTCAATCCATTAGGAGGGACCTAATGAGCCCCTGCTATGTCACTATTCTAGAAACACATTTTACATTAAGTGTGACTTGCAGCTTTTCAGTGTTTGTTCTATAGATTGCATTAGAGAATAGGGTAGATTATGATAGGGTACAGAATGAAGGTAAGGGATCACTTCAAAACATGTAACTACGAAATCTTTGGCTAGGTGCTGAACAATTAGAGACTTTTAAAAATGCTCAAATGTTGCCTCTTGTTATTGAAGACATTAGGATATGCTGTATACCCATTGACACATACTGTTATTGCAATAACAATATGGATTCCCCAGTTTCTCCTAGCTTAGTGAAATTTGCCTTACTGCAAAAACTCTATATTGCTTTTGATGGTGACACTTGATATACCCAATTCTGATTAATAAGACAAATAAGTTATCTGTGGATTTAAGTTACCATTAATGCTTTCATATATGGAGTAAAAATGAAGTATGAGTCAACCTGCATTCAAGTATATTAGTTTGCTCTTGCTGGTGAACAAATTAGCACAAATTTAGTAGTTTAAAAAAACATTTCGTATTTTAGCTCACAATTCCGTAGGTCAGAAGTCAGATACAACATGCAAGAGTTCTTTGCCCAGAGTCTCACAAACTAAAATCAAAGTGCTGGGCTGCATTCTTCCAAGCTCATGTGGTTGTGGCAAGATTCAATTCCTTGTGGTTCCAGGACTGAACATTCCATTTCCTTGCCGGCTGTCAGTTGGGGCAGTTCTCAGCTCCTTAGAGGTCCCCATATTCCTTGCTGTGTGGCTTTCTCTGTCTTCAAACCAGCAATAGAGAATCTCCCTGATGTCAAATCCCTTTCACTCATTAAATCTCTTTTTTTTTCTCCCCAGAAAAAGACCTGTCCCTTTTAAGATATCACCTGATTAAGTCAGGTTCATCTAGCATAATCACTCTTTCTTAGAGTCAACTGATCTGGCACCTAATTACATCTGCAAAAACTCTTCAGAGCAGTACTCAGGGTCGTGTTTGACCAAATAACTGGGAGAAGGTGTATGCATACCAAGGGGTAAAAATTTTGAGGGGCCATCTCAGAGTTCTGCCTGAGTTCATCCAAATTATTAAATTAATTTGTGGGATTAATTTAATTTTTTAACTATAAGGAAAGCCTAAAAAGAACAAAAGAATTTGGCTTATGCCCTGATCATCAAAACACTTACTTTATTTAATTTTATACAGGTGACTCCCCCAACCTCAATCATGCCAGTTTGGTTCGGCATTTCTATTGAAATAGATGTAAAATAAATGTAGATAAAGATATGTAAATATGAATATATACTTTTTACACTCCTATAGGGACAGACCTAACATACTAACTGTATAAACTGAAACCAAATACAGAGTGATCTGCTTCAATCAAGCAACTATTTATCATTCATTTAGTATTTGCTAAGTTTCAGGCAGTGTTCTCAATGATGAAGACAGAAATGGGGTGCTATGCCCCAAGTTAATTTCTAAATCTAATTAAATATCAATTAAAATATCAAAGGCATTTTAAGAACATTGCAATCTATATGCAGGGATAATCAAATAATAATATATTTTTAAAAAGTATTAATAAGGAGAGTATTCCAAATGATACTTAATAATATGGCAACAGCACAGTGATTTGCACAGGGTGGTTCAACACAGGAATATAGGCAAATCAATGCAATATAATTGAAAATACAGAAACATCTGATATATATGCCTTTAATATGAGTTTAATACAAAATAAAGTTGGCCTTCGTAATACTGATATTATGCTATGAAAACTATGAACTGTTTGGGAGAAAGTAGAGTTAGATTCCTTTTTTATTACATATAAAAATTTTAGATGATAAAAAATGTAAAGGTTAACAATGAGAACTTAAAATTATATGAGAACATAAGGTGAATATTTATTTCATTTTGGGGGCAGATAAAATCTTCTTAAGCATAATCCCTAAAGCAGAAGCCAACACAGAAGTTGTCAATTACAGAGGAAACAAATGCTTCTGCAGATCAAAAACACCCTAAATAAATTAGAAGGGTAAGTTATAAAATAAGAAAAAAATGTTTCCACAAATATGGCAGGAAAGGATTAATACCATTACTGTGCAATTAGCCTTTACAAATCAATAAGTAGACCGATTCAAAAAGAAAAATGCAAAATGAATAAGTAAAAATTCACAGTGAAGAAATATAAATGCCCCTTCACTCCCCCAAAAAGGAAAAACAAAAATGCCCAAAATAACTGATAAAGAAATTTAAATTGAAGCAATGAGATATCACTTCATTGGCAATCTATCAAAGATTTAAAACAGGGAATGATTTTAAAAAAGTTAGTACTATATTAAATGTTGGAGAAAATGTAGAGATATGAGCATGCAGACCTTTTGCAAGCTAATCAATTTGTAGAAAAATCCTGAAAAATATGTATATTATTTAATTCAGAATTCAAATTATATTAATATATATTTTAAAACAGCTAAGAATAAATGCAAAGATTTAATCAAAATGTTTATTGTAGTATTATTTATAAAAATTACATAGTCTAAGTACCCAACAACAAATTATGATAACTTCAAATTATAGACTATTATATAGTATTTTGAATTATTTTGTAAAAGAATATTTCATTCTCTTGGGAGGCTGAGGTGGGCAGATCACTTGAGGTCAGGAGTTCAAGACCAGCTTGGCCAACATGGTGAAACCCCATCTCTACTAAAAATACAAAAAATTAGCTGGGCATGGTGGTGCACGGCTGTAATCCCAGCTACTCAGGAGGCTGTGGCAGGGAGAATTGCTGGAACCCAGAGGCAAAGGTTGCAGTGAGCCAAGATTGCACCACTGCAGTCCAGCCTGGATGCTCTGTCTCAAACAAAACAAAACAAAACACAACAAAACAAAACAAAAAAACTATTTCATTCTCTGGTGAGTTTTAATTATATACATACTTTAAAAAGAATTCTTCCACCATATACAATTTATTCACTCACTATATGTATTATTCTAAAAAGTTAGCAATTTAATTGTTTTTGATTTATGGGATTATAGATAGTATGAATTTAATTTTCTTTCTGCTGATTTTTATTTTCTAAATTTTCTATGATAAATGTGCTATTTTTAATGATTTATCCCACAATTACAAATAAGAAACTGTCAGTGGAACATAGCAGAAAGAGCACAGATTTTGAAACCCCAATGCACATGCAGTTGAATCCTGGTTCATAGGTCACTGGCTATCCTGTGGAATGATTGTGCTTCAGTCAAGTGCTTGCCCTGAACCAATTGACCCCTTGGCTGAGGAGGCAGGGTCATGTGTTCAAAACAAGGCTGCCTAGGGACTAGCCTTCAGCAGAAGCTGTAGGTGTTGCAGTTAGTCTCAAGAGTGTGGTAGACTGTACTATGAAATATGATATACTAGTAAGTGCTAGACTTCTGGACTGAATAAAATGCTATCCAATAATGGAGACAGGGAACATGGGCTCCTGTGACAACGTCACTGAAAAGGTGACACTGGTCTGGACTTTTCAAGATGGTGTAATTCACCAGATGGAGAAGGAGAAGCAGAGCAGGGAAAATGTGTTAAAGGCAGATGAGACATTACAAAAGAAGGCACAGAGGCCTGCAAAACTGTGTGTATTTGGAGAATAGTGGAATATATGGTTATTGATGTGAGGAGTGGTGGCAAAAACAAACAAAGACTAGAAAGGTAAATGAGAGGTAGATTCTGGCTCTGCAAATGATCCTTTAATTTAAGGACTCTTCTGCTATAATTCAGGAATTCTCAGCCCTGGCAGCACCTTAGAATCACTTGGGAGCGTTTAAAAAGCAGGGATACATGGGTCCCAATCTGGTTTCAAAGTCCAAATTTCTGGAGACTGGACTTAAGTATGTTTTGAAGGACTCTCAGGTGATTGAAACGGCAGCCAAAGTCAGGAGCCACTATTATAAACAATGTTATTTGGCTTATCTGTCTCCTATTTTCTGTACAGTGTGTACAGTGTCTAACTCTCTCTTTTGTACTGAGGCTATTTTAACCTATACGTTAGGCTCTCAGGGTATTACTGGCTAGAAGATTAGTCTTGGGCTATAATTTTCTTAGACTTTAAGAGGTTGTTAACACATCTCTACCTTTAATAGTTTCATCACATCTCAATTTCTTTATGATTTGCAACTCTCAAATCTCTAAGTTAAACTCACCAAGAAATTTCTACCCCTATTAAAACTTTTTCCCAGAGCCATGCTGCTGAGGCCTGTCTAAGCGCACTCCATGGCAGGCATACGTCTTCTGCTTGTTCTTCCACTCAACCTTGCGGCCTTTTTCTGCCTTTCTTGGCTTATTCGTGGACTCTTCCCTTTGGGACTTTTACCTGTCAGATGATTCTTTCCACAAAAGTGGGTGTAACTTTCCTCTAATCTTCTCATAGGGTGAATTCCTTTCAAAAGGCTATTATTTATTCTTAGAACATATATATTTCCTTATAATTGTCAATATCCTATTTTTTTGTTTAAAAAATTTTGAGACTGACAACTCTGGGCTTTCTTTATCACCACAATCTCTGAATATGGCAAATGTGGAAGAATTCAAACTCTTAAGCAATGCTACTCTTTAGAAAGGGCACGGGTAGGGCACAGATTATTTCAGTGGTAGTGAGAGCTAGCCAGGCTGCATAGGTTTTCTTACCTTTAATATTCAGAAGTGAATCAAGAGATTCATTAAAATAAAAGGCACTAACCATGGCCCCGTAGTCCTAGAACTAATGAACACATAATAAACCCTAGTTCTTTCTAGAAAACTCCGAATGACACAGGCTAATAATCTATAAATACTCAGGAATCATTGTTATCTCAATCTGCCTAAACATGAGTTTGTCATACTGGCTGTTGGTTTGAGTGGATAATGAGAAGCATTCTTCTCATCCAGTTAATTACTCTCGACTACGCTGGTGTGTTCTGCTTCTTCAGATTTTCCCTTGGCTCTCTGAGGTTTTCATAATGTTTTCAACTTTTGTGTTTTCTATAGGTCTTATATCTTTTGTCATTTAATGGTGTCTTCTGAAAAACAGGGTGATAGTATAAGAAACTAAATGTTGTCTTTCGGACGGTGAGAAATCTATACTTAAAGGATTATTTTTAATTGCCTTATCAGCTGAAGGCATGTTTCTGTTTTTCTGTACAAACGCGAATAGGCATTCAACATATAATTAACATTTTTTTATTATGAAAATTGTCTATGTAAAAGGAAAATATATATTGGGAGCCAGCTAAGCTGACCACTATACCACCAACACACTCAGAAAATCTACATTAAACCATCAGTGTGGGATGATTTTGATGTCAGAGTTTTCAGAGATCATTCAAGTCAGCTCTTTCGTTTTTCCAGGGAGGGGACAAGACCGTAAGGAACTTGCTCAGAGTTCCACAGGAAGTCACTAGAAAGTGTTTTTATTATCTTCATATTTGAGGTGAAACTGAAATTTGGAACATGTGCTCCACCTTTACTTTGGCAAATACTGAATTTTTTTCATGTTTTTTATTTAGGAAAAATCACAATTAACCCTTTCCTTTAGTAGTATATAAGGAAGTGACCATTAAGTTAGATCTAATTATTATTAGCTTTAGTTTCTCATATGATTTTTACAGTGGTGTAGACATCTTCTGAGATATTAGACTTTAATTAAAGCAATGATTTGCATGATACTGCTGCTGAAGAATATAACATACAGCATATCTATATGTGTGTATATATACACATATATGTACACATATATACACATATATACACATATATACATATATACACATATATACATATATACACATATATACATATATACACACATCTATACATATGTATACACACATATATACATATATACACATATATACATATATACACATATATACATATATACACATATATATACATATATATACACATATATATATATGTTTAGATCAGTGTTTTCAAATTGTATTCATTGAGATGGCAGTAGTGTTCTGTGAAAAAAAGACATCCCTGATGAAATAAGCTTGGGAAACCTATTTTAAAGAAAGCTTAGCAAGATTCTCCTCTGTAGGACTATCTAGAACCTTAATATTCTTTTGAGTACTGTGAATCTCTCTGTTGGGGTAAATGATGTAATATTTCTCAAATATATTTGCCCATGGAACTCACTTATTTTTTCTTTATTAAATAACTAACATTCCATCAGAATGCCCATGTTTTGAGAAACACAACTTATAAAATGCAGTTCTCAAATATCTCTTTCAGCTTTTCTGAAACTCAATTTTATTTTTTAACTTTTAGTTTAGGTTTGTGGGTATATGCGAAGGTTTGTTACATAAAATTGTGTCATGAGAGTTTGTTGTACAGATTATTCCATCACCCATGTATTAAACCCAGTAGTCAATAGTTTTTTCTGCTTCTCTACCTCCTCCCACCATCTACCCTCAACTAGACCCTAGTGTCTTTGATTTATTCATTGTGCTCATGAGTTCTCATCATTTAGCTCCCACTTATAAGTGAGAACATGCAGTATTTGGTTTTCTGTTCCTACATTAGTTTGCTAAGGATAGCTCCACCCATATTCCTGCAAAAGACAGGAACTTGTTCTTTTTTGTGGCTGCGTAGTATTCCATGGTGTATAAGTACTACATTTTCTTTATCCAATCTGTCACTGATGGGCATTATGTTGATTCCATGTTGTTGCTATTGTGAATAGTGCTGCAATGAACATATCATGTGCATGTGTCTTTATAACAGAATGATTTATATTCCTCTGCGTATATACACAGTAATGGGATTGCTGAGTTGAATGGTAGTTCTGCTTTTAGCTCTTTGAGGAATTGCCATTCTGTTTTCCACAATGGCTGAGCTAATTTACACTCCTGCCAACAGGGTGTAAATATTCGCTTTTCTCTGCATCTTTACCAGCATCTATTATATTCTGACTTTTAAATAATGGCCATTCTGACTGGTTTGAGATGGTATCTCATTGTGGTTTTGATTTGCATTTCTCCAATAATCAGGGATATTGAGCTTTTTTTCATATGCTTGTTGGCTGCATGAATGTCTTCTTTTGAAAAGTATCTGTTAGTGTCCTTTGCCCACTTTTTAATGAGGTTGTTTGTTTTTCCCTGGTAAATTTGTTTAAGTTTCTTATAGATACTGGAAATTCATTGTTGGATGCATAGTGTGCAAAAATGTTCTCACATTCTGTAGGTTGTCTGTTTACCCTGTTGATAGTTTCTTTTGCTGTGCAGAAGCTCTTCAGCTTAATTAGTTCCCACTTGTCAATTTTTGCTTTTGTTGCTATGGCTGTTGGTGTTTTTGTCCTGAAATATTTACTGTTCCCATGTCCAGGATGGTATTGACTAGGTTGTTTTCCAGGGTTTTTATAGTTTTGGGTTTTACATTTAAGTCTTTAATACATCTGGAGTTGATTTCTGTATGTAGTGTAAGAAAGTGGTGCAGCTTTAACCTTCTGCATATGACTAGCCAGTCACCCCACCACCATTTATTGAATAGGAAGTTTTTCTCCAAAACAGACAAGCTGTTTTTGTCAGCTTGGTCAAAGATCAGATGGTTGTAGATGTGTGGCATTATTTCTGGGCTCTCTATTCTGTTCCATTAGTCTATGTGCATATTTTTGTATTAGTACCATGCTGTTTTGGTTACTATAGCCCTGTAGTATAGTTTGAAGTCAGGTAATATGATGCTTCCAGTCAGCTTTGTTCTTTTTGCTTAGGATTGCCTTGGCTATTTGGGCTCTTTTTTGGTTCCATATGAATTTTAAAATAGATTTTTCTAGTTACATGAAGAATGTCCTTGGTAGTTTGATAGGAATAGCATTGAATCTTTAAATTGCTTTGGGCAGTATGGCCATTTTAATGATATTGATTATTCCTATTCATGAGCATGGGATAAGTGTGGCATGTTTTCCCATTGGTTTGTTTCTTCTCTGATTTATTTGAACAGTGTTTTGTAGTTCTCATTGTACAGATCTTTCACGTCCTTCATTAGCTGTATTCCTAGGTATTTTATTCTTTTTGTGGCAATTGTGAGCGGGATTGTCTTCCTGATTTGGCTCTCGATTTGACTATTGTTGGTTTACAGGAATGCTAGTAAATTTTGCACATTGATTTTGTATCCTGAAACTTTGCTGAAGTTGTTTATGAGCTTAAGGAGCTTCTGGGCTGAGACAATGTGGTTTTCTAAATACAGAATCATGTTGTCTGCAAACAGAGATTATTTGACTTCCTCTCTTCCTATTTGGATGCCCATTCTTTCTTTTTCTTGGCTGATTGCTCTGGCTGGGACTTTCAATACTATGTTGAATAGGATTAGTGAGAGAGAGCATCCTCGTCTTGTGCCAGTTTTCAAGGGGAATGCTTCCAGTTTTTGCCCATTTAATATGATGTTGGCTGTGGGTTTGTTATATATGGCTCTTATTATTTTGAAGTATGTTCCTTCAATACCTAGTTTATTCAGAGTTTTTAACATGAAAGAAGTGTTGAATTTTACCAAAAGTCTTTTCTGTGTCCATTGAAATAATTATATGGTTTTGACTTTTGTTCTGCTTATGAGATGAATCACATTTATTGATTTGCATATGTTGAACCAACCTTGCATCCTGGTGATGAGGCCTACTTGATCATGGGGGATTAGCTTTTTGATGTGCTGCTGGATTCAGTTTGCAAGTATTTTGTTGAGGATTTTTGCACTAATGTTAATCAAGGATATTGGCCTGAAGTTTTATTTTTGGTGTGTGTCCCTGCGAAGTTTTGATATCAGGATGATGCTGGCTTCATAGAATGAGTTGAAGAGGAGTCCCTCCTCCTCAAATATTTGGAATAGTTTCAGTAGGAATGGTACCAACGCTTCTTTGTACATCTGGTAGAATTTGGCTGTGAATCAATCAGATCCTGAGCTTTTTTCTGGTTGGTAGGATATCTATTACTGATTCAGTTTTGGAACTCATTATTGGTCTGTTCAGGGAATCAATTTCTTCCTAGTTCATTCTTGGAAGGGGATATGTATCCCAGGATTTTATCCATCTCTTTTAGGCTTTCTAGTTTGTGTGCATAGAGGTGTTCATAGCAGCTTCTGATGGTTATTTATATTTCTGTGGGGTCAGTGGTAACATCCTCTTTATCATTACTAATTGTGTTTATTTGGATCTTATTTCTTTTCTCCTTTATTAATCTAGCTGGTGGCCTTTTTATCTTATTAAGTTTTTCAAAAAAACAACTCCTGTATTCCTTGATTTTTTTAAATGATTTTTTGTCTCAATTTCATTCAGTTCAGTTCTAATTTTGATTATTTCTTGTCTTCCACTAGCTTTAGGGTTGATTTGTTTTTACTTCTCTAATTCTTTCAGTTGTTTTGTTAAGTTGTTAATTTGAGATCTAATTTTTTGATATGGGCATTGAGTCCTACAAATTTCTCTATGAACACTACCTTATCCATGTCTCAGAGATTCTGGTATGTTGTATCTTTGTTCTCCTTAGTTAAAAAGAACTTATTGATTTCTGCCTTAATTTCATTATTTACCCAAAGTCATTCAGGAGCATGTTGCTTAATTTCCATTTAATTGCATGGTTTTGAATGATTTTCTTAGTTTTTGGCTACTATTTTTATTGCACTGTGGCCCGAGAGTGTGCTTGGTATGATTTCAGTTCTTTTGCATTTGCTGAGGATTGTTTTTTGTCCAATTATATAGTCCATTTTAGAATGTGTGCCATGTGGTGATGAGAAGAATGTTATTATGAGGTGGAGAGTTTTGTAGAGGTCTATCAGATCCATTTGGTACAATTTGGGTTCATTTTCATACTGTTATGAAGAAATACCCAAAACTGGGTAATTTAAAAAGAAAAAGAGATTTAGTGGACTCACAATTCCATATGGCTGGGGAGGCCTCACAATCATGGCAGAAGGCTAAAGAGGAGCAAAGGCATGTCTGACATGGCAGCAGGCAAGAGAGCATGTGCAGAGGAACTGCTATTCATAAAACCAGCAGATCTTGTGAGACTTATTCAGTATCATGAGATCAGCATGGGAAAACCCACCTGCATGATTTATTACCTCCCACTGGGTCCCTCCCATGACACATGAGGATTATGCGAGCTACAATTTAAGATGAGATTTGGGTGGGGACACAGCCAAACCATATCATTCCACTTCTGGTCCCTCCCAAATCTCATGTCCTCACATTTCAAAACAAATCATGCCTTCCCAATAGTCCCCCAAAGTCTTAACTCATTTGAGCATTAACTCAAAAGTCCACAGTCCAAAGTCTCATCTGAGACAAGGCAAGTCCCTTCCACCTATGCACCTGTAAAACCAAAAGCAAACAAAAGCAAGTTAGTTTTTTCACAATGGGAGTAAAAAAAAAGATAAAATGGGGGTACAGGCATTGAATAAATACACCCAATCCAAATGGAAAAATGGGCCAAAATGATGTGGCTACAGGCTTCATGCAAGTCTGAAATCCAATGGGGCAGTCAAATCTTAATGCTCCAAAATGATCTCCTTTGACTCCACATCTTATATCCAGGTCAAGCTGATGCAAGACATAGACTCCCACAGCCATGGACAGATCCAGCCTTGTGACTTTGCAGGGTAGAGCCCTGGTCCTGGCTGCTTTCATGGACTGGCACTGAGTATCTACCATCCTGGGTTCTGGAGGACAGTGGCCCTCTTTTCACAGCTCCACTCGGCAGTGCCCCAGTGGGGACTCAGTGTGGGGGCTCTGACCTCACATTTCCCTTCTGCATGGCCCTAGCAGAGGTTCTCCATGAGGGCTCTGCCCCTGCAGCAAATTTCTGCCTGGACATCCTGGAGGTGCTTTCTCTTTTCCATACATCCTCTGAAATCTAGGTGGAGGCTCCCAAACCTCAATTCTTGATTTCTGTACACCTGCAGGCCCAACACCACATGGAAGCTGCCAAGACTTGGAGCTTGCACTCTCTAAAGCCATGGTCCATGCTGTACCTTGGCCCCTTTTAGCCATGGCTGGAGTGGCTGGGAGGCAGGGCACCAAGTCCCTACACTGCACGCAGCAGGGGGGAACTTAGACCTGGCCCAGGAGACCATTTTTTCCCTCCTGGGCCTCCTGGCCTGTGATAGGAGGGGCTGCCTCAAGGTCTTGGATATGCCTTGGAGACATTTTCCCCATTGTCTTCGTGGTTAAGTTTGTCTTCTTGCTACTTACGCAAATTTCTGCAGCTGGCTTGAATTTCTCCCCAGAAAATGGGTTTGTCTTTTCTACTGCATCATCAGGCTGCAAATTTTTCAAACTTTTATGCTGTTTCCTCTTGAACACTTTAGAAATTTCTTCCACCAGATTCCCTAAATGATCTCTCTCAAGTTCAAAGTTTCACATATCTCTAGGGCAGGGACAAAATGCTGCTAGTCTCTTTGCATAGCAAGAGTGACTTTTACTCCAGTTCCCAAGAAGTTCTTCACTTCCATCTGAGACCACCTCAGCCTGGATTTTTTTGTCCATGTGATTATTAGCATTTTTCTCAAAGCCACTCTAGAGTTTGGAACTCTAGAAAGTTCTAAACTTTCCCACATCTTCCTGTCTTCTGAGCCCTCTAAGTCTCTAAGAAGTTCCAAACTGTCCCACTTTTTCCTGCCTTCTTCTGAACCCTCCAAACTGTTCCAATCTCTGCCTGTTACCTAGTTCCAAAGTTGCTTCCACATTTTTGGGTGTCTTTAAAGCAGCACCCCACTACTCCTGGTACCAATTTACTGTATTAGTCCATTTTCATAATGCTATGAAGAAATACCCAATATTTGGTAATTTATAAAGAAAAGAGGTTTAATAGACTCATAGTTCCACATGAGGGGGGAAGCCTCACAATCATGGTGGAAGGTGAAGGAGGAGCAAAGGCATGTCTTATATGCTGGCATGCAAGAGAGTGTGTGCAAGGGAACTGCCCTTTATAAAACCATCAGATCTTGAAGACTTATTCACTATCATGAGAACAGCATGGGAAAACCTACCTCCATGATTCAATTACCTCCCACCAGGTGTCTCCCATGACACATGGGGATTATAGGAGCTAAAACTCAAGATGAGATTTGGGTGGGGATACAGCCTAACCATATGAGGTCCTGAATATCTTTGTTAATGTTCTGCCTTGATGATCTGTCTAATACTGTCAGTGGAATGTTGAAGTCTCCTATATTATTGTGTGGGAGTTGATGTCTCTTTGTAGGTCACCAAGAACTTGCTTATGAACCTGGGTGTTTCTGTGTTGGGTGCATACATATTTAGGATAGTTAACTCTTCTTATTGAATTTAACCCTTTACCATTATGTAATGCCCTTCTTTGTCTTTTTTGATCTTTGTTGCTTTGAAGTCTGCTTTGTCTGAAATTAGAATTGCAACTCCTGCTTTTTTCTGTTTTCCATTTGCTTGGTAAATTTTCCTCCATCCCTTTATTTTGAGTCTATAGGTGTCATTACATGTGAGACAGGTTTCTTGAATACAGCATACCATTGGGTCTTGCTTTTTTATCCAGCTTGCCACTTTGTGCCTTTTAAGTGGGGCACTTAGGCCATTTACATTCAAGGTTAGTATTGATATGTGTGGATTTGATCCTGTCATGTGTTGTCAGCTGG
This sequence comes from Homo sapiens, assembly GCF_000001405.40. Classification (NCBI taxonomy): domain Eukaryota; kingdom Metazoa; phylum Chordata; class Mammalia; order Primates; family Hominidae; genus Homo; species Homo sapiens. The sequence continues at coordinate 88,072,695 of NC_000005.10, read as the reverse complement.
TTATTATGTTATCTTGCTTGTGTTTTTGCTTCATAGTGTCACTGGTCTGTGTATTTAAGTGTGTTTTTGTATTAGCTGGTAACAGTCTTTTTTTTCTATATTTAGTGCTCCTTTCAAGATCTCTTGCAAGGTAGGTCTGGTGGTAAAAACTCCCTCAACATTTGTTTATCTTAAATGGATCCTATTTCTCCTTTGCTTAGGAAGCTTAGTTTAGCGTGGTGATATGGTTTGGCTGTGTCCCCACTCAAATCTCATCTTAAATTTTAGCTCCCATAATTCCTACATGTTGTGGGAGGGACTTGGTGGGAGGTAATTGAATCATGGGGCAGGTCTTTTTTCCTGTGCTGTTCTCATGATAGTGAATAAGTCTCATGAAATCTGATGGTTTTATAAAGGGGAGTTTCCCTGCACAAGTTCTCTTCCCTTGTTTGCCACCATGTGAGACATGCCTTTCACCTTATGCCATGATTGTGAGGCCTCCCCAGCCACATGGAACTGTCAGTCCACTAAACCTGTTTTTCCTTATAAATTACCCAGTTTTGGGTAAGTCTTTATCAGCAGTGTGAAAATGGACTAATACAGCTGGATATGAAATTCTTGGTTGAAGATTTTTTTCTTTAAGAATATTGAATATAGGCCCTGAATCTCTTCTGGCTTGTAGAGCTTCAGCTCAGAGGTCCCACTGTTAGCCTGATGGGGTTCCCTTTGTAGGTGACCTCACCTTTCTCTTTAGCTGCCTTTAATATTCTTTCTTTCATTTTGACCTTGGAAAATCTGATGATTAGAGTCTTGGGGATAATCCTTGTGCAGAATCTTGCAGGAGTCTCTGTATTTCCTGAATTTGACTGCTGGCCTCTCTAGCAAGGTTGGGGAAGTTGTCATGAACAATATCCTGAAGTATGTTTTCCAGGTTGTTTGCTTTCTTGCCCACCATTTCAGGCATGCCAGTGATTTGTAGATTTGGCCTCTTTACATGATCTCATACTTCTTGGAGGTTTTGCTCATTCCTTCTTATTCTTTTTATTTGATTTTTGTCTGACAGTCTTATTTCAGAGAGCTAGTCTTAAAATTCTGAATTTTACTTCTCAGCTTGGTTTATTCTGTTGGTAATACTTGTGACTGCATTGTGAAATTATTGTATTGTGTTATTCAGTTCTGTCAGACACATTAGTGTTTTTTTGTTTTATTTTTTAATATATTGGCTATTTTGTCCTTTAGCTCCTGTATGGCTTTCCTGTGATTCTCAGTTTCCTTGGACTGGGTTTTTCTATCCTCCTGAATCTTAATGATTTTTATTCCTATCCATATTCTGAGTTATATTTCTGTCATTTCAGCCAACTCAGTCTGATTAAGAACTCTTACTGGAGAATTCGTGCAGTTGTTTGGAGGACACAGAACAGGCCATTTGAGGTACCAAAGTTCTTGCATTGAATCTTTCCTATCTCTACATTTGGGTGTTCATTTAACTGCAGTGTATATTGAGTACAGTCAGTAGAGTTCTTTTCTGGATGTTTTCACAGGGCTGCAGCTTTGTGCAGTGTCTTTATTTGAAGCTGACTTCTTGTCTTTGGTTTCAGAGGGGGTAGGTTAGTAAGGTAATTTTGTATTGAAGCTTTGAAGTGTGATTCAGTAGGTGGCACTTAGATATATTGGTTGGTTGGTAGACTCTTGCTCAGTCATATGCTTCCTCTATGTTTTCTCAGAGTTGCAACTGTGTTTCCTCTCAATGCTCTGAAAGCGTGGGTTCCTCTCCATCTTGACTGCTGGCTGTAGATTCTGGCTTGGCATTCCTGGGCTGCCCACTGCAGTTTTGGGGTGATCTCAGTATTTATGTTCCTTTCCCAACTTGGAGAGAGTAGAAGAAGGGACCTTAGTAGTGGTTGTAGCCAAGGGTCTTTTGCTTGTCTCCTAGGGGCTCCACCCCAGAGGGATGCAGGTCAGCAATAATTAAGTGCAATTGGGCCAGGATGGAGGGTCTGTGCTGTGGGTGCAAGTCGGGGGTTCCTTGTTTGGTGAGAAGCAGTGGGGGTGGATGGGACCCGTGGAAGATGGACTGACCTCCTCTGTTTGGGTCTGCTGCAGCTTGTTGAAGGTGTGGATAAGGCATTTAGGGTCTTTGCTCCTTCATTAGTCTGAGAGTAGCAAGGCCAGTTTCACTGCAGAAGTAGTGGCAGAGAGGCTTTCAGTTGCCCCTGGGGGCTCTGTTCAGGGAGTTGCTGAGCTGCTTACTGGCTTGATACTCTCAGTGAGGGGTGGCTGGAGGCCCAGGCCTGGAGAACTTACCCAGTGAAGAGATACGGGAATGGGCACCCATGTTAACAGTCTGGTCACTTTTCCTTAGGGCTGCTGCAGTATGCTGGGAACTCACTCCAGTCCATAGTCACCTCAGATTTTCTAGTACCTGGAGGTACCAACAGCGAAGGCTGCAAAACAGCAAAGATGGTGGCCTGCTCCTCTCTCTAGGAGCTCTGTTCTATGGAGGTTTGACTCTTTTGCCAGTCCCAATGCACCTGTAGGAGGTGGCTACAGACTCCAGTTGGGAGGCCTCACCCAGTGAGGAGAAATGCGATTGGGGATCTGCTTAATAAAACAGAATGGCCATGCTTTTAGTGGAGCAGCTGTGCTGTGTTGGGGATCCACTTCAGCCTCTGGTCACCTCAAGACTCTTCAAAGCCTGAAGAGTGGAATGGCTAAGTCACCCAAACAGCAAAAACGGTGGCCCACCCCTGTCTTTGGGAGCTCCATCCTAGAGAGGTTTCAAATCCTTGTCAGCCAGAAAAAAGTGGGGAGGGTGGCTGGAGACCCTGGTTGGGAGGTCCCTCCCAGTTAGGAGGAACAGGATTGAGGACCCACTTGAAAAAGAAGCCTGACCACTTTTTTTGTAGAACAGCTGTGCTGTGCTCAGGTACTCCTTCCGCCCCGGTCAGCTTGGACTCTCCAAAGCCCAAAGGCTGGGACGGCTAAGTCACTCAAACAGCAAAGATGGAGGCCCACCACTTTCCATGGGAGCCTCCTTTCAGGTAGGTACAATGCTGCTACAGGTGGCTGGCTGAAATTCCAAGCCAGTGCATCTTATCCTGTGAGGTACCTTGGAAGTAGGGACTACAGACTGTTGCTGATCAGTGCCCTGGATTCAGCCCCTTTCCTAGAGGTATGTACAGGGTCTAATCTCCTGCTTTGCTGGAGCGGCAGCTATTTTTGCTGGGAAGCCTGAAAAACCCAGGTATCTAAGGCTTCTGGGTCTCCATGTGTACCTGTGTGGCTCCATGTAGCTCTGTTTGTTAGACTGAAGGCCCTGGTGGAGTGGGTTCATGAGGGGAGCTCCTGACCTGAGGGTTGCAAAGATCTATGAGAGAAGCATGGTTTTTTGGGGTTGCTCACTCATACTCACTGCATCCCTGGTGGGGGCAGGGGGAGGTTCCCCTGGCTCTGTGTCACTCCCGGGTGGGCCGTCATCCTGCCTTGCTTTTCTCCATTCTCTTGGGTCGAGTTGTTTCCTTGCATTAGTTCCAATGCATGTACCTGGATGTGTCAGTTGAAGATGCTGTATTTACATTCATTCCCTTTCATTCTTTTGTGTGAGAGTCATGTACACTAGCTGCTTCTAATCAGCCATCTTGGCTACCCCCCTCAGTATTATTTTTATTTTTTAAAATTTGTACAAATTTATGGGGTACATTTGAAGTTTTGTTACATCTATATAAGGCATAGTGATTAAGTCAGGGTATTTAGCATGTCCATCACCTGAGTACAGTACCTATTCGTGAAGTATAATCACCCTACTCTGCTATCAAACATTGAGTTTATTCCTTCCACCTTACATATATTTGTATCTTTTAATCCATGTCTTTTCATCCTTCCCTTTCCTCTCAATTCACCATTCCCAGTCTCTGTTATCTATCTTTTCACTTTCTACCTTTGTGTGATCAATTTTTTATTTCCCACATATAAGTGAGAACATGCAATATTTGCCTTTTTTTTTTTTTTTGAGACAGAACCTCACTCTGTCGCCCAGGCTGGAGTGCAGTGGTGCCATCTTTGCTCACTGCAACCTCCGCCTCCTTTGTTCAAGTGATTCTCCTGCCTCAGCCACCCAAGTAGCTGGGACTACAGGTGTGTGCCACTATGCCTAGCTAATATGTGTGTGTGTGTGTGTGTGTATAATATATATACACATATATATATAAAATATATATACACACATTTTTATATATATATATATATATATATATATAAATATATATGTATTATTTTTTTTCTTTTTTGAGACAGAGTCATACTTTATTGCCCAGGCTGGAGTACAGTGGTGTGATCTTGGTTCACTGCAACCTCCCCATCCTGGGTTCAAGCGATTCTCCTGCCTCAGCCTCTTGAGTAGCCGGGATTACAGGCATGCACTACCATGCCAACCTAATTTTTGTATTTTAAGTAGAGACGGGGTTTCACCATGTTGGCCAGGCAGGTCTTGAACTTCTGACCTCAGGTGATCTGCCTGCCTCAGCCTACCAAAGTTTTAGGATTACAGGCGTGAGCCACCGTTCCTCGCCTAATTTTTGTATTTTCATTAGAGACAGGGCTTCGCCATGTCGGCCAGGCTGGTCTCAAATTCCTGACCTCAAGCCATCTGCCTGCCTTGGCCTTGCAAAGTGCTGGGATTACAGATGTGAGCCGCCATGGCCTGTCCAATATTTGTCTTTTTGTACCTGGCTTGTATCTCTTAAGATAATGACCTCTAGTTTCATCCATATTTCTGTAAATGACATGATTTCATTCTATTTTATTGGTGAATAGTATTTCATTGTGTGTGTGTGTGTGTGTGTATATATATATATATATAAAATATTTTCTTTATCTATTGATGAACATTTAGATTGATTCCATATCTTTGCTACTGTGAATAGAGCTGCAATAAATGTGTGAGTGTGGTTACTTCTTTGATATATTCACCTATTTCCTTTTGGGTAGGTACCCAGTCGTGGGATTACTAGATCAAGTGGTAATTCTATTTTTAGATTTTTGAGGAATCTCCATATTGTTTTCCATAGTGTTTGTACTAGTTCATATACCTACCAATAGTGTATGAATTCCCTTTTCTTCACATCCTCACCAACATATGTTATTTTTTGTCTTTTTAAAAATAGCCATACTTACTGGGGTAAAATGATATCTCATTGTGGTTTTGATTTGCATTTCTCTGATGATTAATGATGTCAAACATTTTGTGATAAAACTGTTGGCCTTCTGTATGTCTTCTTATGAGAAGTATCTATTCATATCTTTTGCTCACTTTTTAATGGGATTATTTGTCTTCCCATTGAGTTGTTTGAGTTCATTGTATACTCTAAATATTAGTCTCCTGTCAAATTAAGTGTTTACAAAAATTTTCTCTCATACAACAGGTTATCTCTTCACTCTGTTATTTCTTTTGCTGTGAAGAAGCTTTTTGGTTTAATTCCCACTTGCTTCTCTTTGTTTAAGTTGCCTGTGATTTTGAGGTCTTAGTCATAAGGAATTTGCCTAGATCAATATGTAGAAGACTTTTCCCTAGTTTTATTTTATTTTATTTTATTTTTTGACAGAATCTTGCTCTGTCACCCAGGCTGGAGTCAGTGGTGTGATCTTGGCAACCTCTGCCTCCCGGGTTCAAGAGATTCTCCTGCCTCAGCCTCCCAAGTAGCTGGGACTACAGGCATGCATCACCACGCCCGGCTAATTTTTGTATTTTTAGTAGAGACAGGGTTTCACCATATTGGCCAGGCTGGTCTTGAACTCCCGACCTTGTGATCTGCCCTACCTCAGCCTCCCAAAGTGCTGGGATTACAGGCGTGAGCCACCATGCCTGGCTGATTCCCTAGATTTTTTCTAATACTTTTGTGGTTTCAGGACTTACATTTAAGACTTTAATACATTTTGAGTCAATGTTTGTATATAGTGAGAAAATAGGGGTCTAGTTTCATTACCCTGTATTTGGCTGTCCAGTTTTCCCAGCAGCATTTATTGAAGGGTGTGTTTTTTTACGAATGTAAGTTCTTGTTGGCTTTATTAAAGATCAGTTGACTGTAAATTTGTGGCTCTATTTCTGGCTTCTCTATTCTGTTCCATTAGTCTATACATCTATTTTTATACTAGTATCACGCTGTTTTGGTTATTATAGCCTTGTAATATATTTTGAAGTCAGGTAATGTTATGCCTCTCTAGCTTTGTTCTCTTTGCTGATGATTGCTTTGGCTATTCAGGTTCTGTATTTCATTCCACATGAATTTTAGGATTGTTCTTCTAATTCTGTGAAAAATATCATTGGTATTTCAATAGCAATTGCATTGGGTCTGTAGATGGCTTTGGGCAATATAGTCATTTTAAGAAAATTAATTCATCCAATCCATTAGCATGGAATGTTTTTCAATTTCTTTGTGTCATCTTCATTTCTTTCATCAGTGTTTTATAGTTTCTTTGTAGAGATGTTTAACTTTCTTTGTTGAATGCATTCCAAGGTATTTTATTTCTTGGTAGCTATTATTACTAGGATTTTCTTCTTGTTTTCTTTCTCAGCAAGATCATTATTGGTGTATAAAAACGCTACTGATTTTTGCACATTGATTTTGTATCCTGAAACTATGGAATTCATTTATTAAATCTAAAATAATTTTGGTGAAGTCTTCAGGTTTCTCTAGGCATAAGATCATTTCATCAGCAAAGAGGACAATTTGACTTTCTCTTTTCCCTATGTAAATGCCTTTTATTTCTTTGTCTTTCCTGATTTCTTTGGCTAGAACATCCGGTACTATGGTGAATAGGAGTAGTGAAAGTGGGCATGCTTGTCTTTTTCTAGGTTTTAGAGGACAGGCTTTCAACTTTTCCCTATTCAGTATGATGTTACCTGCGGGTTTGTCATATATGGCCTTTATTATGTTGAGACATGTTGTTTCTATGCCTAGTTGGTTGAGACTTTGTATCATGAAGGGATGTGGAATTTTACCAAATGCTTTTTCTGCATCTATTAAGATGATCATATGGCTTTTGTCCTTCATTCTGTTGATCTAATGTATTATATTTACAATTTGCATGTGTTGAAGCATTCTTGATCCCTTGGATAAGTACCACTTGATCACTTGATTTTATTGTACCATCTTTTTGATGTGCTGTTAGATTCAGTCTGGTAGGAGGATTTTTGTGCCTATGTTCATCAGAGGCATTGACCTGTAGTTTTCTTTTTTGTTGTTGTTGTTTCCTTGCTTGGTTTTGGTATCAAGGTGATGCTGGGCTTATAGAATGAGTTAGGGAGAACTCTCCTTTTCAATTTTTTGGAATAGTTTCAGGAAGATTGATAATAGTTCTTCTTTGTACATTTGGCAGAATTTAGCTGTTAATCCATCTGGTCTTAAGATTTTCTTTTTTGGGAGACTTTATATTACTGATTCAATCTCAGTTATTCGTCTGTTCAGGTTTTTCATTTCTTCCTGTTTTGATCCTAGTAGGATGTATGTTTTCGGAAACTTATCTATTTCCTCAAGGCTTTTCATTTTGTCAGCATGTAGGTGTTCATGTTAGTCTCTGAGGATCTTTTGTATTTCTGTGATATCAGTTGTAATATCTCCTTTTTCCTTTCTGATTTTGTTTATTTGGTCTTCTCTCTTCCTGGTTAGTCTAGTTAGTAGTTACCAGTTGTTTTTATATTTTCAAAAGAACGATTTTTCATATCGTTGATCCTTTGTATTGCTTTTTGGTCTCAATTTCATTTAGCTCTACTATGACCCTTGTTCTTTATTTTCTCCTGCTAATGTTGGGTTTGGTTTATTCTTGCTTTTCTGGGTCTTTGAAGTGCATTGTTGGATTGCTAATTTGGAATTTTTACACTCTTTTGATGTAGGCATTTATTGCTATAAACTTCCCTCTTAGCACTACTTTTGCTGTATCTCACAGTTCTTAGTATGTTGTGTTCCATTTTCATTTGTTTCAAGAAATTTTTTGAATTCCATCTTAATTTTTTATTGATCCAATAATCATTCAGGAGCAAAGTTGTTTAATTTTTATGTATTTGTATAGTTTCCAAAGTTCCTTTTGCTATTGATTTCTAGTTTTATTCCATTGTGGTCTGAGAACACACTTAATATGATTTCAAATTTTAAAAATTTTTCTGAGACTTTTTATGTGGCCTAATATGTGGTACATCCTGCAGAATGTTTCAAGTGTTGATGGAAAAAAAAATGTACATTCTGTAGTTGTTGGATAGAGTGTTCTGTAAATGTCTGTTAGGGCCATTTGGTCTAAAGTCCAGTTTAAATTCAATGTTTCTTTGTTGATTTTCTGTCTAGCTGATCTGTTTAATGCTGAGAGTGGAATGTTGAGTCCCCCACTATTATTGTATTGAGGTTTATTTCTTTCTTTAGATCTAGAATATTTGTTTTATGAATCTGGGTGCTCCAGTGTTGGATGTATATATGTTTAGAATTGTTAAATATTCTTGCTGGATTGATCTGTTTATCATTGTATAGTCATCTTATTTGTCTTTTTTTAATTGTTCTTGGGATAAAGTCTTTTTATCTGATATAAGTATAGCTACTCCTGCTGACTTTTGGGTTCCTTTTGCATGTAATAACTTTTTCCATTCCTTCACTTTCAGTTTATATGTGTCTTTACTGCTAAGGTGAGTTTCTTATAAACAGTACATAGTACTCCTGCTGACTTTTGGGTTCCTTTTGCATGTAATAGCTTTTTCCATTCCTTCACTTTCAGTTTATATGTGTCTTTACTGCTAAGGTGAGTTTCTTATAAACAGTACATAGTTGGATCATGCTTTTTAAAAAAATCAATTCAGCCATTCTGTGTCTTCTAAGTGGAGAATTTAATTCATTTATGTTCAAGGTTATTATTGATATATGAGGCTGTGTTTCTGTCACATTGTAAATTGTTTTCTGATTGTTTTATATATTGTTTATTCCCTTATTTTTCTCTTATGGTTTATTCTTTAAGCATTTCTTATAATAAATTGCCTCAGCATTTGCTTGTCTGGGAAAGACTTTACTTCTTCATTTATAAAATATAATTGTGTTGGTTAAAGTATTCTTGGCTTCTTGGCTGTGAGATTTTTTCTTTCAGCACTTTAAAAATATCATCCCGTTCTCTTCTGGTCTTTAAACTTTCTGCTGAGAAATCCACTGTGAATCTAATGCGGTTTCCTTCATAGGTGACTAGGCACCTTTCTCTTGCTGTTTTTAGAATTTATTCCTTATCATTGACTTTAGATGGTCTGATAATAACGTCCCATGGAGACCATTTTTCATTGTATCTGCCCATTGATCATTGAGTCTCCTGCATCTGAGTGTCTAAATCTCTTGCCAGACTTGGGAATTTTTCATTTATTATTTTGTTAAATTGATTTTCTAATCCTTTTGTTTTCTCTTTGCCTTGAGAATACCAATAATTTGTGTATTTGGTCACTTTATGTTGTCTCAAATGTCATGAAGGCTTTGCTTATTCTTTTTTGTTTTTTTTCTTTCTTTTTATCTGACTGGGTTATTTCAAAAGGCCTGTCTTTAAGTTCTGATATTCTTTCTTCTGCCTGATCTATTCCATTGTTGAAGCTTTCAAATATATTTTGTATTTTCTTCAATTATTTGTTCAGTTCTAGAATTTCTATCTGGTTCTTTTTAAAGTTATCTATGTCTTTGGTACAGTTCTTATTTATATACTGAAGTGTTTTTCTGATTTCTTTGTATTCATCTCAGAATTCTTTTGTATCTCACTGAGCTTCTTTAAAATCAATATTTTGAATTATTCATCTGGAATTTTGGTGATTCTTTTTGATCAAGATCTATTGCTGGAGAATTATGTGTTCTTTCTTTGTCATATTGACTTGTTTTTCATGTTTCCTGTGCCCTTTTGTTGATTTCTGTGCATCTGTGAATCAGTTTTTCCTATTTTTGAAATTACTTGTGGGGAGGACTTTTTCCTGAAGATATATCTGTGGTGTTGGTTGGGTAGGGCACCTTGGCTTTGATTCTGGATGCATATAATAGTGTAGTCTCTGTATGGATTATTTGGCTGTAAATGGTGTTAGTACTTTCTGTGATTTCCTCAGAGGGTTAGGGTGCACATATTAGCACAGGCTGTAGTGAAGTTGTGCTGGGGACTTGGAAGTCAAGTGGGCCAGACTTTAGGCCCCTGTGTTGGCAGCAGTGGGCTGAGCATGCCTATCTTTGTGCCCCAGGGTGGCATATGTTGGCACCTGTTTTGGCAGCTGATTCTTAAGTCTCCAGGTGGCTTGCTTGAATGCTGGTAATGGAAATGGTGGGCTAGGTGGGTAAGCATGTCCTTAGGTTCCTGGGCAGCTGGTGTGGTATGGGTAATGGCTGTAGCACTAATGGGATGACCTTCTGGGTCTTGAGTGATATAGATTGGTGTTGGCGGTGGCTGCAGTTCATGGTCACTCTCAACAGCTCCAGATACACTGCTCCCAGACTCTCCTATTCTCCATGGCATCAGAGCCACAGCATCACTCAGAGGGAGGAAGGGCTCTAACATTTTATGCAAGCCAAGCACGGCGTTCATGTCATCTATGGGGTTACAGTTACCACTTACTGCTCCAGACAAGTAGACTTTTGGTTCACCTGCCCTGGTATCTTGTAGAAGCAGGGGTGGGCATGCAGAGTGGGAAGAGCTCTATGTGAGATCTCAAGCACAGGGGCCACTCCACCAGTGGAAGGGCATATTAATCTTTGCTTGCACAGTGGAGCTCAGAGTTTGTGCCACTGCTGGTGGCAGAGCCACTTCTTTCTCCCAGAAAGGGAGCTCTTGGCCTCTGGAAAGAATGAAGTTTGGTTTACTTCATCATAGAGGCTGCCTTTTGTTGCACTGCACCATCCTTTCCCTGGGGAATGGCACTTCCTGTGGCCTAGAGTATTGAGGACCTTGCAGCATCTTTGGATTCAGCCAGTGCTCTGCCACTGCAGCCCTCCAGGTGGACAGTGATGAACATAAGTGGGAAATTCTGAACCGTGGAGATATGGAGCTGTTGCCCTCAAAGCAGAATTCAGTCCTATGACAGCTATGCTCCCCAAATGATGCTCTGTTGCAACTATTCAGGTCTGTGTGGGCATGGCCCTGTAGGAGTTTCCTGTCTGGTGCAATGCCCTTATGGGGTCTCTAAATCACCAGCCACATTAGTGTCAAGGTCTGTGTGGGTAGAGAAGCTCTTCTGTGTTTAGATTGGAGCAGTCTGTGGCCAGGATGTGAAACTCCAAAGCTCTCACTTACCTTTTTTTGCAATTTTGAGCCCTTTGGGGCTCCCAGCTGATCTTGGCTAAGCTGGCCACTTGCTTTCTTTGACTTCTATGCTTCAGGTGTTTTCTGTGAGTTCTCTGTTAGACTCTAGGTTCTCTCCCTGTTATTCTCTGTTGACTCTTCTTTCTGGACAAGGTGGGTGTATAATGTCTTGAGTCAGCCATCTTGAATCTTTTTTTGGAAACTCAGTTTTCAGGTAACTCAATTCTAAATATTTATGCTGACATTTATGATTTTAATTTAAAATTTTCTAGAGGAGATTAAATTAAATGATTAATAATTTAATCATTTAATTTTTAAATTATGATTTTAATTTAAAATTTTCTATTCTCTTACAAGGAGAATATAGTCCAGATGGGTTCTGTGACTTGCTAATTGTGCTCTCTTCTCTCTACTCCATTACTCTGTCCAGACAGGCTTCCTTGTGATCTGCTCTCCCAGCACCAGGACACCCTCTTTTATTTCACTTTCCGTGGGTGTTCCCATTGTCCATTTGAGAGTGGGCCCCCTTCACTGGTTTGGGAGCTCCCTGAGGTCAGGAACCATGCTATATTTGCACTTGCATTTCCTAGCACAGAGTCCGTTGTTTAATTCAGCATGTATTTATTTGGCACCACTAACAAGACAGATAAGAACTCAGGCTTTATAGATCTTCTGCAGTCTTTTCGGTTAAAGAAAGACGCAATTGACTTAAGATGCATGAAATTCCATGGTAGAAATGCAGCCTGTTCTTAGAGGGGCACCCTAGGGAAGGTTTCCTTTGGGAGTGATAACTATTTTGAGACCTGAAGAATGAGCAGGAGTCAGTGGAAAGGGACATGTAGCAAATTTTGCAGAATAAATATGCACTGGAAGAATTCATATGTTCTGGGTGGAAACAGAAATTTGATTATCTTATTTTCATGAAGATCCTCTTTATTTTTTTCATTGGAAGTAGTTTCTTTTTCATTTTTATTTTCGATTCAGCATGTACTTGTGCAGCTTCATTACATCAGCGTATTGCATAACGCTGAGGTTTGGGCTTCTAGTGAACCCATTAACCAAATAATGAACATGGTGTTTAGGGACTTAGAACATAGGTAGTTTCTCAACCCTCACCCCCTCCCACCTACCCCTCTCTTGGAGTCCCCAAGTGTTTATTATTTTACTTCCTATGTCCATGAGTACCCATTGTATAGCCCCCACTTATAAGTGAAACCATGTGGTATGTGATTTTCTGATTTTGAGTTATTTCACTTAGAATAATGGCCTCCAGCTTCATCCACGTTGCTGTAAAGGACATGACTTCATTCTTTTTTTATGGCTGCATAGTATGCCACAGTGTATATGAAACACATTTTCTTCATACAGTCAGTTGTTGATGGACACTCAGGTTGATTTCATGTCTTTGCTATTGTGAATGGTGCTGCAATAAAAATATGAATGAAAATGTCTTTTTGATAAAATGGTTTCTTTTTCTTTGGGTAGATACCTAGTAATGGGATTGTGAGGTTGAATAGTAGTTCTATTTTTAGTTATTTGAGAAATCCTCATACTGTTTTCCACAGGGGTTGTACTAATTTACATTCCTGCTGACAGTATATAAGCATTCCCTTTTCTCCACATTTTTGCCAAAATCTGTCAATGCTGACTTTTTAATAATAGCAGGGCAGTAACCACCCAGGGTACACAACCAGTATGGTGCCCATCATCTCAATTCAGGCCTGAGGGAAGTACAGGTGCCTTGTGCATGATAGTCACCTGGTCCTCTGTCCTAGGGAAGTTCCCAAGTCACCGCCAACAGTTTTGCCCAGGGTTTCAAAAGTAGAGGGGCTTCCCAACACTTTGGGGGTCAGCAGATTGTTGCAGGGGTGAGGGCATCAGAGAAGCCGCCACACCCATGTACCCTTTCCATGGGACTTCAAGTTCCTCGGGGCTCCATCTCTGCCAGACTCTTGCTGCTTTCCTTTTCTGATGCCTAGCTTCTTCCTGCGGGCATTACAACAGGGCCTTTCTTCCATCAGTATTCTATTCAGATAATTCCATTCACCTGTAACTTTAATCTTTCTGAGAAGAACTGGCATCCGATGTTGCTAATCAGCCATCTTGGGAGAAAAAAAGCAATTTCTTTTTAGTTGTTAAAATTATTGCATTCATTTTTGAAGCTCATGAAGGTTTTGGAGGCATAATTAAGAAGTTTATATTCACATATATTTTACTGCCTTTCTATTCTTATTGCTATAATTACTAGGATTCATTTTCAAATTTTTATCAATACTTTTTTGGGGGAAAATTTTTTCTGCACAAAATAACTTTTATAACATTTGAAATTAAAAATTTATGCATATAAATTTTATAAAACAGTGAAATCTTTACATTTGGCATATGTCTGCATCAAAATAAATTTTATTTAAGATAATTTGTTTTACACTGATTTTAATCACTCCTATAATGGTCAACACATTTTCAAAGTCCTTTTGCATATATTATGTCATTTCTTATATTAAATTCATAACATTTTCAAATAGTATCAGTCATGATCACTCCTCATGCAGCCATGCAAAGTAGACAATACCAGCATTGTCCCTTTCTAAATAGCCCTGACTGGACACAGGAAGAAGAAACTGAGTCAGAAAGATGACACATAATTAGTCTGGTCACAGAGTAGTATTATGTAAGGCACTTAGTTGTTTTTGAATTACTAAACATTTATTCATTTTGTTTCTTATGTAAATTTGGCAGATTTCTTTACCTGCTAGGTAAGTACTTCATTGCAAAGAACCTTGCGAATTGCTCTGGGTCATCTTACATGATAAATTATTTGCACTTACAGAAATAATAATTTATGCTTTACTTTACTGACCACTTAATGCCTAGGTATAAGGGCTGTCTAATATGAGTTTTGGTTTTGAGTCTCTGGCACTTTGATATTCATTTGCAGAGATAGTTCAAAATATTTAAATTATATGGCTATTACTTTTCTAATGTAATATGCAAGTGTAGAATGTTTGCACACACCACACTTTGTCATTAGTGGTGTCTCTTACATTTTCCTGACCCATGTTCCAATTCTTTTTTTTTTTTTAAGTTTTTTTTCTTTTATTATTATACTTTAAGATTTAGGGTACATGTGCACATTGTGCAGGTTAGTTACATATGTATACATGTGCCATGCTGGTGCGCTGCACCCACTAACTTGTCATCTAGCATTAGGTATATCTCCCAATGCTATCCATCCCCCCTCCCCCCACCCCACAACAGTCCCCAGAGTGTGATGTTCCCCTTCCTGTGTCCATGTGATCTCATTGTTCAATTCCCACCTATGAGTAAGAATATGCGGTGTTTGGTTTTTTGTTCTTGCGATAGTTTACTGAGAATGATGATTTCCAATTTCATCCATGTCCCTACAAAGGACATGAACTCATCATTTTTTATGGCTGCATAGTATTCCATGGTGTATATGTGCCACATTTTCTTAATCCAGTCTACCATTGTTGGACATTTGGGTTTGTTCCAAGTCTTTGCTATTGTGAATAATGCCACAATAAACATACGTGTGCATGTGTCTTTATAGCAGCATGATTTATATATACCCAGTAATGGGACGGCTGGGTCAAATGGTATTTCTAGTTCTAGATCCCTGAGGAATCGCCACACTGACTTCCACAATGGTTGAACTAGTTTACAGTCCCACCAACAGTGTAAAAGTGTTCCTATTCCTCCACATCCTCTCCAGCACCTGTTGTTTCCTGACTTTAATGATCGCCATTCTAACTGGTGTGAGATGGTATCTCATTGTGGTTTTGATTTGCATTTCTCTGATGGCCAGTGATGATGAGCATTTTTTCATGTGTTTTTTGGCTGCATAAATGTCTTCTTTTGAGAAGTATCTGTTCATGTCCTTTGCCCACTTTTTGATGGGGTTGTTTGTTTTTTTCTTGTAAATTTGTTTGAGTTCATTGTAGATTCTGGATATTAGCCCTTTGTCAGATGAGTAGGTTGCGAAAATTTTCTCCCATTTTGTAGGTTGCCTGTTCAGTCTGATGGTAGTTTCTTTTGCTGTGCAGAAGCTCTTTAGTTTAATTAGTTCCCATTTGTCAATTTTGTCTTTTGTTGCCATTGCTTTTGGTGTTTTAGGCATGAAGTCCTTGCCCATGCCTATGTCCTGAATGGTAATGCCTAGGTTTTCTTCTAGGGTTTTTATGGTTTTAGGTCTAACATTTAAGTCTTTAATCCATCTTGAATTGATTTTTGTATAAGGTGTAAGGAAGGGATCCAGTTTCAGCTTTCTACATATGGCTAGCCAATTTTCCCAGCACCATTTATTAAATAGGGAATCCTTTCCCCATTGCTTGTTTTTCTCAGGTTTGCCAAAGATCAGATAGTTGTAGATATGCGGTGTTATTTCTGAGTGCTCTGTTCTGTTCCATTGATATATATCTCTGTTTTGGTACCAGTACCATGCTGTTTTGGTTACTGTAGCCTTGTAGTATAGTTTGAAGCCAGGTAGTGTGATGCCTCCAGCTTTGTTCTTTTGGCTTAGGATTGACTTGGCGATGCAGGCTCTTGTTTGGTTCCATATGAACTTTAAAGTAGTTTTTTCCAATTCTGTGAAGAAAGGCATTGGTAGCTTGATAGGGATGGCATTGAATCTGTAAATTACCTTGGGCAGTATGGCCATTTTCACGATATTGAGTCTTCCTACCCATGAGCATGGAATGTTCTTCCATTTGTTTGTATCCTCTTTTATTTCCTTGAGCAGTGGTTTATAGTTCTCCTTGAAGAGGTCCTTCACATCCCTTGTAACTTGGATTCCTAGGTATTTTTTTCTCTTTGAAGCAATTGTGAATGGGAGTTCACTCATGATTTGGCTCTCTGTTTGTCTGTTGTTGGTGTATAAGAATGCTTGTGATTTTTGAACATTGATTTTGTATCCTGAGACTTTGCTGAAGTTGCTTATCGGCTTAAGGAGATTTTGGGCCGAGACAATGGGGTTTTCTAGATATACAATCATGTCGTCTGCAAACTGGGACAATTTGACTTCCTCTTTTCCTAATTGAATACCCTTTATTTCCTTCTCCTGCCTAATTGCCCTGGCCAGAACTTCCAACACTATGTTGAATAGGAGTGGTGAGAGAGGGCATCCCTGTCTTGTGCCAGTTTTCAAAGGGAAGGCTTCCAGTTTTTGCCCATTCAGTATGATATTGGCTGTGGGTTTGTCATAAATAGCTCTTATTATTTTGAAATACGTCCCATCAATAACTAATTTATTGAGAGTTTTTAGCATGAAGGGTTGTTGAATTTTGTCAAAGGCCTTTTCTGCATCTATTGAGATAATCATGTGGTTTTTGTCTTTGGCTCTGTTTATATGCTGGATTACATTTATTGATTTGTGTATATTGAACCAGCCTTGTATCCCAGGGATGAAGCCCACTTGATCATGGTGGATAAGCTTTTTGATGTGCTGCTGGATTCGTTTTGCCAGTATTTTATTGAGGATTTTTGCATCAATGTTCATCAAGGATATTGGTCTAAAATTCTCTTTTTTGGTTGTGTCTCTGCCCGGCTTTGGTATCAGAATGATGCTGTCCTCATAAAATGAGTTAGGGAGGTTTCCCTCTTTTTCTATTGATTGGAATAGTTTCAGAAGGAATGGTACCAGTTCCTCCTTGTACCTCTGGTAGAATTCGGCTGTGAATCCTTCTGGTCCTGGACTCTTTTTGGTTGGTAAGCTATTGATTATTGCCACAATTTCAGATCCTGTTATTTGTCTATTCAGAGATTCAACTTCTTCCTGGTTTAGTCTTGGGAGAGTGTATGTGTCGAGGAATTGATCCATTTCTTCTAGATTTTCTGGTTTATTTGCATAGAGGTGTTTGTAGTATTCTGTGATGGTAGTTTGTATTTCTGTGGGATAAGTGGTGATATCCCCTTTATCATTTTTTATTGCATCTATTTGATTCTTCTCTCTTTTTTTCTTTATTAGTCTTGCTAGCGGTCTATCAATTTTGTTGATCCTTTCAAAAAACCAGCTTCTGGATTCATTAATTTTTTGAAGGGTTTTTTATGTCTCTATTTCCTTCAGTTCTGCTCTGATTTTAGTTATTTCTTGCCTTCTGCTAGCTTTTGAATGTGTTTGCTCTTGCTTTTCTAGTTCTTTTAATTTTGATGTTAGGGTGTCAATTTTGGATCTTTCCTGCTTTCTCTTGTGGGCATTTAGTGCTATAAATTTCCCTCTACACACTGCTTTGAATGCATCCCAGAGATTCTGGTATGTTGTGTCTTTGTTCTCGTTGGTTTCAAAGAACATCTTTATTTCTGCCTTCATTTCGTTATGTACCCAGTAGTCATTCAGGAGCAGGTTGTTCAGTTTCCATGTAGTTGAGTGGTTTTGAGTGAGCTTCTTAATCCTGAGTTCTAGTTTGATTGCACTGTGGTCTGAGAGATAGTTTGTTATAATTTCTGTTCTTTCACATTTGCTGAGGAGAGGTTTACTTCCAAGTATGTGGTCAATTTTGGAATAGGTGTGGTGTGGTGCTGAAAAAAATGTGTATTCTGTTGATTTGGGGTGGAGAGTTCTGTAGATTATTAGGTCCGCTTGGTGCAGAGCTGAGTTCAATTCTTGGGTATCCTTGTTGACTTTCTGTCTCGTTGATCTGTCTAATGTTGACAGTGGGGTGTTAAAGTCTCCCATTATTAATGTGTGGGAGTCTAAGTCTCTTTGTAGGTCACTCAGGACTTGCTTTATGAATCTGGGTGCTCCTGTGTTGGGTGCATATATATTTAGGATAGTTAGCTCTTCTCGTTGAATTGATCCCTTTACCATTATGTAATGGCCTTCTTTGTCTCTTTTGATCTTTGTTGGTTTAAAGTCTGTTTTATCAGAAACTAGGATTGCTACCCCTGCCTTTTCTTGTTTTCCATTTGCTTGGTAGATTTTCCTCCATCCTTTTATTTTGAGCCTATGTGTGTCTCTGCACGTGAGATGGGTTTCCTGAATACAGCACACTGATGGGTCTTGACTCTTTATCCAGTTTGCCAGTCTGTGTCTTTTAATTGGAGCATTTAGTCCATTTACATTTAAAGTTAATATTGTTATGTGTGAATTTGATCCTGTCATTATGATGTTAGCTGGTTATTTTGCTCGTTAGTTGATGCAGTTTATTCCTAGTCTCGATGGTCTTTACATTTTGGCATGATTTTGCAGCGGCTGCTACCGGTTGTTCCTTTCCATGTTTAGTGCTTCCTTGAGGAGCTCTTTTAGGGCAGGCCTGGTGGTGACAAAATCTCTCAGCATTTGCTTGTCTGTAAAGTATTTTATTTCTCCTTCACTTATGAAGCTTAGTTTGGCTGCATATGAAATTCTGGGTTAAAAATTCTTTTCTTTAAGAATGTTGAATATTGGCCCCCACTCTCTTCTGGCTTGTAGGGTTTCTGCCGAGAGATCCGCTGTTAGTCTGATGGGCTTCCCTTTGAGGGTAAACCGATCTTTCTCTCTGGCTGCCCTTAACATTTTTTCCTTCATTTCAACTTTGGTGAATGTGACAATTATGTGTCTTGGAGTTGCTCTTCTCGAGGAGTATCTTTGTGGCGTTCTCTGTATTTCCTGAATCTGAATGTTGGCCTGCCTTGCTAGATTGGGGAAGTTCTCCTGGATAATATCCTGCAGAGTGTTTTCCAACTTGGTTCCATTCTCCCCATCACTTTCAGGTACACCAATCAGATGTAGATTTGGCCTTTTCACATAGTCCCATATTTCTTGGAGGCTTTGTTCATTTCTTTTTATTCTTTTTTCTCTAAACTTCCCTTCTTGCTTCATTTCATTCATTTCCTCTTCCATTGCTGATACCCTTTCTTCCAGTTGATCGCATCGGCTCCTGAGGCTTCTGAATTCTTCACGTAGTTCTCAAGCCTTGGTTTTCAGCTCCATCAGCTCCTTTAAGCACTTCTCTGTATTGGTTATTCTAGTTATACATTCTTCTAAATTTTTTTCAAAGTTTTCAACTTCTTTGCCTTTGCTTTGAATGTCCTCCCGTAGCTCAGAGTAATTTGATCGTCTGAAGCCTTCTTCTCTCAGCTTGTCATAGTCATTCTCCGTCCAGCTTTGTTCCATTGCTGGTGAGGAACTGCGTTCCTTTGGAGGAGGAGAGGCGCTCTGCTTTTTAGAGTTTCCAGTTTTTCTGTTCTGTTTTTTCCCCATCTTTGTGGTTTTATCTACTTTCGGTCTTTGATGATGGTGATATACAGATGGGTTTTTGGTGTGGATGTCCTTTCTGTTTGTTAGTTTTCCTTCTAACAGACAGGACCCTCAGCTGCAGGTCTGTTGGAGTACCCTGCCGTGTGAGGTGTCAGTGTGCCCCTGTTGGGGGGCGCCTCCCAGTTAGGCTGCTCAGGGGTCAGGGGTCAGGCACCCACTTGAGGAGGCAGTCTGCCCCTTCTCAGATCTCCGGCTGCGTACTGGGAGAACCCCTGCTCTCTTCAAAGCTGTCAGACAGGGACATTTAAGTCTGCAGAGGTTACTGCTGTCTTTTAGTTTGTCTGTGCCCTGCCCCCAGAGGTGGAGCCTACAGAGGCAGGCAGGCCTCCTTGAGCTGTGGTGGGCTCCACCCAATTCGAGCTTCCCGGCTGCTTTGTTTACCTAAGCACGCCGGGGCAATGGCGGGTGCCCCTCCCCCAGCCTCGCTGCGGCCTTGCAGTTTGATCTCAGACTGCTGTGCTAGCAATCAGCGAGATTCCGTGGGCGTAGGACCCTCCAAGCCAGGTGCGGGTTATAATCTCGTGGTGCGCCGTTTTTTAAGCCGGTCGGAAAAACGCAGTATTCGGGTGGGAGTGGCCTGAGTTTCCAGGTGCCTTCGGTCACCCCTTTCTTTGACTAGGAAAGGGAACTCCCTGACCCCTTGCGCTTCCTGAGTGAGGTAATGCCTCGCCCTGCTTCGGCTCGCACACGGTGCGCGCACCCACTGACCTGCGCCCACTGTCTGGCATTCCCTAGTGAGATGAACCTGGTACCTCAGATGGAAATGCAGAAATCACCCGTCTTCTGCGTCGCTCAGGCTGGGAGCTGTAGACCGGAGCTGTTCCTATTTGGCCATCTTGGCTCCTCCCCATGTTCCAGTTCTTCAGTGTCTTGAAAGTTACTGCGTAGTAGCAGGTAAGAGTTGACCTCAATCAGAGCTAGACTTTGTTTCTAATACTAAGATAGGAATCTGTTGTTAACCAATGATTATCTAAAAATGTAGCATAAAAAAGGATCATAATGTGGTTGACTCTAATTTGGGATTAAAAATGACCAGATCAAGTGGTCAGAATACAATGTATTGAATTTGACTATACTAGTTCTTTTTGTCCTATAGAGTCATTAGAAGGCTCTAATATAGTAACAACATGTCTTTTATCTAGAGCTCACTCCTTCAGCTACTAAACCTAATGGTAGATATGGCTATGAGCAAGAGAGGCAGCCAAAATCAACAACAACAACAAACCAAAAAGCTTTTAAGAAGCAAATGCAGATGCCAAGATGTCTTCACACTATATTTCACATATTTAAGACAAATATAATGCCTCATTACCTCATATAATTTCAATGTCAGGTTATCTGGGTTTCTAGCCTGTTAGAATTTGAAATTGGAATAATAAATTGACTACTAGACAAAGGAATATTGATAATATTAAATAGATATAGCTGAAAACATGAAGAGATAAAAATAAGTATCATGTATAATAAATACTTTCACTTGTATGGAAACCTGATTCACTATCAGTGCCAGATAAACAGGGGGTCATTATATTTTGTAAAATAGCCAGAGTCTGCATATAAAGATTGAAGATTTCCCTACACACTTAAGTGCTTAAAAATAATATTGAAGAGCCCAAATTTGGAGGCTTTATTTTCTGAGTGATTCTATAAAAGAAAAGAGAGACCATAATAACTGTTCCCTTTTTAATCATTTGCCCTTACATTTGTTTTGTTTTATTTTATTTTTCATGAAAATTTTGATGTCTCTTGTCTCCTTGCCCTCTTCTCTTCAGAGAGCCATTTAATGTCTGTCAGATGTCATGTTATATGTTATAATAACACCACATGATTATATATAACACCATAAAACATATGTGTGTGACAGCTAGTCATAACCATGCCAATGATGATGATCAGATTCGATTATACATTTTTAAAAGTCTATATGACATTTACATCATAGGCGACTTCTGTGCTCATCTTTGTGGTGGTAATTTTTAAAATCATCTTTCTTTTTTCTTTTCTTTCAAATTAACCATTGCATGGAAAAAAAGATAATATCAAGCAAAAATTATGTTTGATGAACTTAAAGATACATTTTTTCAATCTCAATATTTTTGTATTAAACATTTGTAGTCATTGCATAAATTTTAGGCCATCTAAATTATTTGTAAGCATAAAGTAATGATTATCAAGCATGTTATTTTAGAAAAATTGCAAGAAATAATTTAGAAAGGAAGTGCAAATCTAATATTGTATGGAGGAGTAAATCAAAACAAGACTACATATGTTAAACTAGGAAAATATTATTGAACAAAATGAAAAAATATCTATGAAGAACGAAATAGAAGAAAAAATTGTTCCTGGAAAAAATGAAAAAGTAGAGGAATTTTTAAAATCTGTCCATTTTAATGACCTGATAACAGGGAAGAAAGTGGAGTTATATGTGAGTTGATTTGCTGCAGTCGCATGAGAACCACATTTTGTCTCAGAACTGCTGCATGTGGATCTGTGGAATGACTTTAGGAGGAATCCTAAGTGACTAAATTTCATGCAACAATCATTATTGTGGGCCTTTTTAAGTGATGCCCCTCTGTCTTTCTAGATTCTTATGTTATGTTTTTACAACTTTTACATTTTTCATGTGTTTCATAAAAAAACTCATAATAAAGATTTTACCCAATTGTAGCAGAAAGCCTTAAACAGAGCTGAAATACCTCAGTCATTTTCTTTTGATGTCTCTCAGAAATTAGCTAAGTTAAAGCCACTCATAATGTTACACTATAAGAACTTAAAATGGAGGACAAAATGCTTAATATTCCAAGCATGACCCAAATACTAAATACAAAGAGATCTGACAGAAAAGACTTTTGCTGAACTCTATGGAGAGCTATATTTGAGAAGAAAAAACCCAATAAATAAATAAAGTAAAAAAATAAAACCTCAAACTAAACCAACCATAAAAAATTCAGTGGTTACCTAACTTATACTTCATGTCATTTCGTTTCATGCTAAAGTAATGGCTAGCTAATTAGGATTTTTAAATAAAACTGTGTGATGCTTTTTTTTTTATGCTTTGCAACGTCTTAGTCAGGTATCTGCAAATAGTATTCGTGTCAATTGTCTAAGAGAAAAATATAGACTAATTAAAATGCTAATCTTTAGTAAACACATAAGCACTTGCATGAAAATTAAACACTTGTGTTGCTAATTCATGAATACATGCTCAGACATCAGGAACGCTGCAACTAGTGTGGACTTCAGTCTTGGGCTTAACAGCCTCGTCTACATGTCAAATCCACTTCAGGGCTGAGAGTATCCACCATTGAAATCACCCAGTGTGCCTTCTCACAAGAGTATCTAAGGAGAAAAGAAAAGTGATGTGTACTTTGAGAAGATTATTTAAAGCCTGCAGATTCATTAGGGGAGAACTTAATTGTGATAGAATCTATAATCCTTTCAGTTCATCCCATAAATAATAACAGTCTGAACTCTATTGAATCACATGGCCTTTTTTGCAAAAACCTATAGAAGAGAGTCCTCAAAACTGAATAGATGGAATTGAATGGACCTGATAAGTGGGAACTAGAATTTGATGGACAGCCTTTCACCTCTAGGTTATTGGTTTGTATCTGACCCAGGTGATGAAAAGTCGTTGTTCTACAATGGCTGTTTAGTAGTTTTCTGTGTAATGAGCTGTTGGCTTCAGTCCATTCCTCAGTGGACAGGTGTCTGATCGCATTCCCAAATCACCACTCCACTTGTCAGTCACATTTGAGGTCAAGGGCTAAATAGGAACTGAGGCCAAAATACTTTCTCATTCTGATAAGTACAGACCTTCCTTTGTTGGTTGACTTGGTTGAAAAACAAAAACTGCCATTGTCACTGTTCATGCTCTGCCTATATGCTATGTAAGAAGATTTTATTGTTTAGGACTTCTATCGTAATGAAAAATTATTAGTTTCTTGAATGTACATGTTTTTATTGTGACATATCATGAAAAGAGAGATGCCTAAATACACTCTCAGTCCCAAAGGACATTAAAATTTACATTTATTAATCTAACTGTAAGAGAAATATGTCATACTGAGAAAGCATTGGCATCTGGTTTTAATTCACTGACACAGAAGAATTGTGATATAGGCTCCAAATTCTCAGTAGTAAAACTGGCAATTAGAAGATAGCCAGCAGCTGAACATTATATGATCTTTCTGTCTGGAAGAACAGCTCTCTTTGAGGTGGGAGGTAGAAGAAGACATGTAGAAAAGACTCTCTATTTAATGCCTTCTGAAAAAGTGGGTATAAGCTGCTTCTGATAAAGTGGGTATAAGCTGCTTTAGTTTAAACTTGGTTTAAATACTATTGTTTCTATATTGTCCACCATTATACAAAGGTGGATTTATATTTATTAGCATTTCTGGAAAAGTTTGTGGCTTGGATTGATAAGTCAAGGCCAGAAGCCGGAGAACTCAGTTGTTTAAACCCACTGGATGTTTCAGACAAAGATGTGTTTTAAGTAAGAGTCATGCAGCTCTTGTTCACTGGCTTCTGTAGCTCTGGTCTTTACTCACTTAAGAAAAATAGTACCAACTTGGGTCATCTTATTGTCTGTCCTGGTGGGGTTTATTGCTAAATACATTTCTAACTTATTAAAAGTAACTGGATTGAATGACAAACTTTAAATCAATCTTAATTATCATGTATCTCATAGTTCATTTTTAAGCTTGAATCTATGTGATTAAAAATTACTAGCTAGCTCATTACACTGTTTCTTCTACTCATTGATCTAATAGCAAACATTCTATTGCTACAGTCCTTAGAAACTGAAAAAAATGACAAAATACTAGGAATCCTAAGGTTTGACATGAAACCAAGGGCTGTATTATTTCTTGAGAGATATATTTTCATACCTGTGCCCAGTTTTCTTGCCTCACTTTTATATTTATTTCTTTTAGGCCTATTGAGAAAATGATGCATTTGTTCAAGTTTTTGAAAAAACAAGCGGTAAAAACACTTGTTATTGGTAAAAACAAGTGGCAAGAATTTCCATGGGACTATCTGTAGACAAATTTCAATTGGTGTTTTCTCTTTATCCTCATAATATTTATGTAATTAGTAAACTTGAAGGGTAAAAATTTGACTTGAACTGTGACAATACCTAAATAGTTAATTTTTCTTTCCTTAGAAAATGAGCTTTATTAATGTAAATAGCTACTGAACTTTTTGAAACTTTAGAAATACCATAAATATTTATTGAATGCCAACCAGGTAAGAATAAGTGAGGGCCAAGAGTCTTAGAAAAAACACTTTAATAATTTTACTCTAAAAGGCAGTCAGGGTTGATACGATTTGGCTCTGTGTCCCCAACCAAATCTCATCTCAAACTGTAATTCCCATGTGTCAAGGGAGGGAGGTAATTGGATCATGGAGGCAGTTTCCCCTATGCTACTCTCATGAGAGTGAATGAGTTCTCATGAGATCTGATGGTTTTATAAATGTTTGACAGTTCCTACTTCAGAAGCTTTCTTTCCTGCCAACTTGTGAAGAAGGTGCTTGCTTCCCCTTCTGCCATGATTGTAAGTTTCCTGAGGCCTCCTCAGCCATGTGGAACGGTGAGTCAATTAAACTTCTTTCCTTTATAAATTACTCAGTTTGGGGTATTTCTTTATAGCAGTGTGGAAATGAACTAATAAAAGGTTATTTGTATTATATTCCCCTTCTTCAGTGAGATTGTAAGAAAACAATGAGTACCCCTTTGTATTGGGTGGGAGGTTCCTGAAGCAAGAGGTAGACTATTTTATCTTCAGAAATTCCTACTGGACTTGAGGGATTGCTTTCTAAACCCTGACACATGGAGAATCATATGTCGTGTTATCCATATTTAACCTGTTTATTCATATTGCTCTTGTCAGTATGTAGTCTGATCAGTCAACACCTGCCTGATTTGGAAGGGTTTAATTCTTAGTGCTTTTCTCATGCTTGTTAAATGATGCTTACTGAAGTCAACATAGCTTCAGGCCCACAATGCAGGATGCTGATGATGGAGTGTGTTAAGCAATGCTGCCCACATTTCTAGTGCCCCGTTAGTATTTGTCTTCCTATCTTATATCAGATGCTCTACCTAAAGATGTTAATCTTCAGAACAATAAGCAAGTTGAGTTCATATTCCTCCAGTTTTACTTAAAAATCATGTTGGATACCTGTGGTATTAAGTAACTGTGTGTAAGGTGAAGGCTTTGGGCAGGTGGTAGAGGCAGCTTGTGGCAGCCCCTTTCCCCCTGCTCAGAGTCAGTGCTGATTATTAACAGGAGATGGGTGCTGAAATAGAGGACTTGAGTGGGAGCCTACACGATTATCAAAGGTGTGGCATGCATGTGTGCTTATGTGTGCGTGTGCGTGTGTGTGTGTGCACATGGTGTTTTAAACACAACTGTATTCAGTTAATCACATTGGTGGGAAACAAGTCTTGTGGTGGCATTGGTAGGTTTGCAGCAAGTTATTCAGTCTGGCAACTATTGCAAATTAGGGCCTTATTCAGGAAGGGATATCAGTTTAAGAGTAGACAGAACACACTTACTGAGGTTAATTCAGACCTTCTTTGAATGGGGTACATTTTCTTAGAAGCAGCCACAAAGATAAATGCATCACGTGAACCTCGGAACCGAACTGCTGAATGAAGATATTGGAGGACTGGAGCTATTCATTTCCATTTACAGAATCCAAATTGCTGAAAAGTCATGGGAAGGCAGGAAAGAGACTTCTTGTTTTTTAAAATGCTCCCTGGCATTTGTCTGCCTGCGTCATCCAATGTAGTATCTCATTCTGCTGCCACCCGGAGTCCCATTCACTGGTTTGTTTAACCTCAAAGTGGGAAAGTAACTAACACAAATACATTCATTGTCCATGCTCTAATAGAATTAAGGTTCCCAATACACTGCCTGCATTTGAATGAGGTTTGTTACACACTGGCTTTTATGGTCACACCCTTTTCCCTTGATGGTTCTTAAGAATGGTAGAAGCAGGAGACCAGAAATTTTGTAAGCTCATAAATATGAAGCACACTGTGCTTAAATAACGCCAGGGTGGTGATACAAATGGACCAATGCCAGGAAACTCAAAGTTAAAGCTAACAATTCATCCTTACATCACTATGAATAAGAAGGGAGGAAAAAGGGGCACTGTGTTAGTTATGGTTGTGCTGCCAGCAGATTGGGATAGCTCTAATGGGCCGGTGTGGCACAGAGCTTTGAATTGCACAGTGTTTACCCAGAAGACAGGAAGTAGGTCTATTCTGCTTCAGAAAGGCCAGCTCAATAAATTAGGGAATTACATAATATTGTTTATTTCACACTGTACATTATCAACTTGACTGTAAGCATTTAGAAATAAATCTATATCTAGTATCTTGCCAGTTGGTGGCAAAGACTGGTACAGGACACTTAAAACAGAAGCAGTTATTATGGGACTGTGTGGGCAGGACCATGGCATTACATTTGTGGTGGTAAAGCAGCAAATATTTATCTTTTTTTAACACTAAGGTGAGAGGAAGATGAACGTTCTTTAATTAACAATTACTGAACAAGTAACTTTCTAAAATACAATCAATCACTTTTAAAAATAAAATAAATTACATGTCATTTTCTGCTTGATATGTAATTGCATTTGATTTGTCTTGTTCTTAATATATGCATTTTATTTTCATAATCTTTAACTCCATATTTTATATAAACTAAATTTCTTAAAACTCCACATTGCTATGCTCTGCCTTACCTTATTTTTCTTTCTTCTGCAATGGATTTTAGTGCCAACCCAGATTCTTCAATGCCTTAGGTAACCCATGGTTGCAGGCAATGCCCCTTTGGCAGCCACTTTAGTTCTTTTGGGTACTAGATTCTCTTTGGAGCCAATTAAGCCTGAAGAATGCCTGAATCCTTGAATAGCTGTACTCAAAAGGCAGTACGCATAGAGATATCCTCTTGGAAGTGTATTCTTTTTCCCAGCAGGTTTTAAAATATAATAATAATAATGAAGACACTGCTACCGCTGCTACCACAACCAGCTAATAGTAGTTTACTCCATTCTCCCTATGTGTTGGGCACCGTGCTAAGTGCTCTTTGTGAGTTATCTTATTTAACCTTCATAAAAAACTCTGTGGAATAGGTCCTATTACTAATCTCATTGTATCAGTTAGAAATGCTTACAGCTGCAAGTAACTGAGAGCTCAACTTAGAATAGCAGAATAAATTAAACATAGGTGCTTTTTTTTTAACATAAAAAGAAGTTTTGAGATAGGCAATTATGGATAGTTACTCTGTGTCTCAGTGATGTCAGGGCCAGTATATTTGGGATTCTCCAGGCGTTTCCCTCAAATTGCAAAATGATTGCCACAATTTAAGACATCTCTTCTGCATTCAAAGCAAGAAGATAGAGAAAGAGGTAGAGCTATCTACCTCTGTCTCTTCTAGAGGCAGCAAAGGGTTTCTTAGTGTCTCCTACCAGAGATATATCTCACTAGCCGTAATGATTCCATATGGACAGCATTATATCCTAGCTGGAAAGTAAGTGGCTAACTCTTTCACCTTCTATTGGTGTAGCCAGACTAAGTATTTGTTATTCCTACGTAGAGATAAGGATAACAGGGCACAGATAGGCTAATTGCCTAATTTTAAGGAGCTGGTGAGTGGCAGTGCCAGGATTTGAACTCAGGCTGTGTGATTCCAGAGCCCACATTCTTAATCAGGATGACACCTGGTTTTCTCCATTTCTTTAGTTCATTTTTTCCCCATATGGTGATGTGGCAACCAGAGGGAATACTTAAATAAAGTAGTTCTCATATAATTTGAATCTACAGGACTGTTTCAATATCAGTTTAATTTATACAGCCCTCATTTGCCACCGTATTGCTAAAGATGGAAATCTCCAAAGCATATTATCTAACTGTATTTAAACAGGCTATCATCTTGTCACTTACATGTGTTACTGAATAATCTCACCACTTATGGACAAAAACTATTATTTTAAGAGCTTTAATTCCTCTTATTTTTTACACTGAGAACTGAGCATGCCCAAGTATGCTTTGAAACCTGTAATTAGGATACAAACTGTCTTATTGCCAAGCAATTCTTCCTTCCTCTCACCACAAACTCCATAATAGTTTTCTATTGCAGATAATTGTCAGAGATATTAGCGTATTTTTTCTTAATTAAAAAAATAGCATTAGAGCTTCCTCTCACTTTTAAGGTCCCTTGGTTATAAATTTGTTAGTTGTTTTATTTGATTAGCAGTTAGCTGTAATTACAGACATTTTGGGGATATCTGCATATCTTTCCAAAATGTAAGGAAGCTAGAAGATACACAGGGGTCCACTTGCTAAAAAATAAAGCAACAGGGAAGGGCTTGTTCCAGTTCTCATTGCCATTCTTTTCCCTGGGAGTTACTAGTGAATAGAGCAGGTATAATACCTAGCAATGCCACATATATTATACACTGGTTTTATTTGGTTCATAATAAAGGTGATGCATTCCAATTCCAAAATGGATGAGACTTACATAAAGTCTAAAAAAAATCGACAACTTTACACCGTGAAGGTCCTAGAATATGTAAACATAAAATATGTAATCTATCTTTGATTTGCGCCATAATGATCCTTTGCTTTGAAATCATGGCTATATTACCAAACTGACAGTTTTAATGGAAAAAGTGGCTTTCAAAAGCTGCTGTTGAAAACACACTGCATAATTCTCCAAGTCGTGAATATTTTACTACCAACATATGCAAGAAGGCAGTGAAAACACACTGGCATTTTATTCCCTGCGAGCTGGAATGGAAAACATTCACTGGTGTTAAAACTGCATATTTGTAATATATGAAAATTCTTAAATACCTATGTATGTACACTGTTGTTACTGGCAGGAACACCACTTCATAGAGTCATTTGGAAGACAATAAATGTGTATATTTTCATTTGTAATTTTCTCATTCAGCAAATATCCATTGGGGCCCATTGTATGTCAGGCACTGTACTAGGCTCAATACGAAGATGAACAGGGAAAATCCCCCACGACTGCTATCAGTGAATTCAGTCTAGTGGAGGTGTGTCATGTAGAAGGCTCTGGGTGAATGCTGTGGAGGCACTTAGGGAAGGCTGGAACTCATAGGCAGGGAAGTCAAGTGCAAAGTTCCTTGAGTTTCTTGCAGCCTGTGGAAGGTATGTTTGGGCCAGAGAACAGTTGATGGCCCTGTTTGGCTGTGTACCAGCTGATAGACCCTGCCCTTCTGTGGCTTTTGTGGCCAAGACAGTGTTAGTTGGGGGACTGAGAGGTAATAATTTTCCCATCAGTGCCAAGTCTGAGCATCAGTGCTAGCTGTTTTTAGAAGTGATGAGAAATGCTAGTTCCCTACACGGAGACCTGGGACCCCTGGTTCCTTAGGAAGTCAAGGTAGGGTACAGCCCATTTTTCGGAAGGGAACTATTGGCCATGCTTCCCCCTAGCTCACTGACAGGCCACCAAGGATAAACCTTGATTGGATCTTGGATTAAAGTAAAAAAAAAAAAAAAAAAGAAAGCTATAAATAACATTTTGAGGATAATTTGGGATATTTAAATATGAGCTCTATGATAGATGACATTATTTGTTTAATTTTAAATTTCTTTGGGTGTGGTAATTGTATTGTTGCTAATAGGAGACTGTTGAGGTACTTAGGGGTACCCCATGATACTTAGGGGTATCATGATACTGGCAACTGATTTTTCAGATGGTTCAGGAAAAAATGTGTGTGTGTGTGTGTGTGTGCATGTGTTCATGTACTTGTGTGGTGAGAGAGAGATTGAACAAGTGTGCCAAACTGATAACAAATTACTGAATTTAGGTGAAAGAAATGTAATTTTTTTCTTCATATGGCTTTCTCCCTGCATCTCTGTGTGTCATCTTCTCTTTTTTAAAGTTTCATATTATTGTAATTGGCATATAATAACTTTACATATTTATGAGGTACAATTTAATGCTTTGATACATGTATACATAATGATCAAATCAGGGCAATTAACCTCAAATATTTATCATTTCTTTGTGGTGAGAACATTCAAAATCATCTCTTCTAGCTATTTTGAAATATGCAATACATTATGGCTAGCTATAGTCAGCCTGCTGTGCAATAGAACATCAGAATTTATTTCTCCACTGACTAACTTTTCCTGTTCCTTTCATCTTACCTTGTCTCCCCAGCCTCTGGTCACCACTATTCCACTCTACTTCTACGAGTAACTTTTTTAGATGTCACATGATTGAGATCATGTGGAATTTGTCTTTCTGTGTCTGGCTTACTTCATTTACCAAATGTCTTCCAGGTTCATCTATGTTCTTAAAAATGACAGGATTTTCTTTTTTTTAATTGCTGAATAATATTCTTTTGTATAAATATTTCATATTTTATTTTTGCATTTAATTGTTGTTGAGTATTTTGGTTGATTCAGTATCTTCACTATTGTAAATAATGCTGCAATAAACACCAGAATGCAGATATCTCTTTAATGTACTGACTTCATTTCCTTTGGATATATACCCAGTAGTGGGGTTTCTGGATCATATGGTGGTTTTATTTTTAATTTTTTGAGAAACCTGCATATTGTTTTCTACAATGGCTGCACTAATTTACATTTCTACCAACACTATGTAAGGGTCTCTTTTTCTCCACATTTTCGCCAACACTTGTTATCTTTTGTCTTTTTGATAATAGCCATTCTAACTGGAGGAAGGTGTATCTCATTGTGGTTTTAATTTGCTTTTCCCTGATGATTAGTGATGTTGAGCATTTTAAAATATATTTGTTGGCCATTTGTATGTCTTCTTTTGGAAATGTCTATTGAGGTAGTTTGCCCATTTTTTAATCAGATTATTTTTTGTTGTTGTTTTGCTATTGAATTGAGTACCTTATAAATTCTCGACATTAACCTCTTATCAGATGTGTAGTTTGCAATTATTCTTTCCAATTAGGTAAGTTGTCTCTACATTCTGTTGATTATTTTCTTTGCTGTGTAGAAACTTTTCAGTATGATGTAATTACATTAGTCTATTTTTGCTTTTACTGCCTGGGCTTTTGAGGTTTTAACCATAAAGTCTTTGTCCAGAACGATGTCATGAAACATTTATCCTATGTCTTCTTCTAATAGTTTCATAGCTTTCAGTCATATATTTAAGTCTGTAATCCATTTTGAGTACAGAACTTTTTTAAAATAAGATTTTATAGCTTTGTATCCAGAAAATTCATAAACAATGACAATATATGTGCCCTAATTAGGACAGTTTGCACAGAAATTTAGTGGCTAAGTTTGGCCCACTGTTGAAAAAGACAGAATTGTGTAATTCAAATGTGTTTATGAAATTAAAAAACTTTTAGATACCATTGTAACAACTATATTACAATCTCTTAGCTAAATGAGTAGTTACTGAACAAAGTACACAATAAAGGAATTAATATATTTTCCAATTATTCTTCCAGCCTAGGCATATCAGTCAGATTTCTGATATTTGATCTATAAAAATAGATGCAGAAATAGATATGGACTTAGAGGGAAAAAATTATACAATTGGGTTTGGACAAAAGTTCATCCCCTACTGTCTCCCTAGCCCCTATTACTACTTTTTATGGGAATGCCTCCTGTTTTATTATACAATATATGTCAGTATATCTAGATGTTGATTAGGTTATCAAACTTTTGAATTTCCATCTCACTCTTACTTCCTGCTGTCTCTTTCAGTGTCCATTAACTTCTTGACAACATTGCAGGAGGGAGAAGAATTAAGAGTACTATAGACTGAATTCCTCCCACCCTGCCAAAATCCATAGGTTACAACTCTAACCCGCAATAGCTTTGAATGTGACTGTATGTGGAAATAGGGCCTTTAAAGAGGTAATTAAGGTTAAATGAGGTCATAATATAACCAAAAAGGAAAGCTGCAGACCAATATCCCTGATGAAGATAGATGCAAAAATCGTCAATAAAATACTAGTGAACAGAATCGAACAGCACATCAAAAAGATAATACATCATGATCAAGTGGGTTTTATCCCAGGGATGGAGGGATGGTTTAACATACACAAGTCAATAAATATTGATAAGCCACATTAACAGAATTAAAAACAAAAACCATATAATCATCTCAATAGACGCAGAAAAAGCATTTGATAAAATCCATCATCCTTTTTTTTTTTTTTTTTTTTAAGACGGAATCTCGCTCTGTCACCCAGGCTGGAGTGCAGTGGCGCGATCTCGGCTCACTGCAAGCTCCTCCTCCCGGGTTCACACCATTCTCCTGCCTCAGCCTCCCAAGTAGCTGGGACTACAGACACCCGCCACCACGCCTGGCTAATTTTTTGTATTTTTAGTGGAGACAGGGTTTCACCGTGTTAGCCAGGATGGTCTCGATCTCCTGAGCTCGTGATCCGCCCTCCTCGGCCTTCCACAGTGCTGGGATTACAGGCGTGAGCCACCGCGCCTGGCCCATCATCCCTTTATGATAAAAACCCTCAACAAAATAAGCATAGAAGGGACCTACTTCAAAGTAATAAAAGCTATATATGACAAACACACAGCCAACATCACACTGAATGGGGAAAGCCTGAAAACATTCCCCCTGAGAACTGGAACAAGACAAAGCTCCCCATTTTCACTACTTCTATCCAACATGGTACTGGAAGTCCCAGACAGAGCAATCAGGCAAGAGAAAGAAATAAAGAGCATCCAGATTGGAAAAGGGGAAGTCAAACTGTTGCTGTTCACTGATGATATGATTGTACACTTAGTAAACCCTAAAGACTCCTTCAAAAGTTTCCTAGATATCATTAAAGAATTCAGTAAAATCTCAGGTTACAAAATCAATGTACACAAATCAGTAGCACTGCTATACACCAACAACAACCAAGCTGAGAATCAAATCAAGAACTCAATCCCTCTTACAACAGCTGCAACAACAACAACACACACACACACAAACTAGGAAAATACTTAACCAAGGAGGTGAAAGCTCTCTATAAAGAAAACTACAAAACACTGCTGGAAGAGATCATACGTGACAGAAACAAATGGAAACACATCCCATGCTCATGGACGGGAAAAAATCAATATTGTGAAAATAACCATACTGCACAAAGCAATCTACAGATTCAATGCAATTCCCATCAAAGTACCATCATAATTCTTCACAGAGCTAGAAAAAATATTAAAATTCATATGAAACCAAAGAAGGGCCCACATAGCCAAAGCAAGACTAAGCAAAAAGAACAAATCTGGAGGCATCACATTACCTGACTTCAAACTATACTGCTTGGCTATAGTTACCAAAACAGCATGGTACTGGTATAAAAATAGGCACATAGGCCAATTGAACAGAATACAGAATACAGAAATAAAGCTAAATATTTACAGACAATTGATCTTCAACAAAGTATACAAAAACATAAATTGGGGAGAGGACACCTTATTCAATAAATGGTGCTGGGAAAACTGGCAAGCCATATGTAGAAGAATGAAAGTGGATCCCCATCTCTCACCTTACACAAAAATCAACTCGAGATGGATCAAAGACTTAAATCTAAGACCTGAAATGATAAAAAAAATTCTTTAAGATAACTTCAAAAAAAAATAAACAACTCTTCTGGACATTGGCTTAGGCAAAGAATTCATGACTAAGACCCTAAAAACAAATGCAACAAAAACAAAAATAAGTAAATGGGACATAATTAAACTAAAAATCTTCTGCACAGCAAAAGAAATAATCAGCAGAGTAAACAGACAACCCACAGAGTGGGAGAAAATCTTCTCAAACTGTGCATCAGACAAAGGACTAGTATCCAGAATCTACAAGGAACTCAAACAAATCAGTAAGAAAAAAAAAATGATCCCATCAAAAAGTGGCCAAAGGACATGAATAGACAATTCTCAAAAGAAGATATGCAAACAGCTGACCAACATTATGAAAAAATGCTCAATATCACTAATCATCAAGGAAATGCAAATTAAGACCACAAAGAGATACCGCCTTACTCCTGCAAGAATGGTCATAACTAAAAAGTCAAAAAATAATAGATGTTGGCATGGATGTGGTGAAAAGGGAACACTTTTACACTGCTGGTGGAAATGTATATGAATATAACCATTATGAAAAACAGTATGAAGATTACTTAAAGAACTAAAGGTGAACTACCGTTTGATTCAGCAATCCTACTACTGGGTATCTAGCCAAAGGAACAGAAGTCATTATATGAAAAAGACACATGCACATGCCTGTTTGTAGCAGCATAATTTGCAAATGTAAAGATATGGAACAAACCTTAATGCCCATTGAGAAATGAGTGGATAAAGAAAATGTGGTATATATACACCATGGAATACTACTCAGCCTTCATAAAAAGAAACAAAATAATGTCTTTTGTAGCAACCTGGATGGAGCTGGAGACCATTACTTCAAGTGAAGTAACTCAGGAATGGAAAATCAAATATCGTTTTTCTCACTTATAAGTGGGAGCTAAGCTGTGAGGATGCAAAGGCATAAGAATAATAAACTTTGGGGACTTGAGGAGAAGGTTGGGAGGGGGATGAGGGATAAAAGACCACATTTTGGGTACAGTGTACACTGCCTGGTTGACGGGTGCACTAAAATCTCAGGAATCACCATTAAAGAACTTACCCATGTATTCAAAAACTACCTGTACCCCAAAAACTATTGAAGAAAAATGAGGTCATAAGGGTGGGGATCCAATTCAATATGAGTGGTGTCCTTATAAGAAGAATAAAAGACACCAGGTATGCACAGACACAGAGGAAAGGCCGTGCGAGGACAGAGCAGGAAGGTGGCCATCAGCAAAGCCAAGAAATGAGGCATCAGGAGAAACTAAGCCAGCTGACACCTTGAACTTGGGCTTTCAGCCTCCAGAACTGTGAGAAAATAAATTTCTATTGTTTAAGCTAACCAGTATGTGATATTTTGTTATGGCAGTCCAAGCAGACTAATGCAATGAGAAAAGATTTAAATGAATTAGCATGCTTATTGACAAGTAAAGGACTGCTGGCTGCTCCCCAATATTTGTTCTCCTTTTCCTTTCCTTTCTAAGTGGTAAAACACTGATTATTAACTAGTTGCATGGTTTCCTGGAATAAAGATATATTTTCCAGCCTCCCTTGTGGCTGAGTATAGACATATTATTAAGTTCTGGCTAATGGAATATAAATAGAATTTGTATACACCTTTCAAAAAATGCTCTTAAAGAGAGAGAGAATGTAACTCCTTCTTGCCCCCACCCCCTTTTTTTCCCTTTCTTACTGACTGGAATGCAGTCACGATGGCTAGAACTTAAGTAGCCATCTTAGATCATGAGGTAGAAGACATATATTGAGGTGTCAACTGCCTAGGTCTTTGATTGTGGGGTCTTACAAAGAACCTGGACTGTTTATTTACAGATTTTGTTTATTTGAGAGAGGGAGAAAAAAAATCTCTCTTTTCTCAGTTGTTATATGTTTGGTTTTATGTCATTTATTGCTAACCCTATTTTGAATTATTTAGCTAACTGCTCCCATGTAATTTTCACCTCTATGTCCTTGATCTACTCTTCTGAATAACATAGTATGGAACAGGTCTAATTATATTTCCACATGACAAGCATAATGCTCAAAGACTAATACCCTGTCCTCCCTAGGTCTGTAAACTAACTTCGGTTGGCCCTCCATGACAGTGGATTCAACCAACCTTAGGCTGAATATATTTGAAAAAAAACCACACAATAAAAATAACATACAAAATAAAAAGATACAAATAAAAACAATACAGTGTAACAATTATTTACATAGCATTTACATTGTATTAGGTATTATAAACAATCTAGAGAGATTGAAAGTATATGGAAGGGTGTGCATAGGTTATATGCAAATACTGTGCCACTTTATATAAAGGACTTGAGTATTTGCAGATTTTGTTATTTGTCAAGGGTCCTGGAACTAATCTCCTGCAGATACCAAGGAACAATTGTATAACTGATACCTCAACCATACCTCATAAGACGGCTCTTTGACCACCTTAATCATTCTCCTGAGGCCCTGGTTTATTCAGTCATTCTTTATTTCCATAAATTGAGAGTTAGCTGCATGGTATATATTTCATATAACTAGAAATTATGCATCACAAAATAATTCTAGTTTTGGGTGCAGTGAAAGGAAATATTTGGTAGGGAATGACCTGAAACTGACTTAGAAATGATTTTTAGAACATATTTTTCAATTTATTCTTATTCTTTAAATCATAGATCTCAGTTGTACTAATAGATATATCAGTTTGCATAGTTCCTTACTCAATAATGTTTTTCAACATCTGACCATTGGAATTACCAAAGAGAAGAGAGAATCTTCTCCTATTGCTGGGCAGAAATGGGTATGCTAATAGGTCATTTGTTTCTCACAGTTCTGCAGCTGCTCTTCTAGTTAACATGGTGAAAGGTAAGCTGGATGGCGAACTTGAGCAATTTGCTGCAATCTGCAATGTAGAGAACATTTTTCAAAACTGTCTTAATAATAGCCTAACGTGTGAAGTTATATCTCATCGTGGTTTTGATTTGCATTTCTCTGATGATTAGTGATGTTGAACATCTTTTCCTATACCTTTTGGCAATTTTTAACATCTTTTTTGGAGAAATGTCTTTTTAAGTCTTTAGCTCATTTAAAAAATCAGGTTATTGTTATTATTCTAGCTACTGAACTATGGGA
Organism: Homo sapiens; assembly: GCF_000001405.40. Taxonomy (NCBI): domain Eukaryota; kingdom Metazoa; phylum Chordata; class Mammalia; order Primates; family Hominidae; genus Homo; species Homo sapiens. The sequence continues at coordinate 88,035,448 of NC_000005.10, read as the reverse complement.
ATTGTTTATATATTTTGGAAATCAACCATTTATTTGATATATAATTTGCAAATATTTTCTCCCATTCTGTAGGCCTTTTTCCTACTCTGTTGATTGTTTTCTTTGCTGTGCAAAAGATTTTTAGTTTGATGTAGTCTCACTTGTCTATTTCTGCTTTTGTTGCCTATGTTTTGGAAGTCATATCCATGAAATGAAAAACAACACGTGTTGGTGATGATGTGGAAAAATTAGAACCCTTGTTCTAATTTCTGCAAAATGGTGCAGTAACTATGGAAAACAGTGTGGAGATTCCTCACAAAATTAAAATAAACTACCATATGATCCAGCAATCCTACTTCTGGGTACTTTTCCAAAAGAACTGAAATCAAGATCTTAAAGAGATATTAGCACTTCTGTGTTTGTTGTAGCACTAGATGCAATAGCCAAGATGTGGGAAAAACCTAACTATTTATCCCCCATTTTATTTATTTTCAATAAAGAAAATGTGATAGAAACAATGGGGGATTGTTCAGACTTTAAAAAAGGAAATGCTGGCGTGTTTTATACTATGGATAAACATTGAGAACATTATGTTAAGTGAAATAAGCCAGTTGCAGAAGGATAAATACTGTATGATTTCACTTATATGAGGGATCTAAAATAGTCAAATTCACAGAATCAGAGAGCAGAATTGTGGTTGCCAGGGGCTTGAGGGAGGGAGAAATGGGAGTCACTAATCAATGAGAGTAAAGTCTCAGTTATGCAAGATGAATACATTCTAGAGGCCTATTGTATAACATTATCCCTGTAATTAACAACACTATATTGCACAGAAAATTTTCTAAAAGGGTAGATTTCACATTGTGTTCTTTACAACACAAAATAGTTTTGTTTTGTTTTTTTTTGTTTTGTTTTTTAGAAAAGCTGTCTTTTCCTTTTGCATGCAAGAGTCTTTATAGGCTTGAATAAAAATGTCTTTGCAATGTTCACATCTTGGGTCTGGATCAGCTAACCAAAAACATTTATTGAGAATTTAAGTTGTATATATAACACATTCCATTGGAGTTAGAGGAAGTAGAAGATATAGAATTTTTGCACTTAAGAAGTTTGTGTGTTATTATAGACTTTTTGATAATTGTCTGAGAGGATCTATAAGAAACCCAAAGAACTGGATAATTTCAGTGGTAGAATCTAAACTATATTAGGACAGAAATGAGGTATGTTTTGCCTGCTACTTTAACCTACTACCAAGCACAATGCCTGTCATACTTTATGTACTCCTGGTTTATTTTATTTTGAGGTATGTTTTGCCTGCTACTTTAACCTACTACCAAGCACAGTGCCTGTCATACTATATGCACTTCAGGTTTATTTTATTTTAGTATCACTTGCTTGAATGAAATAGGGCTTTTAAAGTATATTTTCCTGATACAATGCCAAGTGCAATGAACGATCATAAAACTGGTATCTATTTTGATCAATGTCTATATAACATCATGCACAGATGGAGATTTAGCATTATTTAGTTGACCTAACGAATCTGGCAATCTAGTCCACATTTCAATTGATGTATTTGACAGATTGAATAGACATAAATAAATATACATTAAAACTTCACCTGTCTGAATTTGGTGGATCCAAAGCCATAGATATATTCTGGAAGACTTTAGCAGTGTCTACTAATAGAAGAAATTACTTATGAATACCTAGTTTTGAATTTTTTATTTTGAGATAATTTTAGACTTATGGAAGAGTTGTAAAAATGGAGCAAAATTTTTTCTTGTACCTTTCACCCAGCTTCCCCTAATGTCAAAATGTAACATACCAGAGCACAACTGGCAAGTGAAAAAAAGAAGAATTAATATTTGCACAATACAATTTACTTAGCAAAAGACTGTTTGGACTATGCTGATTTTTCCACTGTATTAGTCTGTTTTCACAAAGACATACCCAAGATTGGGCAATTTACAAAAGAAAAAGGTTTATTAGACTTACAGTTCCGTGTGGCTGGGGAGGCCTCACAATAATGGTGGAAGGTGAAAGGCACATCTTACTTGGCAGCAGACAAGACAAGAGAGCTTGTATGGGGAAACTCCCCTTTTAAAACCATTAGATTTCATGAGACAAATTCACAATCACGAGAATAGCATGGGAGAGACCTGCCCCTATGATTCAATTACCTCCCACTGGGTCCCTCCCACAACACATCAGAACTGCAGGAGTTACAATTCAAGATGAGATTGGGATGGGGGCACAGCCAAACCATATCATCCACTAATACTCTTTTCCTTCCAGGATCAGATCCAGGATCCCACATTGCATTTATTTGTCATGTCACCTTAGTCTGCTCCAATCTATGACAGTTTCTCTGTCTATGACAGTTTCCTTTACTCTCATGACCTTGAGACTTTTGAAAAGTACTGGTCAGGTATTTTGTAGAACATCATTCACCTTGGGTTTGTCTGCTATTTTCTCATGACTATATTTAAGCCATACATTATTAGGAAAAACATCACAAAAGTAATGTATCATTTTCAGTGCATTATATGGAGGTACAGCATGTAGATATGTTTTATTACCTGTGAAATTAACTTTGGACAGTTGTTTAAGGTGATTTCTGTCAGGTTTCTCCACTGTAAATTTACAAGTTTTCTCTTTGTAATTAATAAACATTTATTTTGGAAAAGGAACTTCGAAATTATCCAAATATTCTGTTTCTCTTGAATGTTTACTCACTAATTTTAACATTAATCAGTGGATCTTGCCTGCAGCAATTATTGTTCTAATGGCTATTTTCCATTTCTCTCATTTCTTGTATATATATTAATTGGAAAAGAATAAGTGAGTAAGTAGAAAAGCTGTGTCCCTTCTGCTCCATTTATTTATGTTTATATACATAAACATTTTAGGTAAATAAAAATCTGAAATCAAGGATACTTATTCTTTGGAGTATAAGCTAATATTACTTTAATTCGCTTTGGTGTTCAATTTGTTATGAATTTAACCATTTGGCATACCTTCAGGTTGACTCCTGTAACCTTTCTGTATGCCCCTATCATTTCTTTAGTATTTCCTTATCTTTATTTTCTAGCACAACAAGATGCCCCAGGCTCGGTTTGTATTTTAACTACCGCAGCCTTGGAATCAACCATTTTTCCAAGAAGCCTTGGTTCTTTTTATTAGAGAATAGTACTTAGAAACCAAGAAGTGGATGCTAAGTGTGATCATTCCTACTGAGATATTAGTGCTTGTAATCCCTTGCAGCAGACAGAGCTAGGAAATATCTTTGTGTGTAGTTACCCATGCATACACATATCCATTTTTATTTTTATATCTCTCTTTCTGTATATTTATGTTTTAAAAGAAACAAGCATAAGTTCATACTCATACAATTTAGCACGTTTCATTCTAAAACCTTTTCCCTTTATTTATAACTTCTTTCTTTCACAGTGAGAAACCTAGCTCTTAATACCTACAATATAGTTATTTACTTATTTAACCTCATTATTCATATGAAGTATTTTCCAGATTACTTTTCCACATCCCTGTAATGAAGAAAAGTATCAAGTGGAGTACAGAAATACAATGTTCATATGTAGTTCCTTTCGTCTTTAACTTACCATATCTAGTCAAAATACTGTTTTCCAAAGTTACTTACCTCAGCTTCTTTCTTCTTTACCTCCTTTAATGCAGTTATATAATTTATTGTTATACTATTAGATTCATTTGTAAAAATCTACACTGACTTTTCAATTTCTCCTATATATTATTTTTGAAAAAAATTATGTAAGAAAGTTTACTTTGTGGTATACATTTCTATGGGTTTTGACAGATGGATAAAGTCATGTGAATAACACCACAGTTCTTTACACAACAGTTCCATCAACCCCACATTCTCTTGCGCTGCCCACCTTGTACTTAACCCCCAAATGTCTGTTTCTACTACTAGAAAATTAACTTTTTGGGATCATGCCTGTCTGCACCCATTTTTGGATTTTAAGTTCTTATAGAGCTAAGCTGATGCTCATTAGATCCTTGTTGAATAGTTTGTATCCTAACAGTTAGTATATTATTGGTACTGCTAAAAAATCTAAGGGATTGAATAAATGAATGACTCAATGTGCATATAGATGATGAAGGTGATATTTTGTTTGGAGGTTGAATCACTTAACTATTGCTGTTAACAAACTTTATCAAAACTCAGTGGCTTAAAACAATAAGCATTCATTTAGCTTAGGAGTCTGTTGGTTGATTGGATAGTTTTTCTAGTTTTTCCTGTCTTCATTGGGTTTGATTGGGCTCATGTACTGATTGTCAGTCGGTTGGTTAGCTAGAGTCTGGCTGGTCTAGAGTGGCCTCACTCACCTGTCTGGCCAGGATAGGCTGGGCTTGTTTTATATAGCAGTGGCAGTGTTCCATGAGAGTAAGTAGAAGTGTTCAGGCCTCTCGATTACTAGGCTCAGAATCAGACAGCATTACTGCTACTGTATTCTAATGGCAGAAGCAAGTCACAAGATGAGCCCAGATTCAAGAAGCAGGGAAATAATCTCCACTTCTGGACGGGAGGAACTTTAATGTCAAATTGCAAAGGGCATGGATACAGTGATCAATCTATCACAAAATCTATGTAAATATATTTGAAGGCCTCACAAGGACTCTTAATGTAAATATTAAAGCCATCCATCCTGTTCCCTGCTGGCCATGATCTTGTGTGTTTATTTTCCTTAGTGGCTTCCCCTCACTCCAACACATTTAAAAAAACCTGATTCTGGAAAGCTGATGTGAGACTCAGAGACCAAAAATTGGCTCTTATGAGGGGTTTATCATAATTTTTTAAAATAATTTCCACTTGTTAGTCACACTTCCTCCTCTTTGCCTACCCCATTATTTTTACCCCTTTTGCTTGTACATAAGTTCTTCAAATATAAATTTATAAGTTCATTGAAAAAAGTGAGTAAAATGATCACTGCACATTTACATATGACAAAAGGAAACTTTTCAGAAAATTGGGATCCTACAACTAAACCACATTCTGAGAATATAAAGGCTTGATTGTATATCCTCTTCTTTTGGATGCTTACTTCTTTGTTAATAGGCTTAATTACTTGTACACAATTAATTGTATAAATTAAATTATATAGCATGATACTATTTCTGGTACTTGAACTGTTTTTCTTATAGTCATTCCATTCCAATCAGAGCTTTTTATATTATTCCCTGTATTATTTTCCCTTCATGATTCTCACACCACCCGGTGACAGCTTTCATTAGAGTGCAGTCAGTTTTGCTTTAACAGTTATCCTAAGTAGTAAACAATGACGGTGGATGTATCAGGGCTGACATGTTCCATCAATCTAAGATACTTGAAAAGGAATGGTTAAATTGATGCCCCAAAGTTTGATTTTTGCTTCAACACTTTTTGTTGGTTTAAGCAAACTGCTGGGTACAGATGTCTCTAAGTCCTCAGACAGCCTCTGGAAAATTCAACACATCTTGAATAAAAATGTGTTAGAGAAAAGAAAATGATACCCAGAGTCCAAACAGGTGCATCAGGCAATGCATTTAATGAAGTTCCTAAATTTTGATTTTGCAAAACAAGGCTTCAGTATGAAAAAAAGAAACAGGAAAGATGATAACGACATGATTTGCAACAATTGCAATATATATGTATTGCTGTCTTTAGGGAATAATGAATTATTCTAATAAATCCTACATCTATTATGGAGAAAGAAATTCTCTTTAACTATATTTAATGGTGTTAATTTAGAGGCAAATGATATTAAAATGACTGAATATTTGGGAAGAAAAACAAAAATACCCTACACTTAAAATTTTTTAGTAGCCATTTGCTAAAAAGGCAATTCTTTCTCATGATAAAACCACTCAGGAACCATACCTTTAGGAAATGATGGGGGAAAAAGCAATTGAGGCAGCATGATAGTTGACTGTACTAGGGCAGTGATTTTTCAAACTGGACTCTAGGGATTCCTAGGTGTCATGTCTCAGAGACTGTCACATGGGACTTAAGTTGATGAGGACCCACCTTGCTCTCTCAGATCTCTCCAATCCTCTTCACCGTTGCCCATCATCAATCTATGAGGTGGCTCTAATTACATTTGTTTTGTTTGTTAGATTTACTTGAAAAAAGTTCTAAAGAAAAAGTAAACTTCTATCCTAGAGTATCAAAAGAAAGAAAGAGAGAAAGCGAGAGAGACAGAGAGAGAGAGAGAGAGAGGCAGGAGAGAGACAGAGAGAAAGAGGAGAGAGGGAGAGAGAGAGAGAGAGAGAGAGAGAGAAAGAGAGAGAGAAAGGGAGCTGAAATCACAGTATACCCTTAATTTAGTATGTCTAATTATTCCAATATTGTAAAGGTGGGTAAGCCAGAAACATAGGACAATATCAGGCAAAGGTAAACCAAAACATGGCAGCAATGTGCATATGTTTATAACAACTTTCACTAATATTTCTCACAAATGGAAGTTAAGTAGAATTCAATAGCTCCATTTTAAGGATATTTAGAGAAAGCAGGCATAGTGCACATGAAACTAGATATCTTTGAATCCTGCAAAATATTGGACAACCAAAAAAATTCTCGAATTTGTTCTTTTTCCACACAGGATAAATTTGAATTATCTTTCTACAGTCATTAAGTAATAGTTTCTAGTTTGTTTAGTTTTGTTAACAGTAGATTTTCAAAAATCATAGGAAACAACATCACAAAAGATAGCTCACTTTACATTTTTTGGAAAATATTTAAATAACAAAAACCACAGCTACATCTACTGACATCATCATTTCATAAGAGAAAGGCTATTTTAACATCAAAATTTTAGGAAGAGTAACATTTCAGATAAAATAATATAGAAGGCCTGGGCGGGGTGGCTCGTGTCTGTAATCCCAGCACTTTGGGAGGCTGAGGTGGGTGGATCACTTGAGGTCAGGAGTTCGAGCCCACATGGCCAACATGGCGAAAGCCTGTCTCTACTAAAAATACAAAAATTAGCCAGGTGTGGTGGCATGCGCCTGCAATCCCAGCTACTCTGGAGGCTGAGGTAGGAGAATCACTTGAACCCGGGAGGTGGAGGTTGCAGTTAGCCGAGATTGGACCACTGCAGTCCAGCCTGGGTGTCAGAGCAAGACTTTGTCTCAAATAATAATAGTAATAATAATAATAATAATAATAATAATAGCAGAGTAGCATGCTATTTGTCTCTCTGTCTCTGTCTGTGTGTGTTTCTTTCTCAAACAGACTAGTCCAAACTCTTTTCTCTCTACATTCCAGTAGTACAGAGGTGATGGAAATCTAAGTTGTTTGTAGTCTTTTCTATTGATAAGGAGATAGAGTACTTTCTACAACAATCTGGCAACATAGTTTACTGGGACACAGTACTGAGAAATAACATGGATCATGGCTGTCTGTATGATGACCCGGACCTGCAGGTCACACTGATCAGTTTCAACTTGTATTAGAGGAGATGATGGCTAGAAGAGATTGCTAGAATGTATTGTCCACCCTCTAGCTGTTTCTAGATTTCTGTGACTTTACCTACATATATATGGGTAGGTGATTTCACCAAAAACACAAAGTGACTTTGTGATAGACCATATTTCAGACCTCCTAACATTTTTTTTAGAGACTCTGTGAGATAGGGGAAGACAATACTTAACGCTGATTGACTGCCTCATATGTTTCCAGAAGGATAGCAAGATTCTTACATATGTATGCCATTATCTTAAAATAATCCTTATGGGTTTTGGTAGTTATTATTACCTCACCTTTACTGATGGGAAACTAAGACCTACTAACTTAATAACTTAAGTAACTTGCACAAGAACCCCCCTCTCCTTCCCCCAGAGAGAGAGAGACAGAGAAGGACAGAGAGAGAAAGAGAGGGAGAGATACTTGTGCAGCCTGGGGTGGCAAGGCAGGGCAGTGGTTAGGTGGGTGGAAACCTTTCTGAATTCTGCTTTTGCTTTTCCTCTCTGTGGGGCAATCACTGCACCACAGGTTCCTCTCATGGCAGGAATCAGTGATCACAGCGCTTGTGTGGATCTGAGAGTTCGCCAAATGGTAAGATGGCAGGGTTTAAGCCTTGCTGTGGTGGGGAGTGGATGAAGACAGGTACTAGCTCACAACTATTCTCAAGCATTCACCCTTTCCCCATGAACACCTGGGGTTCAGCCTTTCCCCAAAGGACATCATGAAACAGAGGAACTGGTATATCCAGGCGTACATGAGCTCACAAATGAAAATTACTAGATGCCTGTGAAGTACAACCTAAGAAAGAAAGTCAAGTGTGGTGGCTAATGTTAGCTTTCTACAAAATTAATTATCTTTCTTGCTAAGTTTGACTACATTTCTAAGCCTCTGCTTCATTTAGGTGTGGTCATGTGATTAAGTTTTCATCAGCGGAATGTAAACAGACATGATTTCTGCTACTTCCATCCTTAAGTCTTACGGCACTGGGCATGCCTCCTCTTTGCTTTCTCTACCCTTTCCACTGGTGGGGACCCAGGCTTGGTGGCAACTCATCTTAACCATGCAGATGATTCCAGTGACCACGGGATGGTTGAGCAGCCCAATGGGAGGAAGCCGGCATTGTGAATGATCGCATGGGGTGGAGCAACTCACTGACCACTGCTTTCCCCACACCTGTCACATGAGAGAGCAAAAAATATCTATGTTCTTTAAGCTACCGCATTTTGGGTCTTCCTGTGATAACACTTTGGCCATATCCTAACTTATGTAAAAAGAAATTGGACAATATATGTATCTTGTGTGATCTAAAGCAGAAATATTGAAGCATAATTGCCTAGAATTTAGGAGAAGCATGATAAAATGTACTTGAGGGATTTAGAGAAGAAAGCAGCAAACTGAAAAAACAAGAAGAAACTATAAGAAAGTGGAAATGTTAGGTTTCAAATTGACTTGCTTTTTCACCTTTTGGCTTTCTCTGAATGTCACAGGTACCTAATAAATCACAGGAACCATTCATCTGTCCTCTGTCTTTCTTTCCCAACTCGTGGACATCTCTTGGATGCTGTCATTTGCTCTTCTCTTTTTCCTTTTAAGGTTTATGTCTTTCACATTTCTTTGCTGTGATTTTTTAAAGGGATTTTTAGAATAAAACATAGATAAGGCAAATGTATTCTACATGTAAAGGGAAGGCTCGAGTTCCTCTTACTGATCTTGGTTTTTGGATCATGAACATTTCTTAGATGTTTGTAATTTCCATAGTGTAATTTGCTTTTACAAAGTAGAAAATTTATAAGTGTTTGTCAAAAATTAGGAGAAGTCTAAGTAAATTATGGCATCCATGTGTTGGAATATTAATTTTTAATGACAAAAAAATTTTGAATTTTTTGAATGACAAAGAATTTTTAATGACAAAAAATTTACACAATAATTTTAATTTTAGAACCTATACAAAATTGTATATACATTGTGTATCTCAAGTATGTATGCTATGTACAGAATGGTATATGTACAGGATAAAGATTGATAGAAAATCTGATGAAATATTATGTTAAATCTAAGAGTTGGGATTACTTTTCTTCAGTAGTTTATGATTTTTTTTTAACTCATTGCTCTTTAAAGTCCTTAGATGATTTGACCCTATTAAAAGTTTGTGGCTAAATCCTATACTTTTCTCTGACTTTGTATAGTATCTGTAACTTTATGATACAGGGAAGGGTTGGCAAACTACAGCTTGCAAGCCAAATGTTTTTGTAAATAGAGTTTCATTGGAACACAGCCACTCTCAATTATTTATCTTTTCCATGACTGCTTTCATGCTACAATAGCAGAGTTGAGCAGTTGTAACAGAGGCTGTATGGCCTGCATAGCCTAAAATATTTACTCTCTGACTTTTTACAGAAAAACTTTGCGGGCCACTGGTATAGAGGAGGAACGGCTTTGTCACATCTTACACATAATATACATATTTCCCTGCTCCAAAGTATATTCTTAAAGGTCTCCTAAAATAAACTGATCTTTTTCTCACAATGCCATACTGGATTATTTTTAATTTTGTCTAATTTGAAAATATTTCAACTTATATTACTTAAACAAATATTTAGAGAGGTCACACTGTGAATCTAGACACAATGGTGGGTGGAGTAACAGTGAAATAAAACAAAATTAAATATTTCCTAGCCATAAAATTTTCATAGCCTAATTCTGAGACTATTGATGCTCTGATTTTATCATTATCCTCCCAAAAAACTGCCCCCTAGGTGATTTTCTTTTCAATAATTGAAAGAGTAGATTTAAATACTGGACACAAACTTTTGTGCTGATAGATGAAACTTTTGCTTGAGTATGTAGGTTTCTATGTGCATATTATGATCTGCTGAAAACTTTCTGAATGCTCTGTGCCACTCCCTGTAAATAACCTTCCTAATGATCTTCAAGGGGTATCTCTTTTCAAGCTGAAAGATTCCACTAGCGGTAACCTAATGGGATATTGATGCTCCAATATGCTCCAGGAAGAGATGAACCAGCCCACCTTACTCACAGTTGCATTTCTTGTATTTAGTATTGTGGCTTCAAAGCATAGTAGGTGCTTAATTAATAAATGACCAGCAAATAAATCCTTGAAAGAGTGCATGAAAGGATCTGGATCTGGCTAGCCTTTTTCTTTTAGAATTCTATCACAATTTAGATGTAATTAAGGAACTGATACTGAGCTGACACAGAAGATCCTGCTAAAAGGAGAGTCAAGTCAAAGACAAAGCACCTATTTCACAACTTTTGTCCAAAGTGGACCTACATACAAAGACTGCTATGGTCATCTTAATGTAATAATAATAATGATTGTTAATTTGATTAATATTGATATTTGTATGGTGCTCAGTCTTTCCCAGCAAGCCTAATGTGGTTTGAATATTCGTCTCCTGATGTTGAAACTTAATTGCCATTGTGACAGTATTAAGAGGTGGGACCTATAAGAGATTTTTAGGCCTTGAGGTCTCTGTCCTAATGAATGGATTAATGACATTATCACAGGAGAGGATTCCTCATGAAAGGAGGAGTTCAGCTGCCTTCTTTTCCTCTCTATCTCCCCTCGGCTCCCCCACTCTCTCTGGCCTGTCTACCTTCTGCATTGTGAGGATATAGCATTCGTTCACCATGTGATATTGCAAAAAGAAGGGCCTTGCAGGAAACATCATTCTAGACATAGGCCTTGACAAAGATTTTATGATGGAGACACCAAAAGCGATTGCAACAAAAACAAAAATTGACAAATGGAAACTAATTAAACTAAAGAGCTTCTGCACAGCAAAAGAAATTCTCAACAGAATAAACGGACAGCCTACAGAATGGGAGAAAATATTTGAAAACTATGCATTCCCATCTAGTGTCTAGAATCTCTTAGAAACTTAAATAAATTAACAAGAAAAAAACACAAACAACCTCACTTAAAAGTGGGCAAAGGACATAAACAGACACTTTTCAAAAGATGACATACATGTGGCTGACAAGCATATAAAAATGCTGAACACTAATCATTAGAGAAATGCAAATCAAAAACACAGTGAGATACCATCTCACACAGTCAGAATCGCTATTATTAAAAAGTCAAAAATAACAGTTGCTGGTGAGGTTGCAGAGAAAATGGAATGCTGGTATGCTGCTGGTGGGAATGTAAATTAGTTCAGCCACTGTGGAAAGCAGTTTAGAGATTTCTCAAAGAACTCAGAACTTCCATTCAGCCCAGCAATCCCTTTATTGAGTATATCCCTGAAGGAATATAAATCATTATACCATAAAGACACATGCACGCCTATGTTCGTGACAGCACTGTTCACAATAGCAAAGACCATGGAATCAATCTAGATGCCCATCAACAGTGGGCTGCTTAAAGAAAATGTGGTACATATACACCATGGCATACTACATACACAGCAATACAAAAGAATGAGATCATGAACTTTGAAGCAATATGGATGGAGCTACAGACCATTACTCTTAGCAAACTGACTCAGGAATAGACAACCAAATACCACATGTTCTTACTTATAAGTGGGAGCTAAACACTGAATACACATGGACACAAAGAAGGGAACAGTAGACACTGGGGTCTACTTAGGGGTGGAGGGCCAGAGGAGGGCGAGGATTGAAAAACTACCTGTCAGATACCATTCTTATTACCTGGGTGGTGAAATAATCTGTGCACCAAACCACTGTGACATATAATTTACCCATACCTGCACATGTACCCCTGAAAATAAAATAAAAGCTTTTTTTTTTTTTTTTTTTTTTTTTTAAAAAAAATGAAGGCTTTCACAGATGCCAGAACTTTGATCTTGGACTTTACAGCCTCCAGAACTGTGAGAAAATAAATATCTGTTCATCATAAATTACCTAGTTAGTGACATTCTGCTATAGAAGCACAAAATGAACTAGGACAAAGTCCTCATTGATTATTCAACACATCCATTTGGTAGGGAAACTCTAGCAGGTTAGGATGTTGTGTTGCATTTATAAAAACACACCAAAAATGACACTTCAGGTAGAATAAATTCTATCTCCTATTTATAAAAATCCAGCAAAAATGACACCTCAGCTAGGATAAATTCTATCCCCTAAGTCATGAGCCAGTATGTATTTCCTCCTATGAGTGGATTGGCAATCTGTATTGCTATGGTCGAATGAGACCTCACCACAATTTATGAGTTGAAATTTCATCACTAATATGATAGTATTAAAAGGTGAGACCTTTGGGAGGTAATGAAGTCATGAGAGCAGAGCTCCCACAAATGGGGTTTATGCTTTTTATAAAAGGGATTGAAGGGAGCCTCCTAGCCCCTTTGGCCCCTTCCACCATGTGAAGACACAAAGCAGGTGTCATCTATAAGGAACTGGCCCTCGTCAGACATTGAATCTGTTGGCATCTTGATCTTGAACTTCCCAGGCTCTAGAACTACTTTCTCTAAGGTATTTTGTTATAGTAGCAAGAATGAAGTAAGACACCTGTGATAATAAACATTTCCAGGACCCGGAGGAAATCCCTGATTCTGTCAAGTAAATGAGACTCTAATTAAACAAATAAGAAGCTTACACATTTCTTGCAAAACAGAAACAAACAAAACAACTTGAATTGAAGATAGTCTAATAATACACGTGCAAGGAACAAAAATCTTTAAGCTATTTTTCTGTGTGTAAGGTCTCTTTATCTACCACATAATATACTTAAATAATAAGAAGCTAGACAAAGAAATTTGAAAGGATCAAAAAGATTATTTAAATTATCTACTTTTGTTACAATGCAACTCGCCCCAAATGTATTTTGCACTTTAAAATTCAGCTAATGTGGAAATACAACATAAATATAATTTATAAACTAACAAAAATGTCTGTACATTGGAGGTCATGTTCAAATTTATTACTGACAGGGTACTAGATCAATAATTGGAGACCATTACCTCAGTAATCTGAGGAAATAAACCTTTCTTAGGAAATGCCTCTTTAATCACTAAGATTTCTAATCAAATACCAATTATTATCTATGTACTTTTTCATTAGCTAACTTTTATTGATATTTATCATAATATTGATATGTCAGTGTATTGATATCTTTGTTTTTATTAAATAAAAATTATAATGAGCAAAGGTAATTAATGATGATTATTTTGCATTCCATGATAATGCTTCCTATTTCATCTGCCTTAATGGTTTTAATAAAGGACAAATAAAATTTTACTCAATTAAAAAATTTTTAATTTTATTTTTTAAAATAAATTTATTATATATTTAAATATATATTATATATTGTACATTTAAGTATATAAAATATGATATATATTTATTATATATTTAAATATATAAATATGATATATTATATATTTATTATACATATTTAAATATATATATATATCATGATGTTATGGAATACATATGGATAGTAAAAGGGCTACTACGGTGATATAAATTAATACACTTACCTTACAGTTATCTTTTTTTGTGTTTTTGTGGCCAGAGCAGCTAAAATCTACTCATTTAGCTTGAATCCTAGATACAGTACAATTTTATTACGTATAGTCCTCATGTTGTACGTTAGATCCCAACACTTGTTCATCCTATATACCTGCTATTTTACATCCTCTGATCTGTATCTCCCCGTTTCCTCCCTGCAGGCTGACCCTGGTAACTGCTCTTTTTGTCCTCTATCTTGGTATATTTGAATTAAAAAAAATAGATTCCACGTATAAGTGATATTATGTAATATTTTTTCTTTCTTTGTCTGGCACGTTTTACTTAGCATAATGTGCTCCAAGCTCATCCATACTGTGACAAATGGCAAGATCTTTTTCTTTGTTTAGGGTGAATAATAATCCATTGTTTATGTATATATACACTACAGTGTATTTATCCATTCTGTTCATGGACATTTAGGTTGTTTTCATATCTTGGCTACTGTGAGTAATCTATAATGAACATGGGAGTGCAGATATTTTTACAAGGTGGTGATTTTATTTCCTTTCTGTATATGCCCAAAAGAGGGATTTCTGGGTCATATGGTAGTTCTATTTTTAATTTCTTTAGAAACCTTCATACTGTTTTCCGTAATGGCTGCACCAATCTACATTTCCACCAACAGTGTGCAAGATTTCCCTTTTTTCCCCACAAAAATTGAACTCTATTTATTTAAGTTAACAGACATCTTAAAATATGTACCACATGAAATGTGCCCTGATATGTCTTATTCAGAGATGCAAATTTGGGGAAGATCTCAAGGACCTTCTAATATCTTGGTTTATTTCCAGTAGAATAAAGTTCAAGCCAGTATTTTCCAGAATAAGCAAAAGATTGTGATTGAAGCAAACCTGATTATGGTTTGGATGTTTGTCTCCTCCAAATCTCATGTTGAAATGTCATCCCCAATGTTGGAGGCAGGGCCTAGAGGGAGGTGTTTGGGTCATATGGGTGGATCCCTCATAAATGGCTTGGTGCCCTTCCCATGGTGATGAGTGAGTTCTTGCTGTTAGTTCACATGAGAGCTGGTTGCTCCCTCTCTTACCATGTGACATGCCTGTTCTCCCTTTGCCTTCTGATGTGACTGGGAGGTTCCTGAGGCCCCAGCAGAGACCGAGCAGATGCTGGTGCCATGCTTGTACAGTCTGCAGAGCCATGAGCAAAATAAATCTCTTTTCTTTATAAATTACCTAGTCTTGGGTATTCCTTTTTAGCAACGCAAAACAGACTAAAGCAAATCTCAACTTGTCTTTTATCAGGACTACACAATAACCAAATTAAGTTACAGTCTGTTTATTCTGATTTCAAAGGATATTTGTTTGCTTTGTATTCACAATTCCCACTCTAATCTAGAGCTACTGTTGTGACTTGGTTGGGGTTCCTTAGTTAACCTTGGACTGACTGTGTTGTGACCGTTTCTCACGTTGCAGCTTGCCTTGACTGTTTCTGGAAGAGTCCAACACATTCAAAGAGGGGGGATAATTATAAATAAGTGAACCATTTTTTTTCTAGTAAATAATAAAGACTTTTAGAACTCAAAGAGATCTTAGGAATTAGCTCATTCAAGTCATACCTAGTAGTGCTCTGATAAGAAATCATCCGGGTTGAGTGTGATTCAAGTTTATAAACATATGAGAACCTTCTGTAACTAGATGCCTTCATGTACAATTATTCCATTTATGCATCCACTGTTAGGAAACTCATAAATTCATAAGAGAACCTATTTCATTCTTCGGCAGCTCTAATTGTTAAAAATTTATTTTGTATGCTGTGTGTTAATATATGCCTTCCTGAAAATTTCAATAGTTGATTCTAGTTCTAATGAACTGAATTCTTCTGACAAATGTCTCTTGAATCTTGTACTCCCTAGAACAATTTGAAAACAAGTATGAAATGCATATTTTGAGTCACACGTTTTCATTTTTTTGATGTATTGAAAGAATGTCTCTTAAAGCACAAAGCTCAAAGATTTTAAAGGAAAAGACATCTTTGCTATTATCAAATGTTCAGCCATTTTAAGCATCAGTAAGCAAGTTTAGTAGCATATAAACCAGAAATTATATCATTTATGTCAAATTCTACTTTTTGACTCTCTTTTATGATTATTCCTCTGGGAAATCTAGGCTAGATCTTGAATCGTTACTGATTCAAATGCTGTTCTCCATTTTCTCTTTTAATTTTCAAAAAATATGTTGGAAACCAGTGAAACCAAATTTTACATCATCATAGATACAAAGAATGATTAAATCTGATGACACTTAACTCCAGGGAAGGAAAGAAGGCTATTTAAGTTGGGCAGGTGATTCTGCTTATTCTTCTGGTCAGTGAACACTAGGTGCAAGTTTGCTGTTCTCCCTGTGGGACACAGTAATCCTATATTCTGATAGTGTGAGCATCTAATCCCCCTGACTGGAACTCTAATATCTAAATATAAACATTTTTTTTCCAACAACATGACTCCTAAATGCAAGCAAACCTAAGCCAGCTGAACTGAGGACATGATCATTGGAGCCAATGCAAGGAGAAAAATTGCCTGTGTCGGACTTACTGAGAGGTGTTACTGAACTCTGTGTGATTTTTTTTTGGTAATTATGACTAGTCCCTTCCTGCTTTGACTTTAAAACTTATTGATGACCAGGTAAGATTTAACCTAAAGGTTAATGTTTTTTTTTCTTCCTTAACATGGATAGTTAGGGAAGCTTTCCCTAAAATACCCTATTAAAAAAAAGAACTTTTAAGAGAGATTCTAGGAAAAGATATGACAGCCTCTGCTTTAGTTTTTAAGTCATTTCTAGCCAGACCAAGAAATGAAAATGCAAGTATTAGAAGCCCATTCAAATCAAAGGAAGAGGGTATTAACTTTGAGCTTAAATATTTATAACTGGAAATTTGGCTTTCTCCAAATATACAGAAATATATGGATTGTTGGAAATCTTGTTGTGTTCCTCAGGAAGTTATTCTCCACTGGACTGGTGCTGGCTGATAGAGACTCCAATATGCAATATGCCAAAGTGGTCATTCCTGAGAAGTTAAAATGAGGATAAAAGAAACGCCTATAATCCTTTAATTTCATTTCCTTTTGGGATTTGTGTGTTTCCTAGAAACTCTGGGTGTTTCTCTGAGTGGGAAATGGAGAGATGCAGTAGTCACTTTACTTGTTATCTACAATTTTTTGCTTACAGGAATTTGAGACATGTCAGTGACAAGGTGAATATATAGGATGGAGAAGAGAAATGTTGTTATTGAGTGATGAGAATTGGATTGAGTGAATGTTACCATTCAACTTCAGGTGTGCTAACCTAGTGATTTCAAATAAAAACACTTTTGGTTCTTATTAATACTTTATTGACACAATTAGTGCCAGGTTTTAAAGTAAAATGAACTTTCTTTGTTTTAATGATACACATTAATATACTAGAACACTGCTGACATTTTCTTATTTATTTTCATTTTATATAAAAAATTCTTAAACAGTGTTTACTATATGCCAAGTAGATTCTAAGCACTTGACAGATACTAATTCATTTAATTTTTATAACAACTTTATAGAGTAGGTACTATTGTTGCATCCATTTCACAGATGGGAAAATGGATATGGAAATGTTAAGCAACTTGGCTAGTCAGAGGCAAAAGCAGGCCTCCTCTCTTCCATTTAACCTCAGATTGTCATGTAAATATTATTTGAAACATGCGCCCTGATTAAAAAATAGTTGGGGGAATACTGTTCCAAGGAATAAAAATAAAACTAACCCCCAAATGCTACCACTACCACAATAAAACAACAACAACAACAACAACAACAAAAAACCTGTCTAAATGCACAGCTGAGCTCACTGGAAGGTAATCATTAGGTCCCTGAAATGAACCTGAGTGGTAACCTCAATAGCTGATGCCATGGTTACTAGAGGTGAGAGTGGGTGATAAATTGGGTGGTAGAGACTGAGTCATGGTAAAATCTAAGGACTCTATTTCTGATGCTCAAATGAAGATATCAGATTAGGATTTAAATCCATCCAAAGAGGTGCATCAAAACTCATATCTTCATATAATGTTAGGATGCTCAAAATGCTACAACTTCAGTGAAAGCACAAATAGAAAAAAAATTATCCATTTTCTTTTGCTCTGGATTCTTGGTAGAATAAAAAAGCTCCTTTTAGAACATGCAACCATGGCCATTCGTGCAAGTGTGAGGGTTAAATCCCCAAACTAAAAAGTTAACAAATAATTAGTAGTACTTTTGCTAATGACAGCTAGCAGAAGAAAAACGAACATTTTTGAGGGACATTCCATGCACTGGACCTCAATTCCCACAGTGAAAAGCCCTGCTGAAGATGAGCTCATAATCCAAATCTAAGTAACTACACTAAAAAATATTTACCAAGAGTGAGAATCAGTGAAACAACAAACTGTAAGATAAAACCTGAGACTTTTAGATATTAGAACACTTGGATAATAGAAAATACATATGTTTAAAAATAACTAAACATATAAAAATAAAATAAATAAAGGAGAAAAAAAGACATGATTAGAAAAGACCAAGCATATTTGAAAAATAATCAAATGGATTTTCTAGAAATCAAAAATGAAGTCACTAAAATTAAAAACTTGATAGAATGCTTTAGTAGTAGATTATACGCAGGTAAAGATAACTAATGGACTGTAAGATTTGAGGAGATTATTATAATGCAGCAAAGAGGGTAATATAGTTGAAAATTATAAAAAAGGCATGGAGGATAAAATGAAATTTAACCTATGCCTGATAAGACTCCCAGAAGGAAAAAATAGAGATAATGGGGGAGAATTTTTCAGTATCACAGTGAGTGCCAGAAGTGGTAAATAAAAATGATCTTTTATCTAGATACATCACAGTAAAACTGCAAAACACCAAATACCAAGTGAGAAATCTTGAAAGCTACAGCAGAAAAGGATTATCTCTTAAGAATATATATAAAAGAATTCCAACTAAACAGTAGACATATCAACAGCAACAGGAAGCCAGAGATAATGGAAAAATCTTCACAAGGGTGAAAGAAATGAACCGCCAACCAAAAAATATATGTCCAGCTTCACTATCATTTAGGAGTTAGGGAAAAATATATTTAAAGTGAGCAAGCAAGCAAACAAACAAAGCATCTACTATACAGTAAGAAGAAAATTTAACCTAAGAAAAAGGACTAAGATGTAAGAATGTTGAGTAAATAAATTTGTAAACTTGTCTTTAAATCTAAAAAGTTACCTATAAACAAATATGAAAATATTGAATAATTTGGGGAAATTAGTTCAAATAAAGTAAATAAATATTTATAAAATTTACATATAAAGGAGGAAAGAACAGAGTTAACACATTCTACAGTTCTACAGTAATTTGCCTGTCATATATCTTCTTTGGTTAATTTCTGCTCAAGTCTTTAGCCCATTTAATAATGTGTTTAAGTTTTCAGAGTTCTTCATACGTTCCTGTTACAAGTTCTATTTCAGACAGGTGATTTACAAATCTTTTCTCACAAACTGTAGTGTGTCTTTTCTTCCTTGTAACAGTGTTTTTTGAAGAGCAAAGTTTTAAGTTTTGATAAGTCCATTTATCATTTTCTTCTTTTATGGGTTGAGCTTTTGCTGTCATAGCTGAGAATTCTTTCCCTAACATTAGATCACAGAATTTTCTCCTATGTTTTATTCTAAAAGTTTTACAATTTTCAATTTGACATTTATATTTGTGATTAATTTTGAATTAATTTTTATATAAGATATGCCATTGAGGTTGAGATTGATCTTTTGGCACATGGATGCCCAATTATTTCAACACCACTTGTTGAAAAGTCTACTTTTTCTGCTTTGAATTGTCTTTACATATTTTGTCAAAAATCAATTTGAGGGTGGAGCCAAGATGGCCAAATAGGAACAGCTCCGGTCTACAGCTCCCAGCCCGTGAGTGACGCAGAAGACGGGTGATTTCTGCATTTCCATCTGAGGTACCAGGTTCATCTCACTAGGGAGTGCCAGACAGTGGGTGCAGGACAGTGGGTGCAGCGCACCGTGCATGAGCCAAAGCAGGGCAAGGCATTGCCTCACTCAGGAAGTGCAAGGGGTCAAGGAGTTCCCTTTTCTAGTCAAAGAAAGGGGTGACATACGGCACCTGGAAAATCAGGTCACTCCCACCCTAATACTGTGCTTTTCCAACGGGCTTAAAAAATGGCACACCAGGAGATTATAACCCTCAACTGGCTCAGAGGGTCCTATGCCCACGGAGTCTCCCCAATTGCTAGCACAGCAGTCTGAGATCAAACCGCAAGGTGGCAGCGAGGCTGGGGGAGGGACGCCTGCCATTGCCCAGGCTTGATTAGGTAAACAAAGCAGCCTGGAAGCTCGAACTGGGTGGAGCCCACCACAGCTCAGGGAGGCCTGCCTGCCTCTGTAGGCTCCACCTCTGGGGGCAGGGCACAGACAAACAAAAAGACAGTAGTAACCTCTGCAGACTTAAGTGTCCCTGTCTGACAGTTTTGAAGAGAGTAGTGGTTCTCCCAGCACGCAGCTGGAGATCTGAGAACGGGCGGACTGCCTCCTCAAGTGGGTCCCTGACCCCCGAGCAGCCTAACTGGGAGGCACCCCCCAGTAGGGGCAGACTGACACCTCACACCGCCGGGTACTCCTCTGAGACAAAACTTCCAGAGGAATGATCAGGCAGCAGCATTTGCAGGTCACCAATATCCGCTGTTCTACAGCCACTGCTGCTGATACCCAGGCAAACAGGGTCTGGAGTGGACCTCTAGCAAACTCCAACAGACCTGCAGCTGAGGGTCCTGTCTGTTAGAAGGAAAACTAACAAACAGAAAGGACGTCCACACCAAAAACCCATCTGTACGTCACCACCATCAAAGACCAAAAGTAGATAAAACCACAAAGATGGGGAAAAAACAGAGCAGAAAAACTGGAAACTCTAAAAAAACAGAGCACCTCTCCTCCTCCAAAGGAACGCAGCTCCTCACCAGCAATGGAACAAAGCTGGATGGAGAATGACTTTGATGAGTTGAGAGAAGAAGGCTTCAGATGATCAAACTACCCTGAGCTACAGGAGGAAATTCAAATCAATGGCAAAGAAGTTAAAAAGTTTGAAAAAAAATTAGACGAATGGATAACTAGAATAACCAATGCAGAGAAGTCCTTAAAGGAGCTGATGGAGCTGAAAGCCAAGGCTCGAGAACTATGTGAAGAATGCAGAAGCCTCAGGAGCCGATGTGATCAACTGGAAGAAAGGGTATCAGTGATGGAAGATGAAATGAATGAAATGAAGCGAGAAGGGAAGTTTAGAGAAAAAAGAATAAAAAGAAATGAACAAAGCCTCCAAGAAATATGGGACTATGTAAAAAGACCAAATCTACGTCTGATTGGTGTACCTGAAAGTGACAGAGAGAATGGAACCAAGTTGGAAAACACTCTGCAGGATATTATCCAGGAGAACTTCCCCAATCTAGCAAGGCAGGCCAACATTCAGATTCAGGAAATACAGAGAACGCCACAAAGATACTCCTCGAGAAGAGCAACTCCAAGACACATAATTGTTAGATTCACCAAAGTTGAAATGAAGGAAAAAATGTTAAGGGCAGCCAGAAAGAAAGGTCAGGTAACCCACAAAGGGAAGCCCATCAGACTAACAGCGGATCTCTCAGTAGAAACTCTATAAGCCAGAAGAGAGTGGGGGCCAATATTCAACATTCTTAAAGAAAAGAATTTTCAACCCAGAATTTCATATCCAGCCAAACTAAGCTTCATAAGTGAAGGAGAAATAAAATCCTTTACAGACAAACAAATGCTGAGAGATTTTGTCACCACCAGGCCTGCCCTAAAAGAGCTCCTCAAGGAAGCACTAAACATGGAAAGGAACAACTGGTACCAGCCACTGCAAAAACATGCCAAAATGTAAAGACCATCAAGGCTAGGAAGAATCTGCATTAACTAACGAGCAAAATAACCAGCTAACATCGTAATGACAGGACAAATTCACACATAACAATATTAACTTTAAATGTAAATGGGCTAAATGCCCCAATTAAAAGACACAGACTGGCAAATTGGATAAAGAGTCAAGACCCATCAGTGTGCTGTATTCAGGAAACCCATGTCACGTGCAGAGACACACATAGGCTCAAAATAAAGGGATGGATGAAGATCTAACAAGCAAATGGAAAACAAAAAAAGGCAAGAGTTGCAATCCTAGTCTCTGATAAAACAGACTTTCAACCAACAAAGATCAAAAGAGACAAAGAAGGCCATTACATAATGGTAAAGGGATCAATTCAACGAGAAGAGCTAACTATCCTAAATATATATGCACCCAATACAGGAGCACCCAGATTCATAAAGCAAGTCCTGAGTGACCTACGAAGAGACTTAGACTCCCACACAATAATAATGGGAGACTTTAACACCCCACTGTCAACATTAGACAGATCAACGAGACAGAAAATTAACAAGGATACCCAGGAATTGAACTCAGCTCTGCACCAAGCAGACCTAATAGACATCTACAGAACTGTCCACCCCAAATCAACAGAATATACATTTTTTTCAGCACCACACCACACCTATTCCAAAATTGACCACATAGTTGGAAGTGAAGCACTCCTCAGCAAATGTAAAATAACAGAAATTATAACAAACTGTCTCTCAGACCACAGTGCAATCAAACTAGAACTCAGGATTAAGAAGCTCACTCAAAACCACTCAACTACATGGAAACTGAACAACCTGCTCCTGAGTACTACTGGGTACATAACGAAATGAAGGCAGAAATAAAGATGTTCTTTGAAACCAACGAGAACAAAGACACAACATACCAGAATCTCTGGGACACATTCAAAGCAGTGTGTAGAGGGCAATTTATAGCACTAAATGCCCACAAGAGAAAGCAGGAAAGATCCAAAATTGACAACCTAACATCACAATTAAAAGAACTAGAAAAGCAAGAGCAAACACATGCAAAAGCTAGCAGAAGGCAAGAAATATCTAAAATCAGAGCAGAACTGAAGGAAATAGAGACACAAAAAACCCTTCAAAAAAGTAATGAATCCAGGAGCTGGTTTTTTGAAAAGATCAACAAAATTAATAGACCACTAGCAAGACTAATAAAGAAGAAAAGAGAGAAGAATCAAATAGATGCAATAAAAAATGATAAAGGGGATATCACCACTTATCCCACAGAAATACAAACTACCATCACAGAATACTACAAACACCTCTATGCAAATAAACTAGAAAATCTAGGAGAAATGGATAAATTCCTGGACACATACACCCTCCCAAGACAAAACCAGGAAGAAGTTGAATCTCTGAATAGACCAATAACAGGCTCTGAAATTGTGGCAATAATCAATAGCTTACCAATCAAAAAAAGTCCAGGACCAGATGGATTCACATCTGAATTCTACCAGAGGTACAAGGAGGAGCTGTTACCATTCCTTCTGAAACTATTCTAATCAATAGAAAAAGAGGGAATCCTCCCTAGTTCATTTTATGAGGCCAGCATCATCCTGATACCAAAGCCTGGCAGAGACACAACCAAAAAAGAGAATTTTAGACCAATATCCTTGATGAACATTGATGCAAAAATCCTCAATAAAATACTGGCAAACCAAATCCAGCAGCACATCAAAAAGCTTATCCACCACGATCAAGTGGGCTTCATCCCTGGGATGCAAGTCTGGTTCAACATACGCAAATCAATAAATGTAATCCAGCATATAAACAGAACCAAAGACAAAAACCACATGATTATCTCAATAGATGCAGAAAAGGCCTTTGACAAAATTCAACAGCCCTTCATGCTAAAAACTCTCAATAAATTAGGTATTGATGGGACATATCTCAAAATAATAAGAGCTATCTATGACAAACCCACAGCCAATATCATACTGAATGGGCAAAAACTGGAAGCATTCCCTTTGAAAACTGGCACAAGACAGGGATGCCCTCTCTCACCACTCCTATTCAACATAGTGTTGGAAGTTCTGGCCAGGGCAATTAAGCAGGAGAAGGAAATAAAGGGTATTCAATTAGGAAAAGAGGAAGTCAAATTGTCCCTGTTTGCAGATGACATGATTGTATATCTAGAAAACCCCATTATCTCAGCCCAAAATCTCCTTAAGCTGATGAGCAACTTCAGCAAAGTCTCAGGATACAAAATCAATGTACCAAAATTACAAGCATTCTTATACACCAATAACAGACAAACAGAGAGCTAAATCATGAGTGAACTCCCATTCACAATTGCTTCAAAGAGAATAAAATACCTAGGAATCCAACTTACAAGGGATGTGAAGGACCTCTTCAAGGAGAACTACAAACCACTGCTCAGTGAAATAAAAGAGGATACAAACAAATGGAAGAACATTCCATGCTCGTGGGTAGGAAGAATCAATATTGTGAAAATGGCCATACTGCCCAAGGTAATTTATAGATCCAATGCCATCCCCATCAAGCTACCAATGACTTTCTTCACAGAATTGGAAAAAACTACTTTAAAGATCATATGGAACCAAAAAAGAGCCCACATTGCCAAGACAATCCTAAGCCAAAAGAAGAAAGCTGGAGGCATCACACTACCTGACTTCAAACTATACTACAAGGCTACAGTAACCAAAACTGCGTGATACTGGTACCAAAACAGAGATATAGACCAATGAAACAGAACAGAGCCCTCAGAAGTAACACCACACATCTACAACCATCTGATCTTTGACAAACCTGACAAAAACAAGCAATGGGGAAAGGATTCCCTATTTAATAAATGGTGCTGGGAAAACTGGCTAGCCATGTGTAGAAAGCTGAAACTGGATCCCTTCCTTACACCTTATACAAAAATTAATTCAAGATGGATTAAAGACTTAAATGTTAGACCTGAAACCATAAAAACCCCAGAAGAAAACCTAGGCAAGACCATTCAGGACATAGGCATGGGCAAGGACTTCATGTCTAAAACACCAAAAGCAATGGCAACAAAAGCCAAAATTGACAAATGGGATCTAATTAAACTAAAGAGCTTCTGCACAGCAAAAGAAACTACCATCAGAGTGAACAGGCAACCTACAAAATGGGAGAAAATTTTCACAACCTACTCATCTGACAAAGGGCTAATATCCAGAATCTACAAAGAACTCAAACAAATTTACAAGAAAAAAACAAACAACCCCATCAACAAGTGGGTGAAGGATATAAATAGACACTTCTCAAAAGAAGACATTTATGCAGCCAAAAAACACATGAAAAAACGCTCATCATCACTGGCCATCAGAGAAATGCAAATCAAAACCACAATGAGATACCATCTCACACCAGTTAGAATGGCGATCATTAAAAAGTCAGGAAACAACAGGTGCTGGAGAGGATGTGGAGAAATAGGAATGGTTTTACACTATTGGTGGGACTGTAAACTAGTTCAACCATTGTGGAAGTCAGTGTGGCGATTCCTCAGGGATCTAGAACTAGAAATACCACTTGACCCAGCCATCCCATTACTGGGTATATACCCAAAGGATTATAAATCATGCTGCTCTAAAGACACATGCACACGTATGTTTATTGTGGCACTATTCACAATAGCAAAGGCTTGGAACCAACCCAAATGTCCAACAGGGATAGACTGGATTAAGAAAATGTGGCACATATACACCATGGAATACTATGCAGCCATAAAAAATGATGAGTTCATGTCCTTTGTAGGGACATGGATGAAACTGGAAACCATCATTCTCAGCAAACTATTGCAAGGACAGAAAACCAAACACTGCATGTTCTCACTTATTGGTGGGAATTGAACAATGAGAACATATGGACACAGGAAGGGGAACATCACACTTCAGGGACTGTTGTGGGGTGGGGGAAGTGGGGAGGGACAGCATTAGGTCCCTCATGACTAAATGACGAGTTAATGGGTACAGCATACCAACATGGCACAAGTATACCAACATGGCACAAGTGTACATATATAACAAACCTGCACATTGTGCACATGTACCCTAAAACTTAAAGTATAATAATAATAAAATTTAAAAAAAAATGCAATCTTTGGTTAAAAAAAATCAGTTTGAAGGATTTGTTTGGGTTCATTTCTGTATTTGCTATGATCATTCATTTATATGTCTGTCCCATCATGAATACTACACTGTTTTAATTATTGTAATTTTATGATAAATCTTAAAGTTGGGTAGCATGATTTCTTTGACTTTATTCTTTTTCAGAATTATTTTTGTAGTCCTAGTTCTTTTGTCTTTTCAAATAAATTTTACAATATATGTTTTCCACATAAACAAAAAAATACTAGTATATACTTTTATATACAAATATGTATTTTTGTATATATACAAAACTATATACAAATATATACTTTTCTCTCTATATAAAAATATATACAAATATATACCTTTCTATACATACACAAATTTTGCTGGGATTATTATTGGAATTATATCTACAGCTCAATTTAGGGAGAATTGACATCTTTACTATGTTGAGTTTTCCAGTTCATGAACACATGCTTCTCCATTTACTTAGATTTCGTTGAACAATGATGTGTAGTTTTCAGCATTGTTATATTTGGCCCTTCTCCAAATTTGTATGCTGACATCCTAACCTGCAGTAACTCATAATGTGACCCTACTTGGAGGTAAGGTCTTTATAAAGGTATCAAGTTGAAATGAGCTCATTAGAACAAGACCTAATTCAATATAATTGTTGCACTTATAAAAAGGTGAAATTTGGAGACACATGCACATGACAGTATACCATGTAAAGATGAAGACAGAGATTGAGATGATGCCAAAGAATGCTAAAGATTAAGATTACTAGCAAACCACCAGAAGCTAGGAGAGAGGCATGAAACAGATTCTTCCTCACAACCCTCAGATGGAAGCAACCCTGCTAATACCTTGATCTTGGATTCACAGCCTCCAGAGCTGTGAGACAATACATTTCCGTTGTTTAAACTACTTAGTTTGTGATACTTTGTTACAGCAGCCCTAGAAAACTATTACAAACATCAAATGTACGTGCTTTGATAGATTTATATTTATTTCATTTTTGAATTTTTCTTTCTAAGGTTTTAATATTTCCCTAGTAAATGCAGAATTTTTCATTTGTCTCATATTAAGACAGGAATTTCTCAAATTTGTAAATTTTTTTTGATATTTCAATTGAAAATACTGTTATTTAAAAGGATACTACAAATTTCAAGTTAGATCTCTGGGCTGTTATCAGTAATTTTTTCACCTTTAGTATCTATTTAATTCAATTTGCCCAATTAAATGTGTTTGCATCCTATTTGGCAACTTCACTGCATAACTGCGAAGAAACACTTAGAATCAAGTGGTATATTGATATTCTATGACTTATATACTCTAGGTATTTCTTGAAAGTAGAGTTAAAGCAAACACTTATTGCATTTCGCCATGTAAGCCACCAGTCCCCAGAAAATAATTTACATGTTCTATGACATTAAATGAGTTAAATTTTCATTAAATTAATTTATTTCTCAAAAAGAAGGCATTTTAAGATCACATCCATTAAATCTAAGAGTTTTGCTTAACATTTCCCTCCTTCTCCTTAGCACCCTTACAGCCCCCACAATATAAGGCTTAACTGGCCTCATATTACATTTAATCATCAAATCAGTTGTCTCAATACTTTTCTAATCCCTGCATACCTTTTTTTGTCACTAAGATGTCTTTCTTGGTTGTTGTCTGGTTATCCCTGGTAGATTAGGTGTCCACGTGGTGTACTCCATTGATAGCTCTCTTTTACCTGTGTATCATGAGATGTTTAAATGGACTTTGTGGTTTTCCTCTGCCAAACCAGGAGTTCCATGCTGGCAGGGAGGGAGTCTGCTAGCCCCCTGTGCATATCCTCAGCCCTCACACAATGCCTAGTCACTATGCATTTAGCTCTAGTACACAGCTGCAGGTGCTCCATATTTATACTTTTAATGAATGAATGAATGAAAAGAAAAACAGTAGCTGAGTCGAATAATTTTTCCATAAAATTCTAATTGTGTAACTATCTAATGTAAACAATTATCTTTTCTTGGCATTAATTATCTATTTAACTGGAAGGCTAAGAAATCTAATACATTCAAATTTATAGACATAACCTAAATTAATCATATCTCACTAGCCACATTTGCTTTCAACACTTTATTCCATGTTTGTAATACTGGTGTCAACATTGACATCAAATATTCAAATAAAATATAAGCAGCTTGAAATTTCTCAGTGAATTTAAACTCGAACACACCAGGAGTTGCAAGGTCAAGAATTCTCTGTTTTTCCCTGCAGGAAGAGTGATTTACCAGTAAGTAAATTGAGGCAAGGGTAAGAGTTCTGTCTTCGCTTTCATTTTCTCTCCTCATAAAGGGATCTAATAGTAGCCATCTTGGAGGGATTGGTGGGAATTAACTGTGGAGTCCCAGGAGCTCCTTAGAAAAGGGTAATACACATACGCAGAAAATGATTTTTCACACTGAAACTAATCAAATAGAATCCAGATAAACATTATTTAGTGCTTATCTCTTAGGACATGAACAGACAGAAGGTTAGGACTCTATCTTAGTGAAATGCTAAGCGTAATGGCTTTGTGTCCATCCAACTATGGCTCCACAACTGAGTTTTTCTGTTTTATTTTGATATTTGGAGTTGCTTAAATACAGTCAGTGCTCAAGAAATGCTGACTTAAAATATTTCATGATTGAGTCATTCATCATCACATGTTCCTTCGAGGTAGGTAAAATGCTGTCACTCTCACCTGCCCATTCTTATTTGATAAATGCTAATTGATATTATCTGACTTTCAAATAAATTGTAAGAAGGTGGGTTTGTTACATCCCTTCCTATTAATTTCGGTTGAATTGTTCTGACTTTTACCTAATCCTGATGAATAGCTTGTACCTGATTGTCTTACTGTTTGCTTCACACCTCAACACTATTGGGAATAATATAAAGGAAAGCTGCCTGCCCTAAACAGAAAGGAAGAAAAAAACCATCAAGGGAATCAGCATAAAAAAGATAAAAGAATGAATATAATGATAATACAGAGGTCTATAGATTCTTGGATGTTATAATGGCTCCCTAGAAATAAAAGTCTTCTCTAAATAGGAACCTGAAGTTTTATATATTTTTTATTTCTAATATACATAATTGAAAAATTTAGTCTAGTATTTAGTTGTAATCATTGCCATTTTTAAATGACTATGTATACATATACAAGATGAACAATCTTTCTTTGTATAAATATGGATTGCCTGCCTTAATAATTAATAGGCTGATGTATTCTAGGGAAACAAATTTCCTCCTTTCTAAATTTTTCCAGCATGCCAATCATCTAACTCAAAACCAGTTATTATTGTTTAACAATTCAAAAATATGCTTCGTAGAGTAAATAATTTTCATTCCCTAATGCCATGTGGCCTTAGTCTTTCAGGCTTTTTTCTGTTTTGGTAGTGAATCAATTGAAAATATAGTAAGAGTTGATAGCACAAAACCAATTTACTATAATTATTTGTGATGAAGAAATTAACTTTAAACTAAGCTACACTCTCATTTGCTTGTGATCAGTGCTCAGGGACACTGATTATATATTTAAAAAAATGGAATTAGCTTTTGTCTAATGTTTCTTGGTTGCACTGTGGTCTTAGCTTTGTTAGTACTTCTGTTCCCAGTACTGTTTTAAGAGGAAAGAAAGAGGCATGTAGCCAGTGGAGAAGGTTGCAGGGCACCTAGAGCTCTCTACATGGAATAATTTGAGAATTTAGATGACTGAAAGTCTTGACATGGAGTTCAATTTGAAAGAAACCCTCAAAAGGCACTGAGCTGTCAATCATTTTTTTCCACTGAGTCTAGAGCGTTGTTTTACAGGAACAGCAGTGGTCCATCTTAAATTTCTACCAAAAGATAAGTCAGTAACTTAAAAAAAGTTCATAACAACAACATCTCTAAAATCAAATTGCCTTCCAGAGGAAAGTAAATAAGTGAAAGCTGTGAAGAATGGAAGCAACAGAGACTAGGTCATTGCTGTATCATTTTCTATAGCATCCTAAACTGCGATAAGTACCTGATCATAGCTGCGTCTCAATTTCTAATCTCTGAGCCAAGTTAGTACAACCTGGTGTGATTTGAAATCACCCCCAAAGAGTTGATGATGCCTCATGGAAAACAGTGAAAGACATTCTATTTAGCAGATATTATCCCTTTCCAAGTCCAAAAGGCTATTTTTTTTTTCCAGCACATTCTGCCACTTTCATTTCTGATATTAACGCAGATCATCTTTGTTCATCAGAGGATTTGCTTCTGCCTCTTTCATTTCAGTTTCACCCTAATTTAGCTTAGGATGTAACAATCAAGCTCTATTCTTGCAAAGGAGACTGGGCCAATATATTATGGATTATTCAGTCAATAACTATTTCAGGTGGAAGGAGTATTGCAGGAACACTGCTTCTGGAGTTCTAGTTCTAAGACTTTTATTTTATGCCTGCCCATGAGTTCCAGTTCCAATGTTGATCTTGGATTTTTAATGGACAAATTAAGGGAAGTAAAGAGTGGAGAGTGTAGTTTATTGACAGAAGTTTCTATCAACACTCTTTCCTCAATCCTATTTACCCAAGGATAATGTAATTTCAAGAGATGCTAGAATCCACAGAATGGCATTTTATTTTTTTTTTCTATAGGCCAGCCTTATTGATGAGTGTGTGCTGGTTGACTATAGTCTAGAAAGATGCCTTCCTTGGTTCCTTGATCCCTGCCTAACTCTGTGCCAGTCAATAGGTACTGGTCGATATTAGAGAACTCTAGCAAAAACAAACAAACAAACAAACAAACAAACAAAAAACAAACTTGGAGAAACTTGAGGAATTGATTTAGCAGTCTCAAGTTTCTTTGTCTCTGGGCATGGAAGACTGGCCTTAGGAGTGCACAGTAACACTAAAAGGGATAATATTTAAAAAAATAATTGTAGGCTGAGCGCAGTGGCTCATGCCTGTAATCCCAGCACTTTGGGAGGCCAAGGTGGGCAGATCAGGAGGTCAGGAGATCGAGACCATCCTGGCTAACACGGTGAAACCCCATCTCTACTAAAAATACAAAAAGCCAGGCGTGGTGGTGGGTGCCTGTAGTCCCAGCTACTCGGGAGGCCGAGGCAGGAGAGTGGCATGAACCTGGGAGGCAGAACTTGCAGTAAGCCGAGATCGTGCCACTGCACTCCAGCCTGGGAGACAGAGTGAGATTCCGTCTCAAAAAGAAAAAAAAAAAATTGTGATCTGCTCTGTAGTCCAATGGGGGCTCTGATGCCTTCTAAAGAAATCTTTTTTAAAAAGCCTCAATTCTTTGCCTAAGCCAATGTGTAGAAGGGTTTTTCTGATGTTGTCTTCTAGAATTTTTATGATTTCAGGTCTTAGATTTAAGTCCTTGATCCATCTTGAGTAGATTTTTGTATAAGGTGAGAGATGAGGATCCAGTTTCATTCTTCTACATGTGGCTTGCCAATTATCCCAGCACCATTTGTTGAATTGAGTGTCCATTCCCCCCTTTATGTTTTTGTTTGCTTTGTCGAAGCTAGTTGGCTTTAAGTATTTGGCTTTATTTCTGGGTTCTCTATTCTGTTCCATTGGTCTATGAGCCTACTTTTATACCAGTACCATGTTGATTTGGTGACTATGGCCTTACAATATAGCATAGTCAGGTAATGTAATGCCTCCAGATTTGTTCTTTTTGCTTAGTCTTGCTTTGGCTATGCTCTTTCTTGGTTCCATATGAATTTTGTGTTGTCCTGTCTAGTTCTGTGAAGAATGATGGTGGTATTTTGATAAGAATTGCATTGACTTTGTAGATTGCTTTTGGCAGTATGGTCATTTTCACAATATTGACTCTACCCAAAAGCAGATGCAACAAAAACAATGATTTTTTTATTAGGTGGGATTTAATTAAACTAAAAAGTTTCTGCACAGCAAAAGAAACAGTCAGCAAACAGACAACCCACAGAGTGGGAGAAAATCTTCACAATCTATACATCCAACAAAGGACTAATATCTAGAATCTACAAGGAACTCAAACAAGTTAGCAAGAAAAAACAAATAATCCCATCAGAAAAAATGGGCTAAGGACGTGAATAAACAATTCTCAAAAGAGGGTATATAAATGGCCAAAAAACATTTGAAAAAATACTCAACATCACTAATGATTAGGGAAATGCAAATCAAAACCACAATGCGATATCACCTTACTCCCCCAAGAATGGCCATAATCAAAAAAAAAAAAAAAATAGATGTTTGCAGGGATATGGTGAAAAGGGAACACTTTTACACTGTTGGTGGGAATGTAAACTAGTACAAACACAGTGGAAAATAGTGTGGAGATTCTTTAAGAATTAAAAGTAGAACTACCATTTTATCTAGCAATCCCACTCCTGGGTATTTGCCCAGAAAATAAGTCATTATACAAAAAAGACACTTGCATAAGCATGTTTATAGCAGCACAATTTGCAATTGCAAAAATATGGAACTAGCCCAAAGTCCATCAATCAATGAGTGGATAAAGAAACTGTGGTGTATATATACATATATATATATATATATGTGTATATATATACATATATACACCACAGTTTATATATATATATAGTGTGTGTGTATATATATATATAGTGTGTATATATATATATATAGTGTGTGTATATATATATATAGAGAGAGAGTGTGTGTATATATATATGTATATACACATACACACAATAGAATACTATTCGGCTATAAAAAGGAATGAAATAATGGCATTCACAGTAACCTGGATGGAATTGGAGACCATTATTCAAGTAAACTAATTCAAAAATGGAAAACCAAACACAGTATGCCCTCACTCATAGTGGGAGCTAAGCTATGAGGATGCAAAGGCATAAGAATGATACAATGGACTTTGGAGACTTGAGGGAAACAGTGAGAGGCAGGTGAGGAATCAAAGACTACAAATTGGGTACAGTGTATACTGCTTGGGTGAGGGGTGCACCAAAATCTCACAAATCACCACTAAAGAACTTACTCATGTAACCAACACCACCTGTTCCCCAAAACCTATGGAAAAAAAGCCCAATTCAACTAAGACATAAAGAATGCTTCTAAGAAGGTGAAACAATCTGGTTTCTCTAGGGTGTTGCTAAGATTGGGAGTTTACACAGATTTTTAAGGGAAGACTGAGAGTCTTTCATGTCCACTTCAGTCTGGTTCCAAGTGTGTGGTGATCTTTTATGATGCTCCCCTATACTTTTATGGGACTTTGGTCAATAAGAAAGATATCAGTAAACTCTTTTCTACCTACGAATACAGGGGTATGTTAAGGCCCCTCCATCTTTGTTTATTTTCACTTAATGTTACTGTGAGACAAGGGAGATAGTTGGGTACCACCTGGGATTGTGTAGGCCACTTCAGGAAATAATGGATGCAAGGATGAAGAAAAATGAAAAGTGGCCAGAAAAGAAATGTTGACTTCTTGTTCCAAATCTATTGTTTCATAAAACAATCGAAGCCGTTTTCCAATGTCAGTTTTCCCAACTCTCATAAGGAGATGGCACTTCCTATTCATGATTCCTTATGAGAACAATGTGACATTTAATAAACTGCTTATGAGGAAATATAATGAAGAATATTATCTAAAATAACACTGTTATTTTGTTTATGTTTCTTTAAGTGGAGAGTAGTTTTATGTTATTCAAAACGTGGTTTTATAGAACACATAGACTCCAGTCTAACTGCCAGGGTAAGCTGAGCCTAAATAATTTATTTCAGAATGTTCTGTCACTTTGTACTGGCACTTTAATGGAAAAGGTTCTCTAGTATTCATTTTGATGAATAATTAGTTCAGGAGGAATCTCTAGATTGTAGTCTTGGATTGCAGAGTTGAAATTTAATCATTTCAACACAGTTGTCTTCAATGCCAACATAAACCAGAGATAAATTATATCCAATCAGTGAACGGATTTAATGCATGGTTCACAGGTTGTGGGAACCAATTAATATTTGTAAGCATATTATCAAAATTCTTAAGGGCATTATACGATTTGCATTATAGTAGACTGGGTTCAAGTTAAAAAAATTATTCTAACTTATATTGCATCTGGAGCAAGGGAAAATGAAAAAAGACATTTTTAGTTGGGCTAATACTTTCCATTCTGAAACGTAGCTTGGATATAATAAAGAATAAAACACTGAGAAAAACAATTGGTAAAACCAGTATTGAAAAGATTGACAAAGCGTTTTTTTCCCTCTCCCTCTTCCAAAGGCGAACCTCCACACAAAATCTTAGCCTGAAGTTTTAAATTGTCTGCTACAGACAATTGCCACTTTCCAAGTGCAGACCGGCAAGTGCACAAAGAGCAAAGTTTAGTCAAAGTTCATTTTCAGGTCATCCACCCTGGAACCATCAATCTGGACAACCTCTGCGTAACCTCTTCCAAGATTGTGGACTGGAACGGGATCCTTTGCAGTCTCATTAGAGCATGCAACAATTAATTTGTCCTAAATAGGAAATTAAACAGTCAAGTACAGTGTAGAAAAGAGGTCAGAAAATGGGTCTTGAGGTGCATTCACAGCCACTGTTTGGGAGATTTCCCCAGGCCTATAGGAAGGTGGGGCAGATTCCAAAGAGAAATCACTGTGTAGGACAAACACGACAAAAGCATACAAAACACATACATAAGTGGAAGAGAAATTTAACCTGAGAACAAATTGCCAGTGTTTTTAATGGTGCTCAGGCTTGTCTGTCTTTCAGGAAACTTAGGGTGAGAACTCAGGCAAAGATACCTCACAAATCCAATGCGTATAAACCCAGAAAACTCAACACCATTGTCCTTGAACCTTCTGATTGTATGCTAGTCTTGTATTCATGAGCTAGAGATTCTGCTATGAGAAAATGGGAGAAAAAGGTCTGATGTAGAGTTCTATTGAGTTAATGTTGTTTGTGAAGTCATAGTGAATTGAACCATTGTCTTCCAAGATACCATTTTGACCTAATTAGAGAAGTTGAATGGTTATCATTAGCAATGCACACAGGAAATTTTGGAAAATAGATAAAATGCTATTTCTTAGCAATAGAAGAATATAAAGTTCTCAACTACTGTCTTATACAAAACTATATCTATCTATGTCTATCATAAGTTTGCTGTATGATATCTATGTATCATATTTTTTCATTAGTTGAAAGTCTTTTTATGGTAAAATAGAAATGTAAAAATCATGGCATTATACGTTATATGTGTATATGTGATCAGATTTATAAAAGCCTCTACATCTCTTTGTAATTGATGAACTTAGTACAATGTAAATCTATAATAATAAATTATAGATTTATTTAGTAAAATAGTATACCATATATGCTATAAAGAATAAAATATAAATAATGAAATAAAAGCAAATACAGATCGTTGACTGAGAAGTAGCTCAAGGTAACAAGAGTTGGAAAGTAAAAAGGTTCTAAAAAGCTAACGTTTATCAGAAATTTATGGTTACACAGCATCAAGAAAAAAGATAAAATCATTCTCAAGCCCATTGAATATTTCCCATAAATGTAAAAAGACACATCTTCAAACATTAAAAATTCTGACCATTAACTTACTATGGGATACTAAGTCTCTAATTCTGCTTCCTCCACATCATATTAAGTGTTAATGTTAGCACCTTAGTCTTATAAGACTATCCATTTTTTTTCCTGAAAATAAGCAATTATCTTATAATCTAGCCTTTTAAGTATCACATTTGTTGAAGTATAATTTACATTCAGTAAAATTTACCCTTTTAGGTGTATAATTCCATGAGTTTTGATAAATATATACAATTGTATAACCACCACCATAATCAGTTCCATCCGTATTGAACAGTTCCATCATCCCATGAAATCTCCTCATGCCTCTTTGTAGCCAGTTTCCTCACCCTGTTCATGGCCATCACTGATACGATTACAGTTCTTTTGGTTTTACATTAGTTTAACGTTTAGTTTTGCATTTTCAGACTATCATATACATGGAATCCTTCATGTGATTGTTTCTATCTTTTTCACTAAACATAATGAACACATGTTGTCTTCAGTAGTTTGTTCCTTTTTATTGCAGAATAATATTCCACTGTAAGAATGACAACAATTTATCCATTAACTGGCTGAGGGGTATTTGAGTTGTTTCCAGTGTTTTTTTTTTGTTTTTTTATTTGAGATGGAGTTTTGCTCTTGTTGCCCAGGCTGGAGTGCAGTGATGTGATCTCGGCTCACCACAACCTCCGCCTCCTGGGTTCAAGTGAGTCTCCTGCCTCAGCCTCCCAAGTAGCTTGGATTACAGGTGCGCACCACCATGCCCAGCTAATTTTGTATTTTTAGTAGAGATGGGGTTTCTCCATGTTGGTCAGGCTGGTCTCAAACTCCCTCCTCAGGTGATCTGCCCGCCTCAGCCTCCTAAAGTGCTGGGATTACAGGTGTGAGCCGCTGCACCTGGCCTGTTTCCAGTTTTTAGTGATTATTAACAAAGCTGCTATAAACATTCGTGTATAGGTTTTTGTGTAAACATAAAGTTTAATTTCTCTTAGGTAAATATCTAGGAGTGGGACTGCTGGATGATATGGTAAATGTATGTTTAACTTTGTAAGACCTTATAAGAAAATGCCAAATGATTTTCCAAAGTGACGGTATCATTTAGTCTTCCCACTAGCGATGTTTGAGAGTTCTAATTTTTCCATATCTTTGCCAGTACTTGATAACATCGGTTTTTGAATTTTAGTAGTTCTAATATATGCATAGTAGTATCTCATCATAGTCATGTCATAAGCTATGACAGAGACAGTAGAGTTAATATAGCCTTGGGGTAAGACTAAATGTATATGCTTGCTTGTCCATTTCAAGTAAATATATACTGCTTATCCTCTTTCCGGATAGGAGTGGGAATGATCACATTTTCCAGGTTTTAATATGCATTTCCCTAATGGCTAATGATGTTGAACCCTTTTCATGCACATATTGCCATCCATATTTTTTCCTTGGTGTAGCCAAAATATTACCAAGTTCTAAACAAGTGCCAGTAGCTGCCCACTTCCAAACTTCTTGTTTAATGAGAAAAACGAAACCTTATTTGTGTTACGCCAGTGATAGATGTTCTTTGTTGCATGAAGCTGAAGGCATTCCCAAATTACACAA
Organism: Homo sapiens; assembly: GCF_000001405.40. NCBI lineage: Eukaryota > Metazoa > Chordata > Mammalia > Primates > Hominidae > Homo > Homo sapiens. The sequence goes on along the minus strand of NC_000005.10, from coordinate 87,998,296 downwards.
TCTTCTTTTTAAATTATGACTTCATGTTCACATTTCTATATCCCCCTTATTTTTTGTTAATGGCATCGTCATTACCCCATCATCTAAGGCAGAAAATTAACCATTTTTAATTTTTATTGCTCTCTTATCTCTCAAAGCAACAATTTACATCTCTTGCTAAACTATTACAATATTTCTGTCACTGGTCTCCATGCCACCAGTTTTTCCTCCACATTGATATTAGCCATTTCAACTTTAAAATGCAAATGTGACACTGAAACTTTCCACTTAAGACCTTTAGTAGTTTACCATTGCCTGTAGGGACAGATCTGAAGGTCTTAGCATAGCATGCACATCCTTTCACAATCTTTCCCCAGTCTACCTTCTCAGCTTCATCATCTGTCTCTGCTCCTCCCTTTGCTTCCTGCACTCACTCGTGTTTTATGCTCCTATAGAACAGAACGATTCATCCTTCTCTTTCACAATTCAGAGTCCTTGAAATGTTGTTTGCTCTGTTGGCTTTCGAAAGGCCTCTTCTCTTTCTCTTATCTGGACAATCTCTATTCATTTTTCAAGGCCAATATCATATGTTACTTCTATAAAACACTCCTCACCCCTTCTAAGGAGAGTTCTATACTTCCTTCCCTATGCTTCCATGGAACTTTATCCCTTCCTTTATTTTCGTACTTTCTCATATTAGGTTTTTATGTGATGCTTTTCTCTAACAGTGTTTTTGAAATAGGTGATAACTATAAATGATATTTTGAGATCTCTGAAACAACTGCACTGTGATATTAAAAAACTGGCCATAAAACTACCAATCTCATAAAATTATTAAAAGTGATGACGTTCAGTCTATAAATTAATCAGGAGAAATGGGGACATAAATTTTAGCAAGTTTGTGTCATTATGAGTTTGTATAAAGGGTTTTGTTAGAAGAAGTAAAGGCTTAAGACCACATGACATGTGAACTATGTTTCCAGATAAGGAGATGTCTGAACAAATGACTCCTTTTTTAATCACCTGTTCTATTTTTTATGATTTAATATATGAATATCTTTTATATGATTGCATTTTAGATTTGATTGATTTGAGTTTTTAATTGTTAAATATAGAATTGATGAGACTTGGTTTTATGGGAATATAATTGGATGTAAATTAGGCTTTGGTCAAATTTTAACTGAAAATATATCAGGGAAATTTTTAATCTTTTTTTTCTTTTTGCCTCAGTTTCCTCATTTGTAAAATTAAAGTGCCAGACTAGATGACCTTGAAGGTCCTAAGGAAGTTGAAGAGTTGAAGATTACAGTTTTATATAGAGGAAATAACTGTGTAGTTCATCAACTATTTCATTTTTCAAGATATTATTTTGGCTTCTGGAAGCCTATGAAAAATCCCCTCATTTACCACTATTTGTATTCATTATCTAGACATTGTCTTCATATAGATATGGTACTAGTAATCACATCAGTTCTAATATGGAAAATGATGTGTTTCTTCCAGTAGCCAAATTTTAAACATGAAGCATGATAGGCTTAAGGAACCAGTGCTGTCAGAATTACCTATATTTAATTATTGCAAAACCATATCATTTTTTAGAACTGCTTCAAATCTTGAGAAGATTTAATACCATAGAGCCTGATAAGTTCTACAGCCTAAGAGGCAGAGCTGCTTGCACCGCAGCCTACGAGGTGCTGCAGAGTTCTTTCTTGTGTTCAGCCATAGTCAATGCCGACTGCCTTTACATCGTTTGGTGAATTGGTTAGAGCAGCATTCCCAAGTATGGAATATGCTACCTCTACAACCTGAAAAGAAATATTAGGTATGATTCTTCATGGTAGGGATTCTGCAACATAATAATTTGCCCTTTACATAGGAGGGGATGTTCTGGCATACGACACATCACTCAACCTCTTAAAATTGTAATGTTATATAAAATTTGTAGGCCCCTGAATCTTTATAAGGTTTATCCTCTACCCTCTAGAGCACATGTGTTTTAAAGAAGGCCTCCTACACACTTGCCAATTTTTTTTTTAAATTATACTTTAAGTTCTAGGGTACATGTGCACAATGTGCAGGTTGGTTACATATGTATACATGTGCCATGATGGTGTGCTGCATCCATTAACTCATCATTTACATTAGGTATATCTCCTAATGTTATCCCTCCCCTTTCCCCCCACCCCACGACAGGCCCAAGTGAGTGATGTTCCCCTTCCTGTGTCCAAGTGTTCTCATTGTTCAATTCCCACCTATGAGTGAGAACATGTGGTGTTTGGTTTTTTGTCCTTGTGATAGTTTGCTCAGAATGATGGTTTCCAGCTTCATCCATGTCCCTACAAAGGACATGAACTCATCCTTTTTTATGGCTGCATAGTATCCCATGGTGTATATGTGCCACATTTTCTTAATCCAGTCTATCATTGTTGGACATTTGGGTTGGTTCCAAGTCTTTGCTATTGTGAATAGTGCTGCAATAAACATACCTGTGCGTGTGTCTTTATAGCAGCATGATTTATAACCCTTTGGGTATATACCCAGTAATGGGATGGCTGGGCCAAATGGTATTTCTAGTTCTAGATCCCTGAGGAATTGCCACACTGTCTTCCACAGTGGTTGAACTAGTTTACAGTCCCACCAACAGTGTAAAAGTGTTCCTATTTCTCCACATCCTCTCCAGCACCTGTTGTTTCCTGACTTTTTAATAATGACCATTCTAACTGGTGTGAGATGATACTTCATTATGGTTTTGATTTGCATTTCTCTGATGGCCAGTGATGATGAGCGTTTTTTCATGTGTCTTTTGGCTGCATAAATGTCTTCTTTTGAGAAGTGTCTGTTCATATCCTTCACCCACTTTTTGATGGGGTTGTTTGTTTTTTTCTTGTAAATTTGTTGGAGTTCTTTGTAGATTCTGGATATTAGCCCTTTGTCAGATGAGTAGATTGCAAAAATTTTCTCCCATTCTGTAGGTTGCCTGTTCACTCTGATGGTAGTTTCTTTTGCTGTGCAGAAGCTCTTTAGTTTAATTAGTTCCCATTTGTCAATTTTGTCTTTTGTTGCCATTGCTTTTGGTGTTTTAGACATGAAGCCCTTACCCATGCCTATGTCCTGAATGGTGTTGTCTAGGTTTTCTTCTAGGGTTTTTATGGTTCTAGGTGTAACATTTAAGTCTTTAATCCATCTTGAATTAATTTTTGTATAAGGTGTAAGGAAGGGATCCAGTTTCAGCTTTCTACATAAGGCTAGCCAGTTTTCCCAGCACTATTTATTAAATAGGGAATCCTTTCCCCATTGCTTGTTTTTGTCAGGTTTGTCAAAGATCAGATGGTTGTAGATGTGTGGTATTATTTCTGAGGGCTCTGTTCTGTTCCATTGGTCTATATCTCTGTTTTGGTACCAGTATCATGCAGTTTTGGTTACTGTAGCCTTGTAGTATAGTTTGAAGTCAGGTAGTGTGATGCCTCCAGCTTTGCTCTTTTGGCTTAGGATTGTCTTGGCAATGTGGGCTCTTTTTTGGTTCCATATGATCTTTAAAGTAGTTTTTTCCAATTCTGTGAAGAAAGTCATTGGTAGCTTGATGGGGATGGCATTGAATCTATAAATTACCTTGGGCATTAAGGTCATTTTCACAATATTGATTCTTCGTATCCATGAGCATGGAATGTTCTTCTATTTGTTTATATCCTCTTTTATTTCATTGAGCAGTGGTTTGTAGTTCTCCTTGAAGAGGTCCTTCATATCCCTTGTAATTTGGATTCCTAGGTATTTTATTCTCTTTGAAGCAATTGTGAATGGGAGTTCACTCATGATTTAGCTCTCTGTTTGTCTGTTATTGGTGTATAAGAATGCTTGTGATTTTTGCACATTGATTTTGTATCCTGAGACTGCTGAAGTTGCTTATCAGCTTAAGGAGATTTTGGGCTGAGATGATGGGGTTTTCTTTATATACAATCACGTCATCTGCAAACAGGGACAATTTGACTTCCTCTTTTCCTAATTGAATACTCTTTATTTCTTTCTCTTGCCTGATTGCCCTAGCCAGAACTTCCAACACTATGTTGAATTGGAGTGGTGAGAGAGGGCATCCCTGTCTTGTGCCAGTTTTCAAAGGGAATGCTTCCAGTTTTTGCCCATTCAGTATGATATTGGCTGTGGGTTTGTCATAGATAGCTCTTATTATTTTGAGATATGTCCCATCAATACCTAATTTATTGAGAGTTTTTAGCATGAAGGGCTGTTGAATTTTGTCAAAGGCCTTTTCTGTATCTACTGAGATAATCATGTGGTTTTTGTCTTTGTACCTCTTGTAGAATTCGGCTGTGAATCCATCTGGTCCTGGAGTTTTTTTGGTTGGTAAGCTATTGATTATTGCCACAATTTCAGAGCCTGTTATTGGTCTATTCAGGGATTCCACTTCTTCCTGGTTTAGTCTTGGGAGGGTGTATGTGTCCAGGAATTCATCCATTTCTTCCAGATTTTCTAGTTTATTTGCATGGAGGTGTTTATGGTATTCTCTGATGGTAGTTTTTATTTCTGTGGGATCAGTGGTGATATCCTCTTTATCATTTTTTATTGCATCTATTTGATTCTTCTCTCTTTTCTTCTTTACCAGTCTTGCTAGCGGTCTATCAATTTTGTTGATCTTTCCAAAAAACCAGCTCCTGGATTTATTGATTTTTTGAAGGGTTTTTCGTGTGTCTATCTCCTTCAGTTCTGCTCTGATCTTAGTTATTTCTTGCCTTCTGCTAGCTTTTGAATGCGTTTGCTCTTGCTTCTCTAGTTCATTTAATTGTGATGTTAGGGTGTCAATTTTGGATCTTTCCTGCTTTCTCTTGTGGGCGTTTAGTGCTATAAATTGCCTTCTACACACTGCTTTAAATTGTCCCAGAGATTCTGGTATGTTATGTGTTTGTTCTCATTGGTTTCAAAGAACATCTTTATTTCTGCCTTCATTTTGTTATGTACCCAGTAGTCATTCAGGAGCAGGTTGTTCAGTTTCCATATAGTTGAGCAGCTTTGAGTCAGTTTCTTAATCCTGAATTCTAGTTTGATTGCCCTGTGGTCTGAGAGACAGTTTGTTATAATTTCTGTTATTTTACATTTGCTGAGGAGTGCTTTACTTCCAAGTATGTGGTCAATTTTGGAATAAGTGCGATGTGGTGCTGAGAAGAATGTATATCCTGTTGATTTGCGGTGGAGAGCTCTGTAGATATTAAGTCCACTTGGTGCAGAGCTGAGTTCAATTCCTGGGTATCCTTGTTAACTTTCTGTCTCGTTGGTCTGTCTAATGTTGACAGTGGGGTGTTAAAATCTTGCATTATTATTGTGTGGGAGTCTAAGTCTCTTTGTAGGTCTCTAAGGACTTGCTTTATGAATCTGGGTGCTCCTGTATTGGGTGCATATATATTTAGGATAGTTAGCTCTTCTCGTTGAATTGATCCCTTTACCATTATGTAATGGCCTTCTTTGTCTCTTTTGATCTTTGTTGGTTGAAAGTCTGTTTTATCAGAGACTAGGATTGCAACCCTTGCCTTTTTTTGTTTTCCATTTGCTTGTTAGATCTTCATCCATCCCTTTATTTTGAGCCTATGTGTGTCTCTGCACGTGACATGGGTTTCCTGAATACAGCACACTGATGGGTCTTGACTCTTTATCCAATTTGCCAGTCTGTGTCTTTTAATTGGAGCATTTAGCCCATTTACATTTAAAGTTAATATTGTTATGTGTGAATTTGATCCTGTCATTATGATGTTAGCTGGTTATTTGGCTCATTAGTTGATGCAGTTTCTTCCTAGCATCGATGGTCTTTACATTTTGGCATGTTTTTGCAGTGGCTGGTACCAGTTGTTCCTTTCCATGTTTAGTGCTTCCTTCAGGAGCTTTTGTAGGGCAGGCCTGGTGGTGACAAAATCTCTCAGCATTTGTTTGTCTGTAAAGGATTTTATTTCTCCTTCACTTATGAAGCTTAGTTTGGCTGGATATGAAATTCTGGGTTGAAAATTCTTTTCTTTAAGAATGTTGAATATTGGCCCCCACTCTCTTCTGGCTTATAGAGTTTCTACTGAGAGATCCGCTGTTAGTCTGATGGGCTTCCCTTTGTGGGTAACCCGACCTTTCTTTCTGGCTGCCCTTAACATTTTTTCCTTCATTTCAACTTTGGTGAATGTGACAATTATGTGTCTTGGAGTTGCTCTTCTCGAGGAGTATCTTTGTGGCGTTCTCTGTATTTCCTGAATCTGAATGTTGGCCTGCCTTGCTAGGTTGGGGAAGTTCTCCTGGACAATATCCTGCAGAGTGTTTTCCAACTTGGTTCCATTCTCCCCATCACTTTCAGGTACACCAATCAGACGTATATTTGGTCTTTTCTCATAGTCTCATATTTTTTGGAGACTTTGTTCATTTCTTTTTACTCTTTTTTCTCTAAACTTCTCTTCTCACTTCATTTCATTCATTTGATCTTCCATCACTGATACCCTTTCTTCCAGTTGATCGAATCAGCTACTGAAGCTTGTGCATTCGTCACGTAGTTCTCCTGCCATGGTTTTCAGCTCCATCAGGTCATTTAAGGACTGCTCTACACTGGTTATTCTAGTTAGCCTTTAGTCTAATCTTTTTTCAAGGTTTTCAGCTTCTTTATGATGGGTTTGAACTTCCTCCTTTAGCTCAGAGAATTTTGAGCGTCCAAAGCCTTCTTCTCTCAACTCATCAATGTCATTCTCCATCCAGCTTTGCTCCATTGCTGGCAAGGAGCTGCATTACTTTGGAGGAGAAGAGGTGATCTGATTTTTAGAATTTTCAGCTTTCTGCTCTGTTTTTTCCCATCTTTGTCGTCTTATCTACCTTTGGTCTTTGATGATGGTGACGTACAGTTGGGGTTTTGGTGTGGATGTCCTTTCTGTTTGTTAGTTTTCCTTCCAACAGTCAGGACCCTCAGCTGCAGGTCTGTTGGAGTTTGCTGGAAGACCACTCCAGACCCTGTTTGCCTGGGTGTCAGCAGCAGATGCTGCAGAACAGTGAATATTGCTGAACAGCAAATGTTGCTGCCTGATGGTTCCTCCGGAAGCTTCGTCTCAGAGGGGTACCCAGCCATGTGAGGTGTCAGTCTACCCCTACTAGGGGACGCCTCCCAGTTAGGCTACTTGGGGGTCAGGGACCCACTTGAGGAGGCAGTCTATCCCTTCTCAGATCCCAAACTCTGTCCTGGGAGAACCACTGCTCTCTTCAAAGCTGTCAGACAGGGACATTTAAGTCTGCAGAGGTTTCTGCTGCCTTTTATTCAGCTATGCCCTGCCCTCAGAGGTGGAGTCTACAGAGGCAGGAAGGCCTCCTTGAGCTGCCATGGGCTCCACCCAGTTTTAGCTTCTGGGCCGCTTTGTTTACCTACTCAAGCCTCAACAATGGTGCCTTCCCCTCCCCATCCTCGCTGCTGCCTTGCAGTTGGATCTCAGACTGCTGTGCTAGCAATGAGCGATGCTCCATGGGCGTGGGACCTTCTGAGCCATGTGTGGGATATAATCTCCTGGTGTGGTGTTTGCTAAGACTGTTGGAAAATCACAGTATTAGGGTGGGAGTGACCCGATTTTCCAGGTGCCATCTGTCATAGCTTCCCTTGGCTAGGAAAGGGAATTCCCTGATCCCTTGGGCTTCCTGGGTGAGGTGATGCCTCGCCGTGCAGCCACTGTCCTGCACCCACTGTCTGACAAGCCCCAGTGAAATCAACCTGGTACCTCAGTTGGAAATGCAGAAATCACCCAAATTCTGCGTCACTCATCCTGGGAGCCGTAGACTGGAGCTGTTCCTATTCAGCCATCTTGGAACCTCCCCACACTTGCCAATTCTTGATCATCTTGTCTGATTAACATGATGCTATCAATATAGTAGACCAATGTGATGATTTGTGGAATGTCTAGATGAGCCAGGTGATTCATCTAGATTCTGACAAAGATTGCAGAGTTAATGTAGACTTGGGGCAAGACTAAATGTGTATGTTTGTCCACTTCAACTGGATATGTATTGCTTCTTATCCTCTTTCCTGATAGGAATGAAAAAGATCACATTTGCCAGATCAATGGCTACAGCTTTTACCGGAGGCTGTATTAATCTGTTTTGATAAACACACCACATCTGGCACAGCAGCTGCAATTGGTTAAGTTATTGGTAGTGAAATGTCATCTTCAGGATCCATCTGATTTTGTTGTATTCATTAGGCAATGATGAATTTAAATAGAGATGTGATGATGTCCACTACCCCTACATTTTTTTAGGTCTATAAGTGTGACACTATCCTCTGCCATTATTGCCAGGATGAAATATTATTTTGGCTTATAAAAGGAAAGTTTCAGACGTTTGCATTTGGGTTTCTCTACTGTGGTAGGTTGTACCTTACATACCAAGGACCAATTGTGGAGGTTCTGCATACTACCAACTATGTTCAGTCTAATTACACATTGGAGACCAAAGAGGTGATCACCATGGACTTAGTAGACGGACCTGCTGTAAGCCATACCTAGGTCAGGACTCTACTTTATACTTAGCTCCCATATATCTCCACTTTAACAGGGGCCATGATGACTTCTGGGCCTGTGGTTATCAATGTTAACATGGATCCTCTGTCCAACAGCCCTAAAAATATATGAGTATTCCTTTCTCAAGTTTATGGCTTAGGTCCCCTTAGGGAGAACTAACAAATATACTTGCTACAGGGTTATAAATTTGCTTCTCCTAGGGACCCAGCATCTCTTTCAGTCATTGAATTTTATGTCTCAAACTGGCTGGAGCCTATAAACAGCTTTTTAGTGGAGCAATTGCTCTCATTCTCTTGATTACCCATCCTTGATTTTTTTTGGTTGTATAAATTAAAAAATACACTTGTTGGCTGTCCATCTGTTTCTCCTAAGAATGCCATGTTCTTTCAACCATGTCATCCCATGTGTCATAGTCCTATTCCATCCCTGTCAGGACCCTGACCTTGGAACAAGAGAACTGCTGGGGTTGAGAATTTAGCTGTAAATATGCTATCTTTTTTTTTTTTTTTGACACAGTCTTGCTCTGTTACCAGGCTGGAGTGCAGTGGTCCCAAGTAGCTGGGACTACAGGTGTGCACCACCTTACCCAGATAATTTTTTGTGTTTTCGGTGGAGACGGGGTTTCACCATGTTGGCCAGGATGGTCTCAATCACTTGACCTAGTGATCCGCCTGCCTTGGCCTCCTAAAGTGCTGGGATTACAGGCGTGAGCCACTGCACCTGGCCATATGCTATCTTATAATTAAGCTCTGGGCCTGATATTTTGCCTTTCTGGCACTTTGGTTGCAACAGATTAAAGCCCTTTAGATGCTGCCAAGGAGGCCCTGTGGCATTCATACTTTGACTTAAATTATTGATTAATTTTCCTGTCTTTTGTTATAATCTCTGTTACTAAATTTCCCAGATTTCCTGAATACCTGAGATATTGCCCACACCAATGCATTCCCTTTCACTAGGTTGCCATTGACAAAGGTTTTATCAGTGGACCTGTTATAGCCTGCCAGGGACCATCAGTAATCCACTTAGCACAAGGGACAAGGTCCTCATTGCCATCTGGCCAGTGAGTGATCCAGCTCCAACATTCCATTTTAGAGCCCGCTTCCTAGGATTACTCTTGGCACTGTCTTTTATCAAATTCCCTGGAAAAATGCTCTAATTGAGAAATGTGTTTTCAGGAAGTTTCAGATTTATTATG